>NC_000010.11:95143095-95446125 GCF_000001405.40 Homo sapiens
GGGACGGACAGAAAGTGGGGCTTTTTAAATTAAAGTTTGATGATGCAATGGGGAAGCAAATTGTTCTGATCATGGTCAAGCAGCTTGATCAGACTCACCTTCCCATGGATAACTCTGTCTAAAATGGAGAAATTACTCACAGGAAAACAGTTCATGGAAGTCAGTGTCATCCACTTCAAGTAGATTCTGGAGGTGATGCCTATAAAAAGGAATTGCAAGGAGTGAAGTATTTGAGGGCACAGCTTTTCACCAATACATGCCCCATGAATGGCTTCCCTTATGCTCTTTTGCATCTTCATTTTACTATAGTTGTCAGGGTAGCTTTGTTCAATAAACACTAAGTATTCTCATTCTATTTTAATGTCTAGATAATACAAGTAATACTTTTTTTAAGACACAAATGATATTTTATTAATTGTGATAATATATACATAACAAAATTAACTATATTGATCATTTAGAGTGTATATTTTAGCATCCATAATTACATTCAAATTATTATGCAACAAACATCACTGTCTCAAGAACTCTTTTCATCTTGCAAAACTGAACTTTGTATCATTAAACAGTAACTACCCATCCTCAATTTCCTCCTATTCCTGACTACCCCCCATATAACAACCCATAGAAATTTTCTATATCTATGAACTTGTGTATTTCTAGGTACCTTAGATAAGCCAGTCACATAGTATTTTGTATGATTGTGGCTGTCTTATTTCACTTTGCATTAATATCTTTAAATTTCATTCATGGCATAGCATGTGTCAAAATTTACTTTCTTTTAAGGATAAATAATCTTCCATTGTATATTTGCACCACATTACTTCCTCAGTGGTCACTTGTGATGTTTCTACTTTTTGGATATTGTGAATAGTGCTGCTATGAACAGGGGTGTGGATATATCTCTATGATAAGTTACTTGCATTTCTTTCAGGTATGTACCCACAAGTAGAATTGCTAGATGATATGGTAATTCGCTTTAAATTTTTAAATTCTTTTTAAAAAAATACTTAAGAAATTCTGTCAAAAGCAAGAGAGCTGTGAACACCTGAACTACCACAGAATCCTTTCACCACCTCCCACTAATCCAGGAACACCAAGGTTCAGTTTGTCATCATCAGTGGATTCTGCTATGGAATGCTTTAGAATCACAGGAGTTTACCACTAGTCCAAACCTCCAGAAGGATGAAGTTTCTCCAAGTAGCCAAATCTTTTCTTGCTTGGAAAATTCTGAGGGCCCTGCAGACACCTTGGCCAGTTTGGAAAACACCACACTGCACAGATCACTGAGTTGGGTTCCACCAGGAGTCAATCCTGTGCCAGCTGGACATGAAACATGTATTGTATTGAAAGAAAATAAACAATAAAGAATAAACACAATAAGAGTTAACAGCACACAACAACATGGATAAATCTTGGGGACATTATGATAAATGAAATAAACCAATTACCAAAAGATAAATACTGTATGATTTCTCTTACATGAGGAACTTAGAATAGTTAAAATCATAGAGCTAGAAAGTAGAATGATTGCTAGAAGCTGGGGGACAGTGAAATGGGAGTTATTATTCAATGGGTAGAAAGTTTCAGTTTTAGAAGATAAAAAAGGTTATGGAGATGAATGAGCATGGTGGTTGAATAACATTAGAAATATATTTAATACGACTGCCTGTGTATTAGTCCAATTTCACACTGCTATAAAGAAATACCAGAGACTGGGTAATTTACAAACAAAGGAGATTTAATTAACTCACAGTTCCATATGGCTGAGGAGGCCTCAGGAAACCTACAGTCATGGCAGAAGGCAAAAGGGAAGCAAGGACATTCTTCACATGGTCGCAGGAGAGAGAAGTGCAAACGGGAAAGGCCAGACGCTTATAAAACCATCAGACCTCATGAGAACTTACTCCCAGTCATGTAACAGCATGGGAGAAACTGTCCCCATGATCCAATCACCTCCTTCCCTCTACACGTGATTACAATTCAACATGAGATTTGGATGGGGAAACAGAGCCAAACCATAAAAACACTGTACACTTAAAAATGTTTAAGATAGTGAATTTTATTTATGGGTATTTTATCTTGGCACAAAATTGGGGGAAAAAGAGTTAATAGCAAGGTGATTAGCAACTCCACTTTTCAGTCAGTTAGGCTTGGTTCAATTGCAGTCTCTGAACTTAAAATCTGTCTGACCTTGAGCAAGATTCATAACAAAACATCATCTCAGTTATCTGGTGATAAAATGGGTATAACAGTAGTGTGATAGGCTGAATAATAACTTCATCCCCCAACAAAAGATGCCATGTCCTAATCCTAGCAACATGTGAACCTATAAATTTGTTACTTTACATGGTAAAAGAAACACTCCAAATGTATTATGCTAAGGATATGACATGGGTAAATTACACTAGATTATCCAGGTGGGCCCAATGTAATCACATTGATCCTTATAAGAGGGAAATAAGAGGATAAGAGTGGATAGTAGAAGATGTGATACCCCAAGCAAAGGACTCATGAGCTGAGGAATGTTGGCAGTCTCTAGAAGCAAAAACAAAAATGCAGAGAAATAAATTCTCTCAAGGAAACAGCCTTGCTCAACACCTTGATCTTAGACCAGTGAAACTGATATTGGATCTTCGAACTTCAGAACTGTAAGATAGTCATTTGCATTATTTTAAACCACTAAGTTTGTTCTAATTTGTTATAGTACTCATGGAAACTAACACAAATTCTACATACCTCCTAGGTTTATAAGAAAGATTAACACAAAACATGCAAAATTCCAAAAAAAATGTGTAAAGGGAACCAAAAGTTGACTGATGGGGAAAGGTGCTGATGGAGGGAAGAGTACAAATTTCAATATAAGGTACTCAATGTATGCCTCATTGAGAAGTTGACCTTCTACATAAATGTACAAGAGTGCCTGTTTGCCCACACCTGACCAATGCTTACATGAACACGTTTTCATTTTCCAATCAAGAATGTTGAAAAGATATATAATATATATTTTTTTGTTTTTAAGCTACTTTCATGTTTAATAACCATTTCCATTTTCTTTTCCGATGTGGTTCATTAGAATCATTTTTCCATGTTTTTATTATATTGGGGTAGTTCCTGGTATATTGTTTACTAGAAAAACATCAAGTTGTAGAAAATACATGTAATATGAGCCAAATTTTATAAAGAACCACACTTAATAGCATACGTATTTGTGTGTATATATTATACATAATGAGTGAATATATATTTATGCAGTCATATGTGTATAGATACATATGTACTTATATGTACATCAATACGCTTATATATTAGCTTAAAATGCATGACAAATTGGCTCCCTCTGGAAGATAAGCTCACAAAGAGTAATCACTGATGTCTGTTCTCATTTCATAAACTTGAAGATAGAAGGAATGGGAATGGATGACTAGAATTTGATGTGTACTAGACGTTCAATTGTGTATATTTTGGAGATAAAATGAGGCTAATTACTTCAGGGCCATAGAATCAAATTATCATCACATTAATGATAAGTGTAAAACAATGAGGTAGAAATTAGAAAAATAATATAATCTACTGAGGCTTTGCAGAGATATTGTTCTTGTTTGGGGAGAGAAGAATAACATTCAGAACACATGAATAGCAATTTGAGAGCATATATTTATACTTGATTCTAAGTTGGAAACATGAAGTAAAAATAATATTTCAAATTTGTATTTAGTGTGGACAGTAACACCAAAGCAAGGGCATGAATTCTGACACTTAATGTTCATTCCTAGCTGTCACTTATACTTTTAATATTTCCCTAAAGGTTAGTTTTGCTGTTTGACAGACCTTCTCTCTCAAATCCAAATCTTGAGAAACTCTAGATAACACGCAGCCAAGAAAGCTTCCCCACCCTCTTTCCCTTTGTCCCTCTCTATGAGTATCATTATGAGGGACAGCATGGTTGATACTCTGTTTCATTTCTTTCTTCCATTATGCAAAAAAGAGGAAAAATTTGAGAATGGGCTAGCAATTAGTAACACTTTTCATTTAGAATATTCACAGAAGAAATGAATCTGAATTATGATATGGTAATCCTTTTTCTCTGTTTTATAATGATAACATATTAAAAACTCAGCACTAATTATTAGTATGTGTAGCCATCAATAAAAGAAGTATTACAGAATATTAATAATAGCAGATATACTTATGCAATGACCCAAGCAACTCTCCTTAATGAAGATTGGATGTTCAATGCATTTTGAGGGAACGGGAAAATGTGATTAGACGTCAGAAAAGAAATCCCTGAAGATGGCCAAATAGGAACAGCTCCAGTCTACAGCTCCCAGCATGAGCAAAGCAGAAGACGGGTGATTTCTGCATTTCCATCTGAGGTACCAGGTTCATCTCACTAGGGAGTGCCAGACAGTGGGCGCAGGACAGTGGGTTCAGTGCACCGTGCACCAGCTGAAGCAGGGCGAGGCATTGCCTCACTCGGGAAGCACAAGGGATCAGGGAGTTCCCTTTCCTGGTCAAGGAAAGGGGTGACAGACGGCACCTGGAAGATCAGGCCACTCCCACCTGAATACAGCACTTTTCCAACGGGCTTAGGAAATGGCACACCAGGAGATTATATCCCACACATGGCTTGGATGGTCCTACGCCCATGGAATCTCACTGATTCCTAGCACAGCAGTCTGAGATCAAACTGCAAGGCGGCAGTGAGGCTGGGGGAGGGGTGCCCACCATTGCCCAGGCTCCCTTAGGTAAACAAAGCAGCCGGGAAGCTCCAACTGGGTGGAGCCCACCACAGCTCAAGGAGGCCTGCCTGCCTCTGTAGGCTCCACCTCTGGGGGCGGGACACAGACAAACAAAAAGCAGTAACCTCTGCAGACTTAAATGTCCCTGTCTGACAGCTTTGAGGAGCGCAGTGGTTCTCCCAGCACACAGCTGGAGATCTGAGAACGGGCAGACTGCCTCCTCAAGTGGGCCCCTGACCGCCGACCCCTGAGGAGCCTAACTGGAAGGCACCCCCCAGTAGGGGCGGACTGACACCTCACATGGCTGGGTACTCCTCTGAGACAAAAATTCCACAGGAACGATCAGACAGCAGCATTCCCGGTCAAGAAAATCCGCAGTTCTGCAGACACTGCTGCTGATACCCAGGCAAACAAGGTCTGGAGTGGACCTCTAGCAAACTCCAACGGACCTGCAGCTGAGGGTCCTGTCTGTTAGAAGGAAAACTAACAAACAGAAAGGACATCCACACCAAAAACCCATCTGTACATCACCATCATCAAAGACCAAAAGTAGATAAAACCAAAAAGATGGGGAAAAAACAGATCACAAAAACTGGAAACTCTAAAAAGCAGAGCACCTCTCCTCCTCCAAAGGAACACAGTTCCTCACCAGCAATGGAGCAAAGCTGGATGGAGAATGACTTTGACGAGCTGAGAGAATAAGGCTTCAGATGATCAAATTAGTCCTAGCTACGGGAGGAAATTCAAACCAAAGGCAAAGAAGTTGAAAACTTTGAAAAAAGCTTAGAAGAATGTATAACTAGAATAACCAATACAGAGAAGTGCTTAAAGGAGCTGATGGAACTGAAAGCCAAGGCTCGAGAACTACGTGAAGAATGCAGAAGCCTCAGGAGCCAATGTGATCAACTGGAAGAAAGGGTATTGGCGATGGAAGATGAAGTGAATGAAATGAAGTGAGAAGGGAAGTTTAGAGAAAAAAGAATAAAAAGAAACAAGCAAAGCCTCCAAGAAATATGGGACTATGTGAAAAGACCAAATCTGCGTCTGATTGGTGTACCTGAAAGTGATGGGGAGAATGGAACCAAGTTGGAAAACACTCTGCAGGATATCATCCAGGAGAACTTCCCCAATCTAGCAAGTCAGGCCAACATTCAGATTCAGGAAATACAGAGAACGCCACAAAGATACTCCTCGAGAAGAGCAACTCCAAGACACATAATTGTCAGATTCACCAAAGTTGAAATGAAGGAAAAAATATTAAGGGCGGCCAGAGAGAAATGTCGGGTTACCCAAAAAGGGAAGCCCATCAGACTAACAGCGGATCTCTCGGCAGAAACCCTACAAGCCAGAAGAGAGTGGTGGCCAATATTCAACATTCTTAAAGAAAAGAATTTTGAACCCAGAATTTCATATCCAGACAAACTAAGCTTCATAAGTGAAGGAGAAATAAAATACTTTACAGACAAACAAATGCTGAGAGATTTTGTCACCACCAGGCCTGCCCTAAAAGACCTCCTGAAGGAAGCGCTAAACATGGAAAGGAACAACCAGTACCAGCCGCTGCAAAATCATGCCAAAATGTAAAGACCATCGAGACTAGGAAGAAACTGTATCAACTAACGAGCAAAATAACCAGCTAACATCATAATGACAGGATCAAATTCACACATATCAATATTAACCTTAAATGTAAATGGACTAAATGCTCCAATTAAAAGACACAGACTGGCAAATGGGATAAAGAGTCAAGACCCATCAGTGTGCTGTATTCAGGAAACCCATCACACGTGCAGAGACACACACAGGCTCAAAATAAAAGGATGGAGGAAGATCTACCAAGCAAATGGAAAACAAAAAAAGGCAAGGGTTGCATACCTAGTCTCTGATAAAACAGACTTTAAACCAACAAAGATCAAAAGAGACAAAGAAGGCCATTACATAATGGTAAAGGGATCAATTCAACAGGAAGAGCTAACTATCCTAAATATATATGCACCTAATACAGGAGCACCCAGATTCATAAAGCAAGTCCTGAGTGACCCACAAAGAGACTTAGACTCCCACACATTAATAATAGGAGACTTTAACACCCCACTGTCAACAGTAGACAGATCAACGAGACAGAAAGTTAATAATGATACCCAGGAATTGAACTCAACTCTGCACCAAGCGGACCTAATAGACATCTACAGAACTCCCCACCCCAAATCAACAGAATATACATTTTTTCCTGCACCACACCACACCTATACCAAAATTGACCACATACTTGGAAGTAAAGCTCTTCTCAGCGAATGTAAAAGAACAGAAATTATAACAAACTATCTCTCAGACCACAGTGCAATCAAATTAGGACTCAGAATTAAGAAACTCACTCAAAACCGCTCAAATACATGGAAACTGAACAACCTGCTCCTGAATGACTACTGGGTACATAACGAAATGAAGGCAGAAATAAAGATGTTCTTTGAAACCAACGAGAACAAAGACACAACATAACAGAATCTCTGGGACACATTCAAAGCAGTGTGTAGAGGGAAATTTATAGCACTAAATGCTCACAAGAGAAAGCAGGAAAGATCCAAAATTGACACCCTAACATCACAATTAAAAGAACTAGAAAAGCAAGAGCAAACACATTCAAAAGCTAGCAGAAGGCAAGAAATAACTAAAATCAGAGCAGAATAGAAGGAAATAGAGACACAAAAAACCCTTCAAAAAATTAAGGAATCCAGGAGCTGATTTTTTGAAAGGATCAACAAAATTGATAGACCACTAGCAAGACTAAAAAAAAAAAAAAAGAGAGAAAAATCAAATCGATGCAATAAAAAATGATAAAGGGGATATCACCACCAATCCCACAGAAACACAAACTACCATCAGAGAATACTACAAACACCTCTACGCAAATAAACTAGAAAATCTAGAAGAAACGGATAAATTCCTCGACACATACACTCTCCCAAGACTAAACCAGGAAGAAGTTGAATCTCTGAATATAACAATAACAGGAGCTGAAATTGTGGCAATAATCAATAGCTTACCAACCAAAAAGAGTCCAGGACCAGAAGGATTCACAGCCAAATTCTACCAGAGGTACAAGGAGGAACTGGTACCATTCCTTCTGAAACTATTCCAATCAATAGAAAAAGAGGGAATCCTCCCTAACTCATTTGATGAGGCCAGCATCATGCTGATACCAGAGCCGGGCAGAGACACAACCAAAAAAGAGAGTTTTAGACCAATATCCTTGATGAACATTGATGCAAAAATCCTCAATAAAATACTGGCAAACTGAATCCAGCAGCACATCAAAAAGCTTATCCACCATGATCAAGTGGGCTTCATCCCTGGGATGCAAGGCTGGTTCAATATATGCAAATCAATAAATGTAATCCAGCATATAAACAGAACCAAAGACAAAAACCACATGATTATCTCAATAGATGCAGAAAAGGACTTTGACAAAATTCAACAACCCTTCATGCTAAAAACTCTCAATAAATTAGGTACTGATGGGACGTATTTCAAAATAATAAGAGCTATCTATGACAAACACACAGCCAATATCATACTGAATGGGCACAAACTGGAAGCATTCCCTTTGAAAACTGGCACAAGACAGGGATGCCCTCTCTCACCACTCCTATTCAACATAGTGTTGGAAGTTCTGCCCAGGGCAATCAGGCAGGAGAAGGAAATAAAGGGTATTCAATCAGGAAAAGAGGAAGTCAAATTGTCCCTGTTTGCAGACGACATGCTTGTATATCTAGAAAACCCCATTGTCTCAGCCCAAAATCTCCTTAAGCTGATAAGCAACTTCAGCAAAGTCTCAGGATACAAAATCAATGTACAAAAATCACAAGCATTCTTATACACCAACAACAGACAAACAGAGAGCCAAATCATGAGTGAACTCCCATTCACAACTGCTTCAAAGAGAATAAAATACCTAGGAATCCAACTTACAAGGGATGTGAAGGACCTCTTCAAGGAGAACTACAAACCACTGCTCAAGGAAATAAAAGAGGATACAAACAAATGGAAGAACATTCCATGCTCATGGGTAGGAAGAATCAATATCGTGAAAATGGCCATACTGCCCAAGGTAATTTACAGATTCAATGCCATCTCCATCAAGCTACACATGACTTTCTTCACAGAATTGGAAAAAACTACTTTAAAGTTCATATGGAACCAAAAAAGAGCCCACATCGCCAAGTCAATCCTAAGCCAAAAGAACAAAGCTGGAGGCATCACACTACCTGACTTCAAACTATACTACAAGGCTACAGTAACCAAAACAGCATGGTACTGGTACCAAAACAGAGATATAGATCAATGGAACAGAACAGAGCCCTCAGAAATAACACTGCATATCTACAACTATCTCATCTTTGACAAAGCTGAGAAAAACAAGAAATGGGGAAAGGATTCCCTATTTAATAAATGGTGCTGGGAAAACTGGCTAGCCATATGTAGAAAGCTGAAACTGGATCCCTTCCTTACACCTTATACAAAAATCAATTCAAGATGGATTAAAGACTTAAACGTTAGACCTAAAACCATAAAAACCCTAGAAGAAAACCTAGGCAGTACCATTCAGGACATAGGCATGGGCAAGGACTTCATGTCTAAAACACCAAAAGCAATGGCAACAAAAGCCAAAATTGACAAATGGGATCTAATTAAACTAAAGAGCTTCTGCACAGCAAAAGAAACCACCATCAGAGTGAACAGGCAACCTACAAAATGGGAGAAAATTTTCTCAACCTACTCCTCTGACAAAGGGCTAATATCCAGAATCTACAATGAACTCAAACAAATTTACAAGAAAAAAACAAACAACCCCATCAAAAAGTGGACGAAGGACATGAACAGACACTTCTCAAAAGAAGACATTTATGCAGCCAAAAAACACATGAAAAAATGCTCACCATCACTGGCCATCAGAGAAATGCCAATCAAAACCACAATGAGATACCATCTCACACCAGTTAGAATGGCAATCATTAAAAAGTCAGGAAACAACAGGTGCTGGAGACGATGTGGAGAAATAGGAACACCTTTACACTGTTGGTGGGACTGTAAACTAGTTCAACCACTGTGGAAGTCAGTGTGGCGATTCCTCAGGGATCTAGAACTAGAAATACCATTTGACCCAGCCATCCCATTACTGGGTATATACCCAAAGGACTATAAATCATGCTGCTATAAAGACACATGCACACGTATGTTTATTGCGGCATTATTCACAATAGCAAAGACTTGGAACCAAGCCAAATGTCCAACAATGATAGACTAGATTAAGAAAATGTGGCACATATACACCATGGAATACTACGCAGCCATAAAAAATGATGAGTTCATGTCCTTTGTAGGGACATGGATGAAACTGGAAATCATCATTCTCAGTAAACTATCGCAAGAACAAAAAACCAAACACCGCATATTCTCACTCATACTTGGGAACTGAACAATGAGAACACATGGACACAGGAAGGGGAACATCACACTCTGGGGACTGTTGTGGGTTGGGGGAAGGAGGGAGGGATAGCACTGGGAGATATACCTAATGCTAGATGACGAGTTAGTGGGTGCAGCGCACCAGCATGGCCCATGTATACATATGTAACTAACCTGCACATTGTGCACATGTACCCTAAAACTTAAGGTATAATAATAAATAAATAAATAAATAAATTTTAAAAAAAAGTTTTTCTCCCTAAAAAAAACAAAATTCAAAAACAGAGACTGTGCAATTGGAATTAAAGGCCCTAAAGCTGCTGCTCCTCTATGGTCAAGGTTGCGACACATTTGAATAACTCTGAAGGAGCCTCTGTCATAATAAAAAATATGTGATTAATTAAAAAAAAAAAGAAACTCACTCAAAACCGCTCAACTACATGGAAACTGAACAACCTGCTCCTGAATTACTACTGGGTACATAACGAAATGAAGGCAGAAATAAAGATGTTCTTTGAAACCAGTGAGAACAAAGACACAACATACCAGAATCTCTGGGACACATTCAAAGCAGTGTGTAGAGGGTAATTTATAGCACTAAATGCTCACAAGAGAAAGCAGGAAAGATCTAAAATTGACACCCTAACATCACAATTAAAAGAACTAGAGAAGCAAGAGCAATCACATTCAAAAGCTAGCAGAAGGCAAGAAATAACTAAGATCAGAGCAGAACTGAAGGAGATACAGACACAAAAAACCCTTCAAGAAATCAATGAATCCAGGAGCTGGTTTTTTGAAAAGATCAACAAAATTGATAGTCTTCTAGCAAGACTAATAAAGACTAATAAAGAAGAAAGAGAAGAATCAAATACACGCAATAAAAAATGATAAAGGGGATATCACCAATGATCCCACAGAAATACATAGTGCCATCAGAGAACACTATAAACACCTCTACGCAAATAAACTTGAAAATCTAGAAGAAATGGATAAATTCATCCACACATACACCCTCCCAAGACTAAACCAGGAAGAAGTTGAATCTCTGAATAGAACAATAGCAGGCTCTGAAATGGAGGCAATAATTAATAGCTTACCAACCAAAAAAAGTCCAGGACCAGATGGATTCACAGCCGAATTCTACCAGAGGTACAAGGAGGAACTGGTACCATTCCTTCTGAAACTATTCCAATCAATAGAAAAAAGGGGAATCCTCCCTAACTCATTTGATGAGGCCAGCATCATCCTGATAGCAAAGCCTGGCAGAGACACAACAAAAAAAGAGAATTTTAGACCAATATCCCTGAAGAAAATCGATGCAAAAATCCTCAATATAATACTGGCAAACCGAATCCAGCAGCACGTCAAGAAGCTTATCCACCATGATCAAGTGGGCTACATCCCTGGGATGCAAGGCTGGTTCAACATACACAAATCAATAAACGTAATCCAGCATGTAAACAGAACCAAAGACATAAACCACATGATTATCTCAATAGATGCAGAAAAGGACTTTGACAAAATTCAACAACCCTTCATGCTAAAAACTCTCAATAAATTAGGTATTGATGGGAAGTATCTCAAAATAATAAGAGCTATCTATGACAAACACACAGCCAATATCATACTGAATGGGCAAAAACTGGATGCATTCCCTTTGAAAACTGGCACAAGACAGGGATGCCCTCTCTCACCACTCCTGTTCAACAAAGTGTTGGAAGTTCTGCCCAGGGCAATCAGGCAGGAGAAGGTAATAAAGGGGATTCAATTAGGAAAAGAGGAAGTCAAATTGTCCCTGTTTGCAGATGACATGATTGTATAGCTAGAAAACCCCATCATCTCAGCCCAAAATCTCCTTAAGCTGATAGGCACCTTCAGCAAAGTCTCAGGATACAAAATCAATGTGCAAAAATCACAAGCATTCTTATACACCAATAACAGAGAAACAGAGAGCCAAATCATGAGTGAACTCCCATTCAAAATTGCTTCAAAGAGAATAAAATACCTAGGAATCCAACTTACAAGGGATGTGAAGGACCTCTTCAAGGAGAACTACAAACCACTGCTCAAGGAAATAAAAGAGGATACAAACAAATGGAAGAACATTCCATGCTCATGGGTAGGAAGAATCAATATCGTGAAAATGGCCATACTGCCCAAGGTAATTTACAGATTCAATGCCATCCCCATCAAGCTACACATGACTTTCTTCACAGAATTGGAAAAAACTACTTTAAAGTTCATATGGAACCAAAAAAGAGCCCACATTGCCAAGTCAATCCTCAGCCAAAAGAACAAAGCTGGAGGCATCACGCTACCTGACTTCAAACTATACTACAAGGCTACAGTAACCAAAACAGCATGGTACTGGTACCAAAACAGAGATATAGACCAATGGAACAGACCAGAGCCCTCAGAAATAATGCCACATATCTACAACTATCTCATCTTTGACAAACCTGAGAAAAACAAGCAATGGGAAAAGGATTCCCTATTTGATAAATGGTGCTGGGAAAACTGGCTAGCCATATGTAGAAAGCTGAAACTGGATCCCTTCCTTACACCTTATACAAAAATTAATTCAAGATGGATTAAAGACTTAAATGTTAGACCTAAAACCTTAAAAACCCTAGAAGAAAACCTAGGCAATACCACTCAGGACATAGGCATGGGCAAGGACTTCATGTCTAAAACACCAAAAACAATGGCAACAAAAGCCAAAATTGACAAATGGGATCTAATTAAAATAAAGAGCTTCTGCACAGCAAAAGAAACTACCATCAGAGTGAACAGGCAACCTACAGAATGGGAGAAAATTTTTGCAATCTGCTCATCTGACAAAGGGCTAATAACCAGAATCTACAAAGAACTCAAACAAATTTACAAGAAAAAAAAAAACCCCTTCAAAAAGTGGGCAAAGGATGTGAACAGACACTTCTCAAAAGAAGACATTTATGCAGCCAAAAAACACATGAAAAAAATGCTCGTCATCACTGGCCATCAGAGAAATGCAAATCAAAACCACAATGAGATATCATCTCACACCAGTTAGAATGGTGATCATTAAAAAATCAGGAAACAATAGGTGCTGGAGAGGATGTGGAGAAATAGGAACACTTTTACACTGTTGGTAGGACTGTAAACTAGTTCAACCGTTGTGGTAGTCAGTGTGGCCGTTCCTCAGGGATCTAGAACTAGAAATACCATTTGACCCAGCCATCCCATTACTGGGTATACACGCAAAGGATGATAAAACATACTGCTATAAAGACACATGCACACGTACGTTTATTGCGGCACTATACCCAATAGCAAAGACTTGGAACCAAGCCAAATGTCCAACAATGATAGACTGGATTAAGAAAATGTGGCACATATACACCCCATGGAATACTATGCAGCCATAAAAAATGATGAGTTCATGCCTTTGTAGGGACATGGATGAAGCTGGAAACCATCATTCTCAGCAAACTATCACAAGGACAAAAAACCAAACACCGCATGTTCTCACTCATAGGTGGGAACTGAACAATGAGAACACATGGACACAGGAAGGGAAACATCACACACTGGGGCCTGTCGTGGGGTGGGGGGAGTGGGGAGGGATAGCATTAGGAGGTATACCTAATGTAAATGACGAATTAATGGGTGCAGCACACCAACATGGCACATGTATGCATATGTAACAATCCTGCACTTTGTGCCCATGTACCCTAAAACTTAAAGTATAATTTTTTTAAAAAGCTTAAGGAAAACAAAAAACAAACAAAAAAAAGATACAGGAGATATCACTAGTGATCCCACAGAAATACAAACTACCATCATAGAATACTACAAACACCTCTACACAAACAAACTAGAAAATCTAGAATAAATGCACAAATTTCTGGACACATACACCCTCTCAAGTCTTAACCAGGAAGAAGTTGAATCCCTGAATACAGCAATAACAAGTTCTGAAATTGAGGCAGTAATTAATTGCCTACCAACCAAAAAAAGTCCAGGACCAGACGGATTCACAGCCAAATTCTATCAGAGGTACACCAGAGGACCTGGTACCATTCCTTCTGAAACTATTCCAAACAATAGAATAAGAGAAAATCCTCCCTAACTGATTTTATGAGGCCAGTATCATCCTGATACTAAAGCCGAGCAGAGAAACAACAACAAAAAAGAAAATTTCAGGCCAGTATCCCTGATCAACATAGATGCAAAAATCCTCAATAAAATACTGGCAAATTGAATCCAGCAGCACATCAACAAGCCTATCCACTACAATCAAGTCAGCTTCATGCCTGGGATTCAAGGCTGGATCAACATACAATCAACAACAAATCAATAAACATAATCCATCACATAAACAGAACCAATGACAAAAGCCACGTGATTATCTCATAGTTGCAGAAAAGGCCTTTGACAAAATTCAACAGTCCTTCATGCTAACAACTCTCAATAAGCTAAGTATTGATGGAATGTATCTCAAAATAATAAGAGCTATTTATGACAAACCCACAGCCAATATCATACTGAATAGGCAAAAACTAGAAGCATTCCCTTTGAAAACCGGCACAGGACAAGGATGCCCTCTCTCACCACTCCTACTCAATAAAGTATTGGAAGCTCTACCCAGGGCAATCAGGCAAGAGAAATAAATAAAGGGTATTCAAACAGGAAAAGAGGAAGTCAAATTGTCTGTTTGCAGATGACATGATTGTATATTTAGAAAACCCCATCATCTCAGCCCAAAATCTCCTTAAGCTGATAAGCAACTTTAGCAAAGTCTCAGGATACAACATCAATGTGCAAAAATTACAAGCATTCCTATATACCAATAACGGGCAAACAGGGAGCCAAATCATGAGTGAACTCCCATTCACAGTTGCTACAAAGAGAAAAAAACACTTAGGAATACAACTTGCAAGGGATGTGAAGGACCTCTTCGAGGAGAACTATCGAGTAGAACTAGAAACCACTTCTCCAGGTAGTAAGAGAGGACAGAAATAAATGGAAAAACATTCCATGCTCATGGATAGGAAGAATCAATATCATGAAAATGGCCATACTGCCCAAAGTGATTTGTAGATTCAATGCTATCCCCATCAAACTATCAATGACTTTCTTCACAGGATTGGAAAAAACTACTTTAAATTTCATATGGAACCAAAAAAGAGCCCAGACTGTAGCCAGGACAATCGTAAGCAAAAAGAACAAAGCCGGAGGCATCATGCTGTTTTCAAACTATACTACAAAGCTACAGTAACCAAAAGAGCATGGTGTTGGTACCAAAATAGATACATAGACTAATGGAACAGAACAGAGGCCTCAGAAATAACACCACACATCTACAACCATTTACAAAAACAAGCAATGGTGGAAAGGATTCTCTATTTAATAAATGGTGTTGGGAAAACTGGCTAGCCTTATGCAGAAAACTGAAACTGGACCCCTTCCCTATATCTTATACAAAAATTAACTCAAGATGGATTAAAGACTTAAATGTAAGACCGAAACCATAAAAACCCTAGAAGAAAACCTAGGCAATACCATTCAGGACATAGGCATGATCAAAGACTTCATGACTAAAACACCAAAAGCAATGGCAACAAAAGCCAAAACTGACAAATGGGATCGAATTAAACTAAAGGGGTTCTGCACAGCAAAAGAAACTATCATCAGAGTGAACAGGCAGCCTACAGAATGGGAAAAAATGTTTGCAATCTATCTATCTGACAAAGGGCTGATATCCAGAATCTATAAAGAACTTAAACAAATTTACAATAAAAAAGCAAACAACCCCATCAAAAAGTGGGTGAAGGATATGAAGAGACGCTTCTCAAAAGAAGACATTTATGCAGCCAACAAACATGAAAAAAAGCTCATCATCACTAGTCATTAGAGAAATGCAAATCAAAACCACAATGAGATACTGTCTCACACCAGTTAGAATCGTGATCACTAAAAAGTCAGGAAACAACACATGCTGGAGAGGATGTGGAGAAATAGGAATGCCTTTACACTGTTGGTAGGAGTGTAAATTAGTTCAACCATTGTGGAAGACAGTGTGGTGTTTCTTCAAGGATCTTGAACCAGAAATACCATTTGACCTAGCAATCCCATTATTGAATATATAACCAAAGGATTATAAATCATTCTATAAGACATCTGTACACATATGTTTATTGTGGCACTATTTACAATAGCAAAGACTTGGAACCAACCCAAATGCCCATCAATGATAGACTGGACAAAGAAAATGTGGCACATATAGACCGTGGAATACTATGCAGCCATTAAAAAGGATGAGTTCATGTCCTTTGCAGGGACATGGATGAAGCTGGAAACCATCATTTTCAGCAAACTATCACAAAGACAGAAAACCAAACACTGCATGTTCTCACTCATAGGTGGGAATTGAACAATGAGAACACTTGGACAGAGGGTGAGGAACATCACACACTGGGGCCTGTGGTGGGGTGGGGGGCAGGAGGAGGGATAGCATTAGGAGAAATACGTAAAGTAAATGACGAGTTAATGGGTGGAGCAAACCAACATGGCACATGTATACCTATGTAACAAGCCTGCACGTTGTGCATATGTACCCTAGAACTTAAAGTATAACAACAACAACAACAACAAAATACCCTCACAGAGATACCCAGTAATAACCTTTCACCAGCTATCTGGGCATGCTTTAGTCAAGTCAAGCTGACATAAAATTAATCATCACAGTAGGCCTAGTATAAGTATAAGTACATGATAAAAGTAGATTGTAAGAAAAATCGCATGGGTATCATCAAGACAGAGACACTTCTCAGGACCACAGACTCTGTCTATCAATCTTCTAACCTACCTGGCAATCCACCTGAGAACATGGCTGCTAGTGTCTGCACCATACTCTTCCCATCTACACTGAAAATTTCGACTACTGGTCGTGAGACCAAAATTAATGTTCTGCCTTCTTTTATTGTTTTGTCTTGGGGTCTCCTCTTCAGGGTGAAAGTGATTTCATAATTTCAAAGTAAATTGATGTAGAATTACAAAAGTGGGAATGAAAATGACAAATTAGTAGCCAATGCTGTGCTTGGCATGCATATATTATTCTTAGGGAATTTATATTAGTTAAGTAATGAAGTAAAGACAAGAGACCTATGTGTAATCGTAAAATTTCTATTAAATTATTTGCATGCCTAGTTCAGTTATTTTAACAATCCATATTTTCTTACCTTTTAACCAAATTATTGGAGGTAATTGTATATTTATATGCAGTTATCAGAAGTAATACACAGAAATCTCATGTACTCTTTGCCCAGTCCCTCTCAATAACATCTTGCAAAAATATACTATAATATCACTATCAGGACATTTAAATTGATAGTGAAGACATAGAACAATTCCATCACCACGAGGATTCCTTATGCAGCCCCTTTATAGCCACACCCATGCTCCCCCCTTCACCCTCCACCCTATTCTTAGACCCTAGAAAATTCATAATCTGTTTCCACTTCTATAATTTTGTCACTTAAGGAATGTCATATAAATGGAAACATACAGTATCTAATCTCTTGGATAATATTTTTTACTCATCATAATTCTTTGTGATTCCTCAAAGTTGTTGCCTGTATCAATAATTCGTTACTTTTCATTGGTCAGTATGGTATACATGTACCACAATTAGTTTAACCATTCACTCACTGAAGAACCTCTAGGTTGTTTCTGAGTTTGAGCTATTACAAATAAACATGCTATAAACAGGGTGGGCTGGAAGAAGAGATCTCCTTAGTATGAAAAGCTGGAAGCTCAGCTGGAAAGCAAACAAAAAGTCTCAGGTGCTTATATCTCAAGCCCTGATGCGGAAAGGGGCATGATTCTCCTCTCAGGACAATGAAGTGAATTAACTGAAACTAATTAAAACTGAATTCTAACACCAAAGGTACCCAACTTATGATTAATGCAAAGAGTTTAGCCTTTCATTCAGCCTGACAGAGAAAAGGGCATTGCAAATGTTCAGTTTTGGTCTATCATTGATGGACATTTGGGTTGGTTCCAAGTCTTTGCTATTGTGAATAGTGCTGCAATAAACATACGTGTGCATGTGTCTTTCTAGTAGTATGATTTATAATCCTTTGGTTGTATATCCAGTAATGGGATCGCTGGGTCAAATGGTATTTCTAGCTCTAGATCCCTTAGGAGTCGCCACACTGTCTTCCACAATGGTTGAATTAATTTACACTTTCACCAACAGTGTAAAAGTGTTCTTATTAAATAGAGAATCTTTTCCCCATTGCTTGTGTGTGTCAGGTTTGTAAAAGATCAGATGGTTGTAGCTGTGTGGTGTTATTTCTGAGGCCTCCATTCTGTACCATTGCTCTATATATCTGTTTTGGTACCAGTACCATGCTGTTTTGGTTACTGTAGCCTTGTAGTATAGTTTGAAGTCAGGTAGCATGATACCTCCCAGTTTGTTTCTTTTGCTTAGGATTGACTTGGCTATGCGGGCTCTTTTTTGGTTCTATATGAACTTTAAAGTAGTTTTTTCCCAATCCTGTAAAGAAAGGCAGTGAGTGGTACCTTGATGGGGATGCCATTGAATCTATAAATTACCTTGTGCAGTATGGCCATTTTCACAATATTGATTCTTCCTACCCATGAGCATGGAATGTTCTTTCATTTTTTTGTGTCCTCTTTTATTTCTTTGAGCAGTGGTTTGTAGTTCTCCTTGAAGAGGTCCTTCACATCCCTTGTAAGTTGGATTCCTAGGTATTTTATTCTCTTCGTAGCTATTGTGAATGGGAGTTCACTCATGATTTGGCTCGCTGTTTGTCTGTTATTGGTGTATAGGAATGCTTGTGATTTTTGCATATTGATTTTGTATCCTGAGACTTTGCTTATTAGCTTAGGGGGATTTGGGGCTGAAATGATAGGGTTTTTAAATATACAATCATGTCATCTGCAAACAGGGACAATTTGACTTCCTCTTTTCCTAATTGAATACCCTTTATTTCTTTCTCTTGCCTGATTGCTCTGGCCAGAACTTCTAACACTATGTTGAATAGGAGTGGTGAGAGAGGGCATCCCTGTCTTGTGCCAGTTTTCAAAGGGAATGAATCCAGTTTTTGCCCATTCAGTATGATATTGGCTGTGGGTTTGTCATAAACAGCTCATATTATTTGGAGATGCATTCCATCAATACCTAGTTTATTGAGAGTTTTTAGCATGAAATGGTGTTGAATTTTGTCAAAGGCCTTTTCTGCATCTATTGAGATAATCATGTGGTTTTTGTCGATGGTTCTGTTTATGTGATGGATTATGTTCACTGATTTGTGTATGTTGATCCAGCCTTGAATCCCAGGGATGAAGCCCACTTGATCATGCGGGATAAGCTTGTTGATGTGCTGCTGGATTCAATTTGCTAGTATTGTATTGAGGATTTTCACATTCATGGTCATCAGGGATATTGGTCTAAAATTCTCTTTTTTTTATTGTGTCTCTGCCAGGCTTTGATATCAGGATGATGCTGGTCTCATAAAATGAGTTAGGGAGGGTTCCCTCTTTTCTATTGATTGGAATAGTTTCCAAAGGAATGGTACCAACTCCTCTTTGTACCTCTGGTAGAATTCGGCTGTTAATCCATCTGGTGCTGGGCTCTTTTGGGTTGGTAGGATATTAATAATTGCCTCAATTTCAGAGCCTGTTATTGGTCTATTCAGAAATTCAACTTCTTCCTGGTTTAGTCTGGGGAGGATGTTTATGTCCAGGAATTTATCCATTTCTTCTAGATTTTCTAGTTTATTTGTGTAGAGGTGTTTACAGTGTTCTCTGATGGCAATATGTATTTCTGTGGGATCAGTGGTGATATCCCCCTTATGATTTTTTATTGCATCTATTTGATTCTTCTCTTTTTTCTTCTTTATTAGTCTTGCTAGCAGTCTGTCCATTCTGTTGATCTTTTCAAAAAACCAGCTCCTGGATTCATTGATTTTTTTGAAGGGATTATTGTGTCTCTCTCTCCTTCAGTTCTGCTCTGATCTTAGTTATTTCTTGCCTTCTGCTATCTTTTGAATTTGTTAGCTCTTACTTCTCTTGTTCTTTTTTATTTTTACATATAAGATTTTATTTTTTTATTTTTTATTTTTATTATACTTTAAGTTTTAGGGTACACGTGCACAACATGCAGGTTTGTTACGTATGTATAAATGTGGCATGTTGGTGTGCCGCACCCATTAACTCGCCATTTACATTAGGTATATCTCCTAATGCTATCCCTCCCCCTCCCCCCACCCCACAACAGGCCCCATTGTGTGATGTTCCCCTTCCTGTGTCCATGTGTTTTCATTGATCAATTCCCACCTATGAGTGAGAACATGTGGTGTTTGGCTTTTTGTCCTTGCGATAGATTGCAGAGAATGATGGCTTGCAGCTTCATCCATGTCCCTACAAAGGACATGAACTCATCATTTTTTATGGCTGCATAGTATTCCATGGTGTATATGTGCCACATTTTCTTAATCCAGTCTATCATTTATGGACATCTGGGTTGGTTCCAAGTCTCCTCTTCAAGGAGAACTACAAACCACTACTCAACGAAATAAAAGAGGACGCAAACAAATGGAAGAACATTCCATGCTCATGCACAGGAAGAATCAATGTCGTGAAAATGGCCATACTGCCCAAGGTAATTTATAGATTCAATGCCATCCCCATCAAGCTACCAATGACTTTCTTCACAGAATTGAGAAAAAAACTACTTTAAAGTTCATATGGAACCAAACAACAGCCCGCATTGCCAAGTCAATCATAAGCCAAAAGAACAAAGCTGGAGGCATCATGCTACCTGACTTCAAACTATACTACAAGGCTACAGTAACCAAAACAAACAGCATGGTACTGGTACCAAAACAGCATGGTACTGGTACCAAAACAGAGATACAGACCAATGCAACAGAACAGAGCCCTCAGAAAGAATACCACACATCCACAACCATGTGATCTTTGACAAACCTGACAAAAACAAGCAATGGGGAAAGGATTCCCTATTTAATAAATGGTTCTGGGAAAACTGGCTAGCCATATGTAGAAAGCTGAAACTGGATCCCTTCCTTATACCTTACACAAAAATTAATTCAAGATGGATTCAAGACTTAAATGTTAGACCTAAAACCATAAAAGTCCTAGAAGAAAACCTAGGCAATACCATTCAGGACATAGGCATGGACAAGGACTTCATGTCTAAGACACCAAAAGCAATGGCAACAAAAGCCAAAATTGACAAATGGGATCTAATTAAATTAAAGAGTTTCTGCACAGCAAAAGAAACTACCATCAGAGTGAACAGGCAACCTAAAGAATAGGAGAAAAATTTTGCAATCTACTCATCTGACAAAGGGCTAATATTCAGAACCTACAAAGAACCTAAACAAATTTACAAGAAAAAAACAACCCCATCAAAAAGTGGGCATATGAACAGACACTTCTCAAAAGAAGACGTTTATGCAGCCAAAAGACACATGAAAAAATGCTCATCATCACTGGCCATCAGAGAAATGCAAATCAAAACCACAGTGAGATACCATCTCACACCAGTTAGAATGGCAATCATTAAAAAGTCAGGAAACAA
The DNA here is from genome assembly GCF_000001405.40 of Homo sapiens. Taxonomy (NCBI): domain Eukaryota; kingdom Metazoa; phylum Chordata; class Mammalia; order Primates; family Hominidae; genus Homo; species Homo sapiens. Next base: position 95,164,918 of record NC_000010.11, read on the forward strand.
CAGGTGCTGGAGAGGATGTGGAGAAATAGGAACACTTTTACACTGTTGGTGGGACTGTAAACTAGTTCAACCATTGTGGAAGTCAGTGTGGTGATTCCTCAAGGATCTAGAACTAGAAATACCATTTGACCCAGCCATCCCATTACTGGGTATATACCCAAAGTATTATAAATCATGCTGCTATAAAGACACATGCACATGTATGTTTATTGCAGTACTATTCACAATAGCAAAGAATTGGAACCAACCCAAGCCCATCAGTGATAGAATGGATTAAGAAAATGTGGCACATATACAACATGGAATACTATGCAGCCATAAAAAATGATGAGTTCGTGTCCTTTATAGGGACATGGATGAAGCTGGAAACCAGCATTCTGAGCAAACTATCTCAAGGACAGAAAACCAAACACCGTGTGTTCTCACTCATAGGTGGGAATTGAACAATGAGAACGCTTGGACACAGGATGGGGTACATCACACACCAGAGCCTGTCATGGGGTGGGGGGAGGGATAGCATTAGAAGATATACCTAATGTAAATGACGAGTTAATGGGTGCAGCACACCAACATGGCACATGTATACATATGTAACAAACCAGCACGTTGTGCACATGTACCCTAGAACTTATGGTATAATAATAAAAAATAAAAAAAATAAATACACAAATAAATAAAATAAATAAATAAGTGGGTAAATCTCTGTTCGAGGCTCTCAGCTCTGAAGGCTGTGAGACTCCTGATTTCCCACTCCACACCTCAAAAAAAAAAAAAAAACAGAACCAATGACAAAAACCACATGGTTATCTCAACAGATGCAGAAAAGGCCTTCAATAAAATTCAACACCACTTCATGCTAAAAACTCTCAATAAGCTGGGTATTGATGGAACATATCTCAAAATAATATGAGTTATTTATGACAAACCCACAGCCAATATCATACAGAATGGGTAAAAACTGGAAGCATTCCCTTTGAAAATCAGCACAAGACAAGGATGTCCTCTCTCATCACTCCTATTCAACATAGTATTGGAAGTTCTCTCCAGGGCAATCGGCCAAGAGAAAGCAATACAGGATATTGAAATAAGAAGAGAGGAAGTCAAATTGTCCCTGTTTGCAGATGACATGACTGTGTATTTAGAAAATCCCATCGTTACAGCCCAAAACCTCCTTAAGCTGATAAACAGCTTCAGCAAAGTCTCAGGAAACAAAATCAATGTGCAAAAATCACAAGCATTCCTATACACCAAACAGAGAGCCAAATCATGAGTCAACTCCCATTCACAATTGCTACTAAGAGAACAAAATACTTAGGAATACAACTTACAAGGGATGTGAAGGACCTCTTCAAGAAGATCTACAAACCACTGCTCAAGGAAATAAGAGAGGACACAAACAAACGGAAAAACATTCCATGTTCATGGATAGAATCAATATCGTGAAAATGGCCATACTGTCCAATGTAATTTATAGATTCAATGCCATCCCCATCAAGCTACCACTGCCTTTCTTCACAGAACTGGAAAAAACTACTTTAAACTTCATATGGAACCAAAAAACGGCCCGCATATCCAACACAATCATGGGCAAGAAGAACAAAGCTGGAGGCATCATTCTACCTGACTTCAAACTATACTACAAGGCTACAGTAACCAAAACAGCATGGTACCAAAACAGATATATACACCAATGGAACAGAACAGAGGCCTCAGAAATAACACCACACAGCTACAACCATCTGATCTTTGACAAACCTGACACACACAAGCAATGGGGAAGGGATGCCCTATTTAATAAATGGTGTTGGGAAAACTGGCTAGCCATATGCACAAAACTGAAACTGGACCCCTTCCTTACACCTTTTACAAAAATCAACTCAAGATGGATCAAAGACTTAAACGTAAGACCTAGGACCATAAAAATCCTAGAAGAAAACCTGGGCAATACCATTCAGGACATAGGCATGGGAAAAGACTTCATGTCTAAAACACCAAAAGCAATGGCAACAAAAGCCAAAATTGACAAATGGAATCTAATTAAACTAAAGAGCTTTTGCTATGCAAAAGCAAATATCACCAGAGTGAACGGGCAACCTACAGAATGGGAGAAAAATTTTGCAATCTACTCATCTGACAAAGGGCTAATATTCAGAATCTACAAAGAACCTAAACAAATTTACAAGAAAAAAACAACCCCATCAAAAAGTTGGCAAAGGATATGAACAGACATTTCTCAAAAGAAGACATTTATGCAGCCAAAAGACACATGAAAAAATGCTCATCATCACTGGCCATCAGAGAAATGCAATTCAAAACCACAATGAGATACCATCTCAAACCAGTTAGAATGGTGATCATTAAATAATCAGGAAACAACAGGTGCTGGAGAGGATGTGGAGAAATAGGAACACTTTTACACTGTTGGTGGGAATGTAAATTAGTTCAACCATTGTGGAAGACAGTGCAGCGATTCCTCAAGGATCTAGAACCAGAAATACCATTTGACCCAGCAACCCCATTACTGGGCATATACCCAAAGGATTATAAATCATTCTATGATAAAGACACATGCACACGTATGTTTATTGCAGCACTATTCACAATAGCAAAGACTTGGAACCAACCCAAATGCCCATCAATGATAGACTGAAGAAAATGTGGCACATATAGACCATGGAATACTATGCAGTCATAAAAAAGGATGAGTTCATGTCCTTTGCAGGGACATGGATGAAGCTGGAAACCATCATTCTCAGCAAACTATCACAAGATCAGAAAACCAAACACTGCATGTTCTCACTCGTAAGTGGGGGTTGAACAATGAGAACACATTGACACAAGGAGGGGAACATCACACCCCAGGGCCTGTTGGGGGGTGGGGAGCTAGGGGAGGGATAACGTTAGGAAAAATACCTAATGTAGGTGACAGGTTGATGGGTGCAGCAAACCACCATGGCAGGTGTATACCTATGTAACAAAACTGCACATTCTGCGCAGGTAACCCAGAACTTACAGTGTAATAATAAAAATAAAATTGATATCACCAGCAAAAAAAAAAGTTCCTAGAAATTCATCAAACCATGTGGCACAAAACTCAAATGACATTTCACTTTGTTTTGATTTGTTTTGTTTGAGACAAGGTGTCACTCTGTCACCCAGGCTGAAGTGCGGTGGGGTGATCTGGGCTCACTGCAGGCTCTAACTCCTGGGCCCAAGTGATTCTCTCAACTCAGTCTCTCCAGTATCTGAGGCTACAGGCAGGCGCCACTAGGCCCAACTAATTTTTTTATGAAATTTTTTGCAAAGATGTCCAGGCTGGTCTTGAACTCCTGGACTCAAATGATCTGCCTACCTCAGCCCTCCAAAGTGCTGGGATTACAGGCTTGAACTGTGTAATTTCACGTGGCATGACACAGCACAATGATGAAAAGGAAGAAACCCTGTGGGTCCAGCGTATACTCACATGGGTGGATTGATGGCTGGGAAACCCAAGCAGGAGGAGCCAAAACAGCAGCCACTGGACCCGCATGTCCTGGTTTTCTCAGGGCCCCCTGAGGAGGCCAGGACAGAGGTGAGGGTGGTTTAGGGCTAAGGGAGGAAAGGGGATGGGGACTGGGGGTGGGACTGCAGTTGGGGAGGGGGAGGGGAGGGAAAGGGATTGGGAGGGGAGGGAAGGCAAGGGGGACTGTGGGGGGCCTGGAGGAGCAGGGCGGTGGGGGGCTGGAGAAGAAGGAGGAGGAAGAAAAAGAAGGAACCCTGGGAAAGGATCCAGTTAAAACTAAGTCTTCAAGTGCTGGTGGAAGGTTCAGCTATAGGTCAGTGAAAAAGTCTATCAGCAAAACAGCAGGAGGAGTGGGGCAGGGGAGCAGGAGGCTCAGGAGCAGTTGGAGGGAGACCAGGGCTCTGGTTTCTACCAAACCTTCTCCTGTCTGGGCGCTACCTTAGCAACCCTGGGGCTTTATACTTCCTCTCCACCAATCCTCGGTCCTGGTACCATAGTGCCTCACAGTGGGCATTCCATGTGATGTCCACATTCTTCCAACACCCCCTCCCCCACCTGAACCCCTGATGCGCCATCCCAAAGACAGGTCCTCTCTGGAAACTTCGCAGACCTTCTGACTTCTCATCCTCCCCAACCAGCTCCCTGTCCCTGCTTCTGGGCTGATCTTTCCTTCCTGAGCTCCAAGTGTTCCTCATGGTCAGTCTTGGCTGCAAAACATGAAAAACAAATGATGGCAGGATGGCAGGAAGAACCTCATACACAAGCAGAGTGGGAGGCTCCACAGCCCCCTCTCAGCAATTCATATACTAAGCAACAAAACATCAGTAGGATGTAGAAGGTCCAAATAGTAAACCATCTCCATCACATTCATGTAGTCATCTATCCATCACCCTTGTATCTTGGGAATAAATGTTGGCGATATATTCATTTTAAGCACATATGGTACATTTACAAAAATTAACCTGACTTATTTTGTTCATCAAGCAAATCTCAATATATTTCAGAGGAATCAAATCACGTTTCTGATCATATAATTGTGCTAGAAGTCAACGATAAAAAGCTAACCAAAAATTCTTATATGCTTGGAAATTCAATGTGCCCTTATAAGTAAGATATAAACATAAGGAAGAACCCAAAATGAAACAAGACTGCCTTTGCACTCAATGATAGAATCATAATATGGCAATAAAACATCTCCCTCTGGCCTGGGAATTCCACTTTGTGGCACAAGGTTGTGTGGTCCCAAATCATTTCTAACCCACCTAGACATTTTAACATCTGAAATGGGGTGATGATGTCACTTATCTATGTCATCTTACTGCCTGTGACCATGGGCTTTAAATTTTGAACCCTAATGAGGGGAGGAAAACCAAGTTGACTCTCATGATTGACTTCCCAGGTATGACCAAGGAATCTGTGCATTTCAAGTGACGAAGTTCATCAGCTTCTCTCCTGGGAGATTTGGCCACAATACCCAGAGGGCCAGGCAGCACCAGGAGTAATGGGTGGGGAGTACCAAGCAATTGGGCAGGACCTAGGGGCCCGGTGACCAGGACAGACCCCCACTGGCCATCACCTTTCCTGGTCCTGTCTTCAGCTAAACCTCCCAAAGGCCTTCTTCTGCCTGATTGCACAGAGTGTGCCCAAACTCACCCAGGCTTCTAGCAGCTTAAAACCACTTCTTTAAATCCCTTTACCATTTATTATGACATAAAGTTATTATAAACAGGAAATATTCCATTGAGGCTACAAATAGAAAGCCAATGCCTTTACCATAAATGGAAAGAAATCCTAAGAAACAAGCATGACAAAAACAAAACACAGATAACAAAACAATGAAATTATATTTGTATACTGTCACCTGCATAAAGACCCCCAGTTTCAGTTGTCTTGCTTGTAAAAGGAGAGACCAAGAGGGGGTTGAAGTCAGATCTGCACAAAAGTGAACGGCACAGATTACCATAATGTCCGTGAAGGGTTGCTGGGGTCACCTTGATTATAGCCCAAGTAGACATAAGGAAAGGAGGGCAATATGAGCAGAGTTTGGGGCCTCAAACAGGGTAGGTTATTTATGCAGCCCAGGAAAGGCTCCCCAAAGCCAGTGTCAACCTCACAGGCAGGTCCCTCATGGAGGCAAGGCCAAGCACCTTGGATTTGAGACCAGCTGTGCTGCTGACCAGCTGTGTGACCCTGGGCTGGTTTCCTTCCATACAATGGGAGTGCCAATGGCTACATGCAAAGACTGTCTGAGGACAGGAGGAAGAAATCTGTTGAGCACCTGTGTACCTGAGTGTCAGCACCTCCCAAGGGCATCTGTCCTTCCAGAGCTGGCACCCTGGAAAGTTCTCAGATGCTAAAGGCAGTCATGATGATAACAGCAGTAAATCATCATTTACTGCTGATGAGGGAGGGCCAGTGGGCAGGACTCCTAGGTTCTGGATAGGAATGAAAGTCTGGGCACGCCTGGGGACAGCTGAGTGAGTCCTGTATCAGCAGTACAGGCAGGCACAGAGGCAGTAGATTCATCAGAGGTGGCAGGTGTGGGATGGTCTGATAAGCAAGCATAGTCACCAAGCTGGCTGACCACTGCCCCCTCACAGAAGATGCCCTGTCCCTTGCCTCACATTCCAGCAGGGCAGAGGCTGGCACCTGGGGCCTCACAGAGCATCCCTCTGAGACTTCTGTGTCCTGGCCAAAAAATGGGCACTTGCGTCACCCAGCACTGACAGAACAAGGAGGAAGAATCAGGACCCAGGATGTTTTGGGGAAGTGTTTAGCACAGAAAAATGCTCAGAATACAAACACGACACAGGGGAACTGTTCATGTGGGAGCCAATATTTTATAACCTACAGCCCTAATCTGAGCACTCTCACCTGTGCAATCTGAAAGAAACAGGGGACTTGCAGGAAGGATAGTGCCTGGATTTAACTTGAAGTAAAATGTTGGAATTTTCACACTCCTGATATCCTTCCAAATCAACTCTTTCAATGCTCCCATCCTCACCACTATCATGTGGGGTAACTGAGGCAGTCAGGGATTTACTGACTCAATGTCATTCAGTCATTTCTGAGTTCACTGCTGACTACATCTGACCAAACTTGAAGTTCCCGTTTAATCTTGCCAGTGACGGTTTTTGGCAGCTCTGGGACAAACTCCACCTGGCTGAAGATAAAGCAAATCTGTGGTGACTTAGTCCTGCTGTCATTTCCTACCAATCCCCTACTCTCCTCCTCTGCCCCTCCACAGTCTCCCACACAGGCTAACACCATATGGTGGCCTTAATGGTGTCCACTGAGTATTTCAGCTTCTCCACGTGGGCCGTTTAAGTTGGGTGTAGCCATGTGATTTGCTTTGACCCAAAAGTGAGTGGAAGCGAAGCATGTCACCTTGAGGCAGAAGAGTTGGGAGCCATTGAGACTGGACACCCTCTTCTCTATCTCCGAGAGCACCTGACAGGTTCCACATGGAGGCTGCTCCTTTACCCTGGCAGCAGGATAAGAAGATGTGGTGCACAGGGCCCAGGAGAGCCATGATGGACGTGCAGCATGAGCAGGAAAACAACCTCCATTGTTTAAGACTGTTTGTGACCCACAGTGGTATCTAGCCCATCCTAGTATGCATGCACCATCTATTCCACACTCTGTTAAGCAGACTAGCCTACCATCAGAACATGAACTGCTCGTCAGACACACATAGGTTTCAGTTACAGCTCTTCCTCTTATTGACTGCAACCTCAGGCATTTAACTTTCAATCTCTGAGCCTGTTTCACCTCTGTAACATGAGTTGGCTATACTATCTCACATTGTGGAGAGGATTAAATAAAATAAAAATGCACACAGAGCACTGAGCCCAGGGCCTGGCACACACAGTGAGTACTCAATCAACGTTAACCATGTAACTTCATAATGTGTATTGACTGTCAATATTTAGACAATGCCGCAAAGTACTACAAAAAAGGAAATGTTAACTATTTTTCAAATGTATTCTTCCAAACTTTATTTTCAAACAGATAGGATGAAACTATGTAAATTCTTTCATAGCCAGTGTTTTTCTCTTAATAGTATATTGCTAAAATATTTTTATCTCAAAAATAAGATTGTGTTTAAGATTATCATTTTAAATTACAAGTAATGCTCAATTTAATGAATAATTTAATTATTACTATTGAACTTTTTGTAGATTGCACACAGCATTTAAAACAAATGAAAGAGAATTAAAAATAAGAATGTATTACATGTTATAAAATAACTATGTTTTGTTAATTCTATTATTCATATAAGCACATATATATGCAATATGGAAGGTATTTTTATTGTAATGTTTAAAAATAGTTTAGAAGCTGCTTATTTGGATTTCCCTTTTTGAATTTTGCAGGATTATAACTTTTTAAGTACTGTTGGGCACTTGTCTGGTTGTTTTTCTTTAGCTTAACATGCCAGCAATGATTCCTTTTGGGTTTCTGACACAAGACAGTGGTTTTCATCCACCCCATCCCTAAGCCACTCAGATGGAATGAAAAAGGAGGAAAAGGCCAGTACTGTGACTGCCTAAGCTTCCCCCAGCATGGCCACGCTATGAGACACAGGGCAGCTGAAAGTCAGAAACTGCTCAAGGGCACCAGGCCCCATCTGTCTGTGCTCACTCACCTTCCTTTGGTACTTGCATGGGCCTGTCACTGACTTTATGTGCTGCTATAGCTCTTTGGTGAGCTGGCCCTGGTCATGGGACAGGAACTGTGGAGTCAGGACATTAGGGGGCTTCACCACCTGCAGAATGGGAACAGAGGCACATAATGAGTGCCAGCCTATTAGATAATTTTATTTTTTTTCCCCTTTTTTTATTATACCTTAAGTTTTAGGGTACATGTGCACAACGTGCAGGTTTGTTACATACGTATACATGTGCCATGTTGGTGTGCTGCACCCAACAACTCGTCATTTAACATTAGCTATATCTCCTAATGCTATCTATCCCTCCCTCCTCCCCCACCCCACAACAGGCCCTGGTGTGTGATGTTCCCCTTCCTGTATCCATGTGTTCTCATTGTTCAATTCCCACCTATGAGTGAGAATATGCGGTGTTTGGTTTTTTGTCCTTGTGATAGTTTGCTGAGAATGATAGTTTCCGGCTTCATCCAAGTCCCTACAAAGGACATGAACTCATCATTTTTTATGGCTGCATAGTATTCCATGGTGTCTATGTGCCACATTTTCTTAATCCAGTCTATCATAGTTGGACATTTGGGTTGGTTCCAAGTCTTTGCTATTGTGAATAGTGCTGCTATAAACATACATGTGCATGTGTTTTTATAGCAGCATGATTTATAATCCTTTGGGTATATACCAGTAATGGGATGGCTGGGTCAAATGGTATTTCTAGTTCAAGATCCCTGAGGAATCGCCACACTGACTTCCACAATGGTTGAACTAGTTTATAGTCCCACCAACAGTGTAAAAGTGTTCCTATTTCTCCACATCCTCTCCAGCACCTGTTGTTTCCTGACTTTTTAATGATTGCCATTCTAACTGGTGTGAGATGGTATCTCACTGTGGTTTTGATTTGCATTTCTCTGATGGCCAGTGATGATGAGCATTTTTTCATGTGTCTTTTGGCTGCATAAATGTCTTCTCTTGAGAAGTGTCTGTTCATATCCTTTGCCCACTTTTTGATGGGGTTGTTTGTTTTTTTCTTGTAGATTTGTTTGAGTTCATTGTAAATTCTGGATATTAGCCCTTTGTCAGATGAGTAGATTGCAAAAATTTTCTCCCATTCTGTAGGTTGCCTGTTCACTCTCATAGTAGTTTCTTTTGCTGTGCAGAAGCTCTTTAGTTTAATTAGATCCCATTTGTCAATTTTGGCTTTTGTTGCCATTGCTTTTGGTGTTTTAGACATGAAGTCCTTGTCCATGCCTATGTCCTGAATGGTATTGCCTAGGTTTTCTTCTAGGGTTTTTATGGTTTTATGTCTAACATTTAAGTCTTTGATCCATCTTGGATTAATTTTTGTATAAGGTGTAAGGAAGGGATCCAGTTTCAGCTTCCTACATATGGCTAGCCAGTTTTCCCAGCACCATTTATCAAATAGGGAATCCTTTCCCCATTGCTTGTTTTGTCAGGTTTGTCAAAGATCAGATGGTTGTAGATATGCGGCATTATTTCTGAGGGCTCTGTTCTGTTCCATTGGTCTATCCGTTTTGGTACCAGTACCATGCTGTTTTGGTTACTGTAGCCTTGTAGTATAGTTTGAAGTCAGGTAGCGTGATGCCTCCAGCTTTGTTCTTTTGGCTTAGGATTGACTTGGCAATGTGGGCGCATTTTGGTTCCATATGAACTTTAAAGTAGTTTTTTCCAATTCTGTGAAGAAAGTCATTGGTAGCTTAATGGGGATGGCATTGAATCTATAAATTACCTTGGGCAGTATGGCCATTTTCACGTTATTGATTCTTCCTACCCATGAGCATGGAATGTTCTTCCATTTGTTTGTATCCTCTTTTATTTCCTTGAGCAGTGGTTTGTAGTTCTCCTTGAAGTGGTCCTTCACATCCCTTGTAAGTTGGATTCCTAGGTATTTTATTCTCTTTGAAGCAGTTGTGAATGGGAGTTCACTCATGATTTGGCTCTCTGTTTGCCTGTTATTGGTGTATAAGAATGCTTGTGATTTTTGCACATTGATTTTGTATCCTGAGACTTTGCTGAAGGTGCCTATCAGCTTAAGGAGATTTTGGGCTGAGATGATGGGGTTTTCTAGCTATACAATCATGTCATCTGCAAACAGGGACAATTTGACTTCCTCTTTTCCTAATTGAATCCCCTTTATTTCCTTCTCCTGCCTGATTGCCTTGGCCAGAACTTCCAACACTATGTTGAATAGGAGTGGTGAGAGAGGGCATCCCTGTCTTGTGCCAGTTTTCAAAGGGAATGCTTCCAGTTTTTGCCCATTCATTATGATATTGGCTGTGTGTTTGTCATAGATAAACTCTTATTATTTTGAGATATGTCCCATCAATACCTAATTTATTGAGAGTTTTTAGCATGAAGGGTCGTTGTATTTTGTCAAAGGCCTTTTCTGCATCTATTGAGATAATCATACGGTTTTTGTCATTGGTTCTGTTTATATGCTGGATTATGTTTATTGATTTGCTTAAAAGAAAATGTTTGTTGAATGAGTGGAAAAACAAGGTGATGTTTGAGTCTACAGTGCTCAAAAGCATGGGGGCTTCAGAAAAGAACAAGATCAATTTCACATCCCTGTACTTCAAATTTCTACTTCATGCCATGCAAAATTACTTTACCCCTCTTAACCTCAATTTCCTTCTGTGTGAAATGGGAAAAATAAAGTTTCATTTTTCATTCAGTTTCTGTCAATATTTCATGAGATAAAACATATAAAACATCCAACTTGCTTAAATGTATGATTATTCCTGTCATTATTAGTAGTGGGATCAATTTCACTATTATTGTCTATACAGTTCTGTGCCTAAAACCTACAAAACAAGAAAATGTTAACTCTAGAAAGTGCTAGTGATTTGTAATTTTTATATCATTAATTATAACCCTGCTTAATCGCACAAGGCTTTTTATATGGCGGGTGCTCAATAAACACTTGCTGAATCAATGAATGTGTGCTCCGGAGCCACACTGTTTAGATTCTCTTCTCCTTTACCACTTATTAGCTGTGTGATCTGGGAAAGTTAATCCACCTCTTTATGTCTCTGTTTCCTTCTCTATAAAATATACATAATAAGAATCACTAGCTTATTAGGTTGTTGCAAGGAATTAATAATTTGGCACATAGTAGGGGCTTGTTAAATATTAGCTGTGATGATCTCCTTCCAAGTCTTCATTTTCAGAGCCACACACAAGGCTACAGTGCCAGCTTGTGACCCTAGAGTGTAAGTGCATATGATCGCCAACTATGTTCTCTTTCCACCCCAGGTCCAACACTGGGTAGTTAAGGACTGGAGGTTTCTCCTACATCTGCCTTCTTAGTGGCCACCTAAAGACTTTTGTATTTTCCTCCTCACATCCCCGCAGATGGGGTCCAGGTTGCCCAACACAGCTGGGTGATCAACAGGGCAGTGACCACCTGTGCCAGCCCTATGAGGTAGCTGAAGGATCACTGTTCCTTCCTTCTCAGGCTCTGGGCAGATGCCAGGGCTGGGGTGACACATACCCTCAAGTTTCTTGCTTTGGAGGGTCACATTTTCCCTTGGCAAGGTGGGTAAAGGTCAAAGGGAGCCAGAGACCTGTGACCTGCCTGTGCCATGGGCCCAAACTATAAAGACCTGTCTTAGAGAGCCTCTCTCTGTTTGGTATCTAGGTTTATATATATATGGTGTCAGGAGTGGGATTTGAACAAGATCACCATTGGAAGGAATCAGTGATTCCTGGAACCTATATGGAGCACACAGTTGGGCTCTTTGACCTTTTCACTTTCATGGCTCACCTTTCCTTTCCTGGTGAGTGTTCTCTTAGATTACGCCTTCTTCCTATTGGTACAGGCTTTTTCACTTGACTTAGGATTTGGTTGGGATAAGGCTGCCTTAGTAAGCTTGCTAGCAGGTTTAAGTGTAATAATGTTAAATGATGAGTTAATGGGTGCAGCACACCAACATGGCACATGTATACATATGTAACTAACCTGCACATTGTGCACATGTACCCTAAAACTTAAAGTATAATAAAAAATAAATAAAAATTAAAAAAAACAGAGCCACTAATTTTAATCCATTTTTCTAAGTCAAGTAACTCAGGAATGGAAAACCAAACATCATATGTTCTCACTCACAAGTGGGAACTAAGCTATGAGGATGCAAAGGCATAAGAATAATACAATAAACTTTGGGGACTTGAGGGAAAGGGTGGGAGAAGGCTGAGGAACAAAACAACATATTGAGTACAGAGTACACTGCTCGGGTGATGGGTGCACCAAAATCTAAGAAATCACCACTAAAGAACTTATTCATGTAACCAAACACCACCTGTTCCCCCCCAAAACCTATTTAAATAAATTATTTTAAATGGAGTTACTAATTTTTTAAAAATTCTAATAGAGCCAGCAAAGGCCATAAAGTTTTCATGCTTGTATGCCTAATAACAAAAATTATCACAGAAAGACTGCAAAACCCACAACCTTTTGCAAGTACACAAGAAATACTTCTACAAGGACATCTGCCCAGCAACTGCCTCTCCAACCTTGGACTGAACACACTTTCTATTGATCTTTGTAGCCAAGTATAATTATTTCCAAAACAATTAAGTAATCCTCCTCATGTTATGTAAAAACCTGTGTCTTCCTTTACCTCTGTGAGTGCACACATGTTTAATATGACAGGTGTATTCTCACTGCAACACTTTATTCCCAAATAAGTATTTTTTGTCTTAGAGAGCCTCTCTCTGTTTGGTGTCTAGGTTTATATACACGGTGTCAGGAGTGGGATTTGAACAAGATCACCATTGGAAGGAATCAGTGATTCCTGTAACCTGTGTGGAGCACACACTCGGGCTCTTTGACCTTTTCACTTTCATGGCTCACCTTTTCTTTCCTGGTGAGTGTTCTCTTAGATTAAGCCTTTTTCCTATTGGTAGAGGCTTTTTCACTTGACTTGGGATTTGGTTGGGATAATGCTGCCTTAGTAAAAGATCATACATCCATCCAGGGATGATAAAATACTTTTTGTCTTTTCTGGTAGGTCCTTTCTGGTATAAAGACAAGTGTCCTTCTGGACTGAGTACTCTTAGTGTCTACAGAATTTACATTCTGCCTGTATGTTTTCTCTGGTTTGCATGCCTAGTTTAATATTTAATTCTGTGTGCATGCCTATGTCAAAATTTTTGCAAACACTTTTATCTTGCTTTCTTTTGATTTGGTTGGACTCTTTTCCCTTGCAGAATGACTAGTTAAAAGTCACCAGTGAAGTCACCACCATCTAAAATACCCATGTAAACTCCTGACATTCCCTGATAGGATTTATAGAATTTTCTTTGCTCTCAAGAGATTAACAAGGAACTGAGTGGTATTCTCAAACATTAAGGGATGACAGGTTTTCTGACACTCTAGACAGCTACATATTACAGCCTGCTCTTGTGCACATTTCAAAACTGTGGGCAAATCACATTAAGAAATGTTCAGTGTTCAAATGGTCATTATTCAAAAACCTACAAGTATAGAGTTAACAGAGTCTTCTACGTTCTCTATCTCTGTTTTTTTCCTGCCTACTCTGAATCAGCTGACTTTTCTAGTGTTGTTAATATAAAACTCATTGCTTATGGCATTCCAGCTAAAAATTTTTAAAAATAAGTCTTAAAGGGCTTTTAAGTTAATGGCTTTACAAGTTACAATGGCTCCATGGTGAGCAACAACCTAGATACCTTTATAAATACACATTTAGATTTGTCTTACAATTATGTACAGTGATAAAACACTTAACTTACTTAAAAATTAATAATCTAAAAGAAAAGGAACTAGGTAAGTGTTTACAAAAGTTAGGCTCTTAGATCAAACAGGTCAAAATCTTAAGCTCAGAGCAATAATATGTTATCTCTGTCCAGCAAAAAAAATGTTTGCTTTTGTTGCCACACAGAAGCCAAAATGTAAAAGCGGAGAGAAAAAAGAAACTACTAAAATTCTTTTGCCCACATTTGCTAACCAAGCAAACTAAATCAGCAAACAAAAGATAGACTGGTTACTAATTCAATGCTACTTGGAGATTTTGTTCTTTCTTACACTATTCCACCAGTCCTAGTTAAAATGTACACATTGACAATTTAACCATAAATTTATTAGAAACTGAACAAAGGCAGAGAAAAGGGTGAAAGGCTTTTTTTTTTTTTTTTTTTTTTTTACTCAAACTGCTGTGAAAACTGCTTTACCCAAAATCCACAGCCTTCACCAGATTATCTATTAGGGCAAATAAAGTTTAGCCTCTATATGTAAACAGGTCCCAATTTTGTCAGAAATATAATTTGGGTCCAAATGTTTTATCAGCCAGTGAGTTTGTATTACTATCTCACAACCAAAATTCTAAAATAAAAGCGATGAGATTTTTATTTTTTGTGTGTATACATATGTGTTTAGATGTGTTCATATAGAAGCACATGTATCATGTTACATATTATGTCTACATGGTGAAATCTGGCATAGTCAGCCAGAAATTCCTTAAAGATAAATGAGTACTCATATAAAGTACAAAATATATAATAATTACCAAATGCCTTTTAGTTCACATGACTTAAATAAATCTTTTTATTATTATTTTATTTTTATTATTTGATTTTATTTATTTACTGAAGCTCATTTTTAAATTATTGGTAAAAATAAAAATGTCTTTAGAATTGTCAGCATATATTTCTGCCTGGGTTTACTGGTTACTTTAATATTTGTCTCCGATAGATATTTTAAGGTGTCAGGGTTTCACATGAAGGTTATACAACTGTAAGCCCAGGCTAAAACAAAGTGATTTTTGTATAATTATTTGATAAGCAAAACTAACTTAATACTGTTGCTTTAATAAAAACAGCTGTATCTTCTGAGTTGTTGGGAACATGCTCCTACATTTAACTTCAAGGTCCTTAATCAGGTGAACATTGATATTCACAAGCTGTAAAAATGATTAACAGGGAAATAACTTGAAATGAGATCGAGTTTTGTCTAATATCCCAGTTCTCACTGGTAATCCAGGTAAATGTTAGAAAATTAAATGTAAATGAGAAAAATGTCTATAAAGTTTTCATGTAACTTGATGTCTTAAAGTTACATTAAATAATAGATACTAATTAAATGTGTAGGTCATTTCCAAATAAGATTTTAAAGTTATGTTCTAGGGGACCAGGGGCCATGGCTCACACTGTGGGCCGGGGCTCACATCTGTAATCTCAGTACTTTGGAAGGCCAAGTTGGGTGGATCGCTTGAGCTCAGGAGTTCGAGACCAGGCTGGGCAACATAGCAAAACCCAGTCTCCACAAAAAAATACAAAAATTAACCAGATCTGGTTGCATACGCCTGTAGTCCCAGCTACTCGAGAGGCTGAAATCGAAGAATTACTAGAGCCCAGAAAGCAAAGGTTACAGTGAACTGAGACTGTGCCACTGCACTCCAGCACAGGTGACAGAGCCAGACCCTGTCTCAAAAAAGAAAAAAAAAAAAAGTGTGTGTGTGTATTATATATATATATATATTAGGGAATATGTTTGTAAAAATTATAAAATGGTTCTTATCTATAAAATACTGATAGGTGACAGACAATTTAAAATTTCTTACTTTCAGCTAGGCATGGTGGTTCACAATTATTTTTATTACAAAAATAAAATTTCTGTAATCTCAGCACTTTGGGAGGCTGAGGCGGGCAGATCATCTGAGGTCAGGAGTTCCAGACCAGCCTGGCCAACATGGCAAAGCCCCATCTTTACCAAAAATACAAAAAATTAGCCAGGTGTGGTGGCGCATGCCCATAATCCCAGCTACTTGGGAGGCCGAGGTGGGAGAATCACTTGAACCCGGGAGGCGGAGGTTGCAGTGAGCCAAGATCATGCCACTGCACTCCAGCCTCGGCAACAGAGTGAGATTCCGTCTTAAAAAATTAAGGAAATTTTCACTAAAATTTAAGGTTACTAAGAGTTAAAATTTTTAATTAGTACATATAATTCTATATATACAATGTGCCAAAAAATAAGGCGTTCTTGGTGAGAAAAAAATTATTAGAAAGTCATAAAAAATACATTTTATTGAGAAAAAGAATATTTTTATCGAATTTGGGGATCATTTAAAAGTTGTTTCACAGTAGCTAGAAAAGAACTAGTAAGTAGGAGACAGATGTAAAGAAAGTTATGGATATTAAGATGTAATTTTGGTAACAGAAGTCTTTCTAAAGATTGAAATTTGACATTAAAATACATTAATACAAAACAACAAAATAAGTTGGTCCCCTATGTTAGAATGACAGTTTGCTTACTGATTTGCTCTTAGTAAAATTTTAAGAGGTTTTATTTTTAATTCTAAAATCTTATTTAATAGAAGATTTAAACTAGTTCTAATTCTTCCTGAGATCTAACTAACTTCCCTAGTTTCAGATTGGAAATGCGGTGTCTTTCTTTCAGAATGGCCATTTCATTTCTAGAGGTAACATTTTTCTTTTTCAAACTTCTCAGATTTATATCCGAAATTCAACTTTCTCTGTACCACATTGCAGGTCATAAACCACTGCCTTCTGTTTTCTCCCCCTTTAAAAAGGTGTATCTTTTTGCATGGCCACAATGGTAACAGTGGTAGCTCTGTCTTTCAACATTTTTGTCAACTCCTGTAACATTTTTTCTCTGGTTCTAGTTCTGCTGTTATGGCCTGACACTGAAATGGTTAGCATGAAGGTCTGGAAAACCAATGTTTTCCTCCAACATAACTTGAATCTGTACTTTTGGCTTTTCTTCCTATGTCTAAATTGTTGTTCCATGTAACCAGGAAACTTCCCATGCTGTTACTAACAGCCATGTATTCCCTGGCTCATGGTACTAATTTCCTTGTTTACATTCCTCTAAAATACAGTGTACACTCATATCCCCGTACATACTCTTCCTGTGTCTGATTAAATTCAAGTACCCTTTTTGATTACTCAGGAAAACTAAGCTTTAAAAGGGTTCGAGTTTTCATATCCACATAACTTTCTGTATAGCTTTTAAGTCTCTGGTTAAATGACTATTCTTTTAACAGTGACCTGTGATTCTGTTTTGATCAAATGTTTTCAATCTTTGACAGGTTTCCCCAGAGTCAAAAATCCTAAATTAAGTCTTAAAATTAACTTCGGGACTGTTCAGCTGGGTCCCTGGAGAGTCTAAAGAATGGATCTCTCACCTTGTAGAGATATTAAATTATTAGATTTGGTAGACTGTATGAGCGGGCATTGTCAAATGTTGTGATACTGCATGGGAGAGCATTGTCAAATTATGTGATATTAGATCCCACTTCAGTTACATTTATAGGTATGTTATTGACACGCATGTTCCAAAAATTATATAAACTTATAAAAATTTAATGATTCATAATTTTGATTGTTACGCTAAATATTTGCTAAAGTTACATTTGTATAAATATGTTATTAATGCATTCTGAAGATTGTATGAAATTTATAAAAGCCTGGTGGTCCTGATGTGATGCTGTCAGTCATGATTCTGGTTATTGTCTTAACATGCTGCACGTAAGAGAAGTAACTAAATTTCCTTGTCAATTGGGAACTTTCATCAGATTTTCATCATAGCTATTCTGTTTCCATCATCCACAGTTCTGCTTTGAATTCGAAAAATATTTGCGATCAGCGATAGTCCAAATTTGCTTTTCATGGAAAAAACTCTTAACAGGTCCTCTTGAACACAGGTTTCTGATAACTTTCAGATCAATAAACTACCCCAGCCTTTACCACTATGCAATATAGGCATGTAAGAAACTTGTACTTATACCCTTTAAATATATTAAAACAAATGTTTTAAAAAAATAAACTAAACACAAATTCCTAGAACTCTAATAAACTTAAGGGTTCAAAAAACTGCTAAGCAAGATCAAGCAAAACAAAAAATCTATGAAATTAAGATAATATTTTTATAACTTTTATTTAAAACACTGTTGGTTGTATTCTAGATTTAAGAAAGGTTTCTCACAGATGTTATCTATAATTTACATCAGTTTGGTAAAGCACACTTGTAAACAAAGGTGGAAGCATTTGGTTTTTCTCCCTACTTGATCCCTCCAAAATTTGGAAACTATTCACAAATATTCTAATTTTCGTTTACATATCGGCTCTTTATAAGCAGGATAAAATCGGAAATATTGGTTATATTATCAAGGCTTTGACTGAAACATCATATTTAAGAATATGCATAAAATGCCCGGATTCAAGAGTTTCCAGCCTTACAGTGAGGGGAGAAAAATGTCACTTCCTGGCGGACCTGACAACCTTAGAACTTTTCGGGGAGAAGCTTGGCAGGGAGGGGACCTGGCAGCTGCTCCTGGGCAGGAACCAGAGGGCAAAGTCCGTGGCGACCCTCGGGCCTGGCGGGGACCTTACGCTTCCCGGCGTCTTTCCCTCTGCCCCGCCGGCTGCTGAGGGAGCGGCGGCCGCCCTGCGCCTGGAGGTCGTTCCCTCGCCTCCTCCGGGCCGCGGGTAGCGAGAGGCGGCGGCGGCCGGAGCCGGTGTGGGCGGCCTGAGGCGAAAGCCCGGCCGGCCCCTAGGGGAATGAAACAACCACCGGCTACCAGAGCAACAACGGCCTCCGCGGCTGCACCGCCGACTTCCCGGAGGAGCGAAGGCGCCCCGCAAAAACACGCCGCAGAGCGGAACCCGGGCCCCGCCGCCCCAGCAGGGGGCAGCAGCGACGCAGACAGGAAGCCCAGGTCCTGGGCGCTGGACACCTCGGCGGCCTCCGCGACCAATGAGCGCCACACCAACCTCCAGGCGGCGCTCCCACCGCACCTGCCGCCGCCGCCGCCCCGGGGCGAGAACTGCGCCGTCGGCCCTGCCACGCTGACCCGTGGGGCCCCGGCCGCCGCCCCAGGGTGACGAGGAGGAGCAGGACGGGGCCCCAGAGAAGGGCAAGAGCTCAGAGCTCGGGCTCCAGTGCCAGGAAAAGGCCAGGAGCAGAAGATGGAGAGATGGAGAAGCAGCAGGTGCGGAGAAGCGGCGCTCCACGGGCTGGGTCAGCATCCGCTGGCGGATCTTAGATGACTTTGAAGATGAGGAAGCAGGGCAGAAAGAGCGGAAACGAGAAGGTGCAATGACACAACGGAACCCAATGCAGAATCCAGCCCCAGGACTCAAACGCTGGCTTTAATTCCAACTCACACCCCGTGCCCCTAATCAGAGAGGATCAGGGGAGATGGAGGACCCAAGGAACCCTGGCACCTGAAGGGTGGGAATCTGAGGCCAAGACTGATTGTGGGAAATTGTGGGAATCAGGAAAGGAGGAAGTGAGGCAGAATGGGGGGACGGCGGGGGTGGGGGGATGGCGGGGAGCTGGGCTAGGAAGGATTAAAAATCAGAAGCTCAGAGGCGAGTAGATCATCTGACGTCAGGAGTTCGAGACCAGTCTGGCCAACATGGCAAAGCCCCGTCTCTAAATAAAATACAAAAAAATAGCCGGGCGTGGTGGCGCGCGCCTGTAATCCTAGCTACTAGGGTGTGCTGAGGCAGGAGAATTGCTTGAACCCGGGAGGCGGAGGTTGCAGTGAGCCGAGATGGTGCCACTGCACTCCTGCCTGGGCGACAGAGCAAGCCTTGTCTCAATAAATAAATAAATAGTTAGAACCTTAGGAAGGATCCAGAGGGGAACTGTCCTTAGGAAGGTGCATGCTGGGGATGAAGGAATTGGTTTTAAGACTCAGGAAGTGAGGGCAAGGGAGAGACGAGTGTTGGGGGTGCAGTGGGGTGCTAATGCAGCAGCCAAGCAGAAGACTGGAGGAAAACAGAGCCCTTCTCCTCCAACTCCAGCTGCTCCTCTGAGTCCCAGGCCACCTGCTCCTGTGTCTGCCAACCTACTGACATGTCTCCCAGCCCTGCTGGAATGCTGTTCCTCCTGATCTCTGCCCTGCCCCAGACCTTTCACTAACCCCACCACCCCCACTGTCCAGGTCCTACCACCCCACTGCCCCGACCATAGCCTGCCCCTATCCCAGATGCCTCTCCTTCCAGCCTCTTGCCCTAGGTGACACAAAGGGGACCTGGACATGCAGGTGAAGAGGGTGTTCTTCTGGGTCCTCCTGCTCAAGTATCCCGCTCATGCAGTTATGAGTGTGAGTAAATGTTGGATATGACACAGATTCTATTTCTCAAGCTGTTTCACACTGTGGTTTACCTAACAGTGTTTTTGTGGAATCATCTATGGGGATTTGGTCCTCCCTGCAGACCTCAGTGCAGATTTCTTGAGCAGCCTACAGGGGCTCTGGCCCCACCTGTCCACACCAAGTTCTGGGTCCTGCATGCCCTGCTTGGCCCAAATACAGCAAGGTTGACAGGATGGAAAGCTGAAAATGGTGACTTATAATATCGAAAAGTAAGGATTTCACGGCCCAGTGAAACAGAATGGAGAACCCAGAAATAAATCCTTGCATTTACAACCAACTCATTTTTGACCAAGGCACCAGGAACATACCTTGGGAAACAGATGGTCTCTTCAATAAATGGTACTGGGAAAATGAGACACGTGAAGAATAAAACTAGACTTCTATGCCTCATCATATATAAAAATCAAATCAAAATGAATTAAAAACTTACATGTAGGAAACTATGAAACTACTAGAAGAAAACATAGGGGAAATACTTTAGAACACTGGTCTAGGCAAAGATTTCCTGAGTAAGACCTCAAAAGCACGGGTAACGAATGCAAAAATTGATAAATAGAATTACATCAAGCTAAAAAGCTTCTTCACATCAATAAAAATAAAAATAAAGTGAAGAGACAACCCACAGAATGGGAGAAAAATTTTCCAAACTATTCATCCAACAAGGGATCACTAACAAGAATACGTAAGAACTCAAAAACAAAAATTCCAAATAATCCAATTTAAAAATGGGCAAAAGATTTCAATAGACATTTCCCAAGAGAAGATACACAAATGGCCAACAGTTATATGCAAACATGTTTAACATCACTAATCATCAGATAAATCCAAATCAAAACCACAATAAAATATAATTTAACCTCAATTAAAATGGCAATTGTCAAAAACTCAGAAAATAACAAATGCTGAAAAGGACACAGAGAAATGGGAGCGCTCAAACACTCTTCGTAGGAACATAAAATAGTTTATCCACTATGGAAAACTGCATGGAGGTTCCTCAAAGAACTAAAAATAGAACTATCATATGATTCAGCAATCCCACTGCTGGGTATATGCCTACAAGAAAGAAAATCAGTATGTCGAAGAGACATCTGCACTCCCAGTTTATTGCAGCACTATTCACAACAGCCAAAATATGAAATCAACCTAAGTATCAACGGATGAACGGATAAAGTGTGGTACATATATATGAAAAAAAAAGGATTTGTGAATATACTAAAAGCCATTGAATTGTATGCCTGAAATGGGGAAGTTGTATGCTATATGAGTTCTATTTCAATAAAGTTGTTTTTTAAAACATAAGGAATCTTATTTAATAATCATCATGGGCATTCTTGGAAGCCCTCTGCAAGATCCTGTTTCAAGTTCTGCAAGTTTGGGGTCCAACCTGTGTGAACCTTGTTTCCCTATGAGTACATTATTTATGTTTGTGAAAGCTTGACAGCTCCAAGAACACTAATACTTAATCGTTGGTTTTAGCACTAGTCTGTGTAACCAAATACCACCTGTACCCCCTATAACTTACGGAAAAAAAGTGAAATGTCTTTTGCACTCTGTTATTTCGAGTTTGTTGATTTTTAGCAACATCTGGGTCATCCCTTTTCTTCTTCTCTGGCAGGCTGCCCCTAGGGATTCCCTGTTCAGCCAGTTTGATGAGAGCCCTAAGAAACCCATCAGATACCAAAATAAATGGCTATATTCTGCTGGAATGTTTGTAGTGGGGGAATCACATATGACCAGGAGGTGAATTATTATTGTCATTTCCTTTGTGAAATGTGTCACTTGTCATCTCTTGATTTACCCAAGGCAGGGAGAGAGAAAGAGAAAAAGGGAGTTGATCAGACACTTCCCATTAAGATAAGTATTAATAAATTTCTTCTGATCACCATGGCCCAGATACCTATGGAGGGATCTGGAAAGGTCCAGTGTTCAGGAACAACCCTATCATTTAGGCAGTGTTAGGCCAATTGAATACTTCCAATCAAAAGAACCTATTCTGTTTCCTTTGAGTCTTTTAAAAGGGCAAATGTCTTGAAAACGTTTATTCTTAGAGTTTTGGGGGTTTTGTTGTTGGTTGTTGTTGTTGCTTCTATCTTGGCTGCATTTTTCATAGGTCATCTAACCTCTCTTTTCCTAGCATCTTTGAGCATTTGGATAAATTAAGCTGTCTTGCATTTCCCACCTCCACCCTTGCTCATGGCCGCATTCGCCTCTCAAAATTCCCCTGAGCCTTCTGAGGACTTTTTTTTTAACTTTTATTTTAGATACAGGGAGTACATGTGCAGGTTTGTTACATGGGTATACTGCAATTAAGTAGTGAGCATAGTACTCAGTAGGTCGTTTTTCAACCCACGCTCCTCTCCCTCCTTCCCCACTCTAGTACACTGTGTCTACTGTTCCCATGTTTATGTCAATGGATGCTCTATGTTTAGCTCCCACTTATAAGTGAGAAAGTGCGGTATTAGGTTTTTCTATTCCTGTATTAATTTGCTTAGGATTATGACTGAGACCAACTCTTATCCTTCACGCTGTTAAGTAGCTCTGATCTTCAAGATTAGCCAGAAGGAATCTGTACACTCTGCAAGTGTTTCAGTGGCACTTTGTTTATACTGCTTATGGGGCATTTGAGTTCATTGCCTTAAATTGCAGGTAATTTGTTATAAATTTGCCTCCTCTAGAAAGTCACAGGTTTTGTAAGGGAAAGAACTGGGTCTTGTCTGTTGACCTATCCTATAGGATATTTCCGTATTGGCAGCAGCTCATATTTCCATGTATTTTGTGCATCACTTGAGCAGAATTTGTCCCACTGAAATAATACCTACATGTCTTTTTAAATCAAATTAGTAATTCCTTGCTGAGGTTGATCTATATCAGTACAGTTAAACACTGGATAAGGGGTTCAACATAAAGATTACTTCCAATGTTGACAGTCTAAGATTCTGTAAAATTATTTGTGAGGGTGCAAGAAATGTGAAACTACCACATGTATAAGAATGTATAAGAATGGAGTGTACCACATGTGGTAGAATGTGTAGTACGTGGTAGAATGTATGGCACACTGTTTGACACTACACTATGTGGTATATCATAAAAATGTGACACTACCACATGTAAAGAATGCTATGACCTGTGGTCTCAAAGGTTAAAAAGGTTTATATCTCACCCTTCTTCATATATTTTTTATTTCTTTCCCTTTCCATATTCTCTTATTTAAGTTTTTTCATAGAGAAAAGTATATTTTCTCTCCGTCTCCCCTCTCATTTTCAAGCCTGATACCTTAGGAAATTTTAAATTCTCTCTTCTTAGCTTTCAAATTAATTGTTTGTGTATCTTCGCTCTGCTGTACTTTTCAGTTTCTCAGAGTTCAGACAACCACCATGAGACCTGCAGCTTTTGTGGCCCTGTTGGATCTAATCTAGGTAGGAGAGTCCACTATGGTTATCTGTGTCCAGACAGTTGCCAGATGGAACCAGAGTGACCATGACTGGGAATGCTTTCCCAAGTAGTGACAAAATGGCCTTTGTCCTTCTTGTCCATTTGATCCCCATCTTTAATCATTGTGCTCAGAGCTACTGCTCCCATTCAGAAAGTGGCTGCTCAAGGACAGCATATTTTTCCCAAAAGTACACACTTTACATGCCTTAGCAGTGAGTGCTGAAGATAAGTGTTTTAAGAGTTCAGAGAGGTTTTATATGCAAGAAACTAATGCTTGAATGTGGATCAGTATACATTATGAGTTTACTGTCTCCTAAAATACCTGTAAAATCTAGTCTTTGTAAAACAGTATGTTTGTCTTTTTTCTGATGATAATATGTTCCAGAAATTTTATATCTTTTTTCATAAGAATTTTATAGCTGCTATTAATTGGTTTAGATGCAATACTATGAAACATGAAGGTGAATTCTTAGTGGTGATTATTTGGGATTGTGTTTCTAATAAGCTTCTATTTTCAGAGTTTTAATCGTATAATATACAAAAATCCTCTAGTATGAAGTCTTTTATATACTTAAAAATCTTACATTATGTGCCTTGTTTCAAAATGAAAGTGAATGTTGAACAAAAACTGAAATGGTATTAGAAGCATGGATTAATGGAATAATCCCAGTACAACTATAATAATGGCCACCTGTTTTTTTGTTACATCTATAATGTATTTCTATATTATTTTTTCAATATAAAATTTTGATCATTATTTGCATTTTTAAAATTTTTCCATTCTTTCATACTGGTTGGATGTATATTGGGATATTTCCCAAAGGATTTAACCCAGACAATTCATGTATGTTCAAAAGAAAACCTAGGCCCTCTTTTTGTTTCCCATCAAGTTACTAACATGAACACTAATTTATGTTTGAAATCAAAGCAAACTTGTAAAATAACCTTTTAGTAAAGACCTCAGTGAGTAAGACAACTGTATAATCTCAATTTTAAAACTTCAATGTACACATTCCTTCTATTAAGAAAGAAAGAAATCCTTTCTATCAAAAAAAAGCAATAGCATATATTTAGTAGTCAGTGGGCTTTTTTGCATACTGTTAGCGGTACCGTGAATTCTCACAGGCATCCTAAAAGGCAACTGAATAATAAAATATATCTTCGAAGGCTTTAAAATATTCATATCCTTTTTTCAGTATAGTTTCATCTCTGGCAATCTACCCTAGCAAAATAACCAGTTGTGCATTCAAAGAACTTATAGGAGGACATTATTTATTATTGTGAAAGTATACAATAATCTAAATTATACGTAGTAGGAGAATTATTAAATTATTTTACACCCTTAAGGTGGACTATTAGGCAGTTCTTAAAATTCACATGTTTCAAAGACATTTTAGGATACAGACACTAATCTTGAGCTAATGTCAGATAAAAGAAAGCAGAAACCAGGAGTTTCTATATAGTATAATTAAAAGTATATATGCTCTGCCCGTAGAGTGAAAAACTGCTACATAAAAATACCACAAAATACTGTAAACACCTATTCACAGGGACCAAGATAATTTTCCTTTCCTTTTCCCAATACATGTCTATTACCAAAATTTCTAGATTGATTATGTAGTATTATGCTCAGAAAATACCATTTTCTTTGAAAATGCAGATTATATAATGTTTTAAATCTTTGATTTTTACTCATTTGAATGCATTTTTGGTATAGAGTTTATCTTTGGACTTGGTATTACATTTTTCTGATTTCTTATCACTTTTAAAAAATGAAAATAGCTTATTAATTTTTAAGTTATATCAGTAATAGCCATCACCATAATCAAGATATGGGATATTTTCATAACCCTCAAAATGTACTCTTTGTCCCTCTTTGCAATCCAACTGCTTCTCCCCTGTTCCAGGCAACTAATTATCTGTTCTCTGTCACTATGGAATTCTTTTGCCTTTGATAAAATTTTACATAAATATGATACACTGTATTAGCAAAATGAAGAACAAAAACCATATGATCATCTCAGATGTAGAAAAAGCATTGACAAATTCAACATCCTTCACATTAAACACTCTCAACAAATTACATATAGAAGGTACATATATGTACCTCAAAATAATAAAACCCATATATACAAGCCTACAGCTAACATTACAGTCAACTAGCTTTTCCCTAAGATCAGGAGCAAGACAATAATGCCCACTCTCACCATTGCTATCAACATAACACTGTTAATTTTAACCAGAGCAACTAGGCAAGAAAAAGAAATACAAGGCCTCCAAATCAAAATGAAAGAAGTTAGATTGCCAATGTTTGTAGAAAACATGATCTTATATAGAGAAAACCTAAAGACTTCACCAAAAACCTGTTAGAACTAATAAACCAATTCAGTAATGCTGCAGGAGATAAAACTAACATACAAAAATTAGTGGTGTTTCTATACACTAAAAACAAACTATCTGAAAAAGAAATCAAGGAAACCATTCCACTTACAAGAGCATGAAAAATAAATTAAGATATTTAGAAATAAATTTAACCACAGAGCTGAAGGACTTGTAAACTGAAAATCATAAAACATTTATAAAAGAAATAGAGATAGTTTTAGCAGGACAATGTACCTAGGATTTCTCAGTCACCTTCTCCATACAGCAAACCTAAAGGGAAACTGGTTACATTCCCATTTTACCCAAACCTATAATTTTGAATTGCCCCAAAGTAGCTACCATTAAGTTAGTAGGGAGGATTGGTGAAGCCCAGAAGCCAGTATATAGAAGATCATACTTTCCAGGCCTGCAAGCTATGTTTTGACAAAATATTTGATTATGTCTATTTACACATGGAATTTATCTAAGGAAAGTAGACCAGAAGCCAAATGCTTGAGGAAATTGTATGACAAAAAAAAATACTCGTAAGTCTGGACTTTCTGATACATAGACTAGTTTGACCCATAATAGAACTCCTGAGACCCCAGTTCTGTACCAGCATGAGGTGGGCTACAAAAGCCATGCTGTCCTCAAGAAGGGCATATTCACCAGTGCCACTTCAGATATGGCCAAAGAGGATCACAAACAAGAAATGGCTTTCCAGAAGGCAAGCCAAATATCGAGATGACAGCAAAGGTGAGATTGCCTCCCAGAAAGCAGAATTAGTACTTGCCAAGTGAGCTGAGAACCCAAACACTGCCAGGATGTATGCTTTCACCATTCCTGCCCAGCAGGATTTGACAACTGGGTATTGCTGGGCCCAAGTCAGCTGGGTAATGCTCATTTTTCTCTTTCCAGTCTTGGAGTTTTCCATGCAATTTTATGGTTCCCACTTCAGACCTAAAGAGTGGGTTGTTTGGAGAGTAGAGATAACTTATGTTTTAGTTTCTAGTTTGCCATATGGCAGGGACCCCATCCCTGTTGGTTGAAGAGAACTGAGCAATACCCTCCATCTTGAATTTTGAGTTAGATGTAGCAATTCTGTGAGACTTAGAGGTTATGCTTCTTGGAGAATATTCTATAAATGGGAAAACTGTTCCATGTTGTGTTCATGGATAGTCAATGAATAGACTGTGATGGAAAATGCTAGTTGTCTCTCAGTATTCATGCCCACATCTCTCTCATGCATATGGAATCTCCAGTTCTTAGTTGAGCATATAGGCACTCAGAATAAAGATCACAGTTCCCAGACTCTTTCTGAAGCCACATAACTTAAGTCTGCGCCAATGGAATATGAGCAGAGGTAATGTGTAAAAATTTCTAGTTATTCACCTAGGCAAGGGGAATGTTCTTCCCCTCACCACTCTCCCGTCCCACTGGATGGAATATGGACGTGATGGCAAGTTGTTTCAGAAATGCCCTAAAGATGGTGGAGCAACGTTACAGAAAGAATCTGGGTCCCTGAAAGGGTGAAGATACTAAACCAGTGTGATGGATGATTTTAGGTGTCAACTTGACTGGATTCAGAGATACCTAGATATCTGGTAAAGTATTCATTTCTTGATGTGCCTGTGAGGGTGCTTCTGAAGGATATTGGTGTGTGAGTAGGTGGATTGAGTGGGAAAGATCCACCCTCAATGTGGTAGGCGCCATCTTATTGGCTGAGGGCCTAGATGCAATGAAAAGCTGAGAAAGGGAAAATTTCTCTCTCTTTCCGTGTGTGTGTGTGTGTGTGTGTGTGTCTATCTACCTCTCCCCCTCCTGGAACTGGAACACCCTTATTCTCCTGCCCTTGGATATCAGAACTTCAGGTTCTCAGCCCTTCAGCCTCAAATTGAGAGTTAGGCCATTGGCTTCCCTGGTTCTAAAGATTTCAAACTTGGACTAAGCCACACTACCAACTTCTCTTGTTCTTCAGCTTACACCATAGGACTTCTCAGCCTCCATAATCACATGAGCTAATTCCCCTAGTAAGTCCCTCTCACATATCTGTATCTATATTCATCTTTATTTCTCTATTTCCTATTGGTTCTGTTTTTCTGGAGAACCCTGACTAATACAAACAGCTTTTCACTGCATATGCTCAGACTGTCAATTGAAGAAACAAATTTACTATTTTGTGTCTTTGTTGAAGCAGCCAAACTTATATCTAACCAATGCACCACAATAAGGAGTTTATTCATCTTAAAGGCAGCGTGATGTTTTAGGCAGTACTTGGACTAGATAATTTATTGGAATATTTTAGTTCTAATATTAGATATAGTTACAATGTTAATATCATCAAATTGAAACCATTAAATCTCAGATTTCTGGAATGCGAATAAGTGAACCCATCATCCAAAGCTTACATTATTTTACTCCCTCTGGCGACTGGAAACATGGATAGGAATTGTGATGAAGAACTTCAACCACCAGTAACCAAGTTACACCTCACACAGTTATAAATAAAGTTAAAATCTTATCAAAACAATAAATCTTCAATATTTTATTAAACAAATATTGTGACCTCTTTTAAATATATGTTATACACACCCCCTTTCAAATTTTAGTTTTGCTAATTTGAGGCTCCAAGGTGGACCCTCCCACCGCCCCCCGCTGAGGATCATGAGATCTGGCTCCCTACCTGATTGTTGCAAGACTTTCACCTACACTACCTTGAGTACGAGACTTTCACCTACACTACCTCGAGAGGCAATCCCTAGAGGGCCTTCGATGTGCCTATTTATTTAAAAAAAAAAAAAAAAAAAAAAAAAAGGCCTGTCATCTCAGTGGGTTAAAGAGGCAGGGTGTGGTTACCTCACCTGGCTGATGAGCAACCCCCTTCTCCCTTTCTGCAGTGCAGGATTTTGTAAGCAACAAAATCTTATTTAAACTCTGTGTCCATCATCTTTTCACCACACTTGGCACAGTAGTCTGTGACCTATTTCTCCTGACATCATATCAGAAAGCAAGGCACACCTGTTGCTTCAACTTAGCTCACAGCCCATAGATTTTATCTCCCAGAAGCAAAAGAGATTGCCTTTTAGGCTTGAGAGCCAATGAAAGTGAGCCAGGACTTAGTTTGTGCTGGCACCAAGGAAATGCCTTTTTCCCCAGAGCCGGCAACTAAACTATAAGAGGTAAGCAGTTCTCAGAGGAGACAGAAGGCAACAGCTCTACCATCCTCCAAACATCTGAAGCCCCCCATAGAAACTCCTCTTGGAATTGGTAAGTATCTGTGCTCATGGGCTTCTTCTCCAATGATCTGACTGTTGCTTGTACTCATAAGGAAATTGTTTGCCTTATGGATTCATTCTCAGCACTACAATCTCAGTGATTATCCCTCTGAGCTGCTCAATTACTCCCTGTCTTTTCCTCAATTTACCTAGGTGGTTCCCTGTCTGACCCAAATGCTAGGCCGATTTCAACCCTTCTCCTTGGTCCGGAGTTTCAGACTGGGATTTGAAGCCTGCTGCTATCCAAACCAAAAATGTGCTACTCAGACCATCAGACCCCCTGACTCCAGGTGCCTAGTCCAAGCAGTTTCTCAGAACTTTAATTTTGCAAAGGATGTGTTGGATCAGTGGTCCCAGCTGGAAAAGGTAAAACTTGTTGTTTTCTACCTTGGAAACTTTGGCCAAGGCCAGTTGGTAAAGCGTCCAAAGATCATGAGATTCATATCCCATCTATGGCTGGCACTAGAAAGTGCAAATTCAGAGAAAAGAAATTATAGCAAAATGACTAAGAACATAGGCTTGACAGCCAGATGGTTCTACATTGAAATCCTGGCTCTGCTGCTAAATAACCATGCAAACTTGGACAAGTTATTTGCCTTCTAGGACCTTAGTTTTGTTATCAGTAAAATTGAGATATTAATGGTGTGTTTTTCACAGTGTTGTCGAGAAGATTAAATGAGACAATCAATAAAAAGTGTTTAGCACAGGACTCAACACCCTGAAAACACTCAATAAAAGTTAGCTTTTATTATCACTAGTAATATTATTGTCACATAGATATGATTCTAATTAACCAACATTTTTGAGCATCTTCTAGCACATACAAAATTTTAGAAGCCAAACACTAAAGGAACTTACTGCGTAGTGTTTTTCTTTAAAGCAAATGATAGCCACAAAGTGCTGAAAAAGAAGTGCCAAAGGAAATAAGTATAAGTATGCCTCTGGATAATGGAATTTAGAAAGATTTGATAAAGGAGGTGGTATTTACTGCATCCTGAAGAATGAGAAGAATTTCAACAAAAAGACAAGGGAAAGACTGTCTAGGCAGGAACAACCACATGAATAGAGACATCATGGAAAGAAGGAAGAGTATTCAGGAACAGTTTGGCTAGGTATAGGGTCAGAGGGAAGAGTATTGAGTTATGAGGAGAAAACAGGCAGGAAGCAGTCTAATTTTGAAAGGCCCTGCTGTGTGGAGTGGACTTGCTTACTCTCTGGCTAGGTAACTCTGGAGCAAGTCATTTTAACTCTCTGAGCCTCATTTCCTCCCTCTGTCAAGTGGGGCTGGTGGTGCCCGCAGGAGAATCCAGTGCGTGTGGAGAGTGAGCAGCGAGAGTTATTTGCATGTGTAATATCTGATTGCCCCTCTATTCTCCTCCCCTCCCCAGGCCCCTTCCTGGCCCTCCCCACCTTCATCACCCGCTTTGGGAGGAGTAAGGAAAGTGGACAAAACAGTAATTCATTGTCTTTGTGCAAAATATACTTACTGCCTTTGGTGCATCATCTAGGGTTAGATAAGAGGGAAGACTTCTGTTTAGGAGACTTAATTTTTACCCATTTGGGCCAAAGAACAAAAATTCTGTAGAGCAAGGATTGTGAAAGCTCCTTGAAAAGGTTTGAGGCATGTATCCTGAAGGACTTTGGGGTGCTTTCATCTTTGCTGAGCTGTGCCCCCTCTTGGGGTGCCCTCCCCACCCATTCTGCCTTCCCAGCCCAGCCTGTGCTGCTTTCTCTCTCCTCTGCTTTTCTTAGCTTGTGTTCTACCACCAGGCACTATGTGTGAGTCCTGGGTCCCAGTAAGATTCTAGGGCTAGCGTTGTGCCTTTTATCTCTTTGTGCCCGCATGGCATCTGGCACCATGCAGAGCCTTGTTCCTTTGCTCAGCTCTTGATTAAGCATATGGATTACAGACAAAGGCCCAGCTGGGCCCTACCCAGCAGAAGCTTCCAGGCTGGGAGGCAAGACAGATGAGCAGTGATTGGGTGCCAAGGAATTCAGAGGGCTGCAGCTGTGAGCAAAGGCTTGGGCTCCAAAAGCCACACAGTCAGCCCAACTAAACATTGGTTGTCTGAAGTCACTTGGGGCATCAATCACAGGTGCCCAAAACGTCAGTCAGCAGGAACTTTACAAATCATCTGCTCCAACCCTTTATCATTTAAGAGCACTTCATCATAGAATTGTTAGAAAATACTGGTAAACATGAAAAAATTTTAATATGGAATATTACCCAAAGATAACCACTGGTAATTTTCATATATATTTCTTTTCTACTGATTTTTATAGATCATCCGATTTCACAAAAGTGGAGTCATTCTATATATAACTATTTGTAACCTGGAATCACACTTGTTACTTGACTTGTTACTTGCTGTTTTTCTCCTCCAAACACTATGCTGTGAAAGCACTATGCTGTGGAAATAACATGATGTAGAAACAATGCACTGTAGAAATAATATAATGTGGAAACAATATGATGTGGAAACTACCTTTCAACACCAATAAATATTCTACTTAATACTTTAATATCTCTATGTTTATAAAGTATTTCATTGAGTGTTGAACCAAGATGTATTTATTCTTTATTGTTACCCCTCTAAGTAGTTTACAAGTTTTTTTTTGCTATTGTAAGCAAGGCTGAAATGAATATCTTTGTGTATCTATATTCTTTTCTTCATTTACATTACCAGAAGTGAAATTACTCCATCAAATGCACTACACGAGCATTTGGAAAATACATTTCTGGATTGCCTTCTACAAAAAAGTGCCAATTCCCACACTCAATGGCATCGTGTGGTAGGGTGTGTTTCTTCATACATACATAAACTCTTGGTATTTTCATTGTTTTTCATTTGTACTAGTCTGTTCATCAGTAAATTCTATCATGAAGGGGTGGCCTGCCCCTCCACATCTGTGGGTATTTCTAGTCGGGTGGGACGAGAGACTGAGAAAAGAATTAAGACACAGAGACAAAGTATAGAGAAACAACAGTGGGCCCAGGGGACCGGCACTCAGCATACCAAGGACCTGCACCGGCACCGGTCTCTGAGTTCCCTCAGTTTTTATTGATTATTATCTTCATTATTTCAGCAAAAAGGAATGTAGTAGGAGGGCAGGGTGATAATAAGGAGAAGGTCAGCAACAAACATGTGAGCAATAGAATCTATGTCATAATTAAGTCAAGGGAAGGTACTATGCCTGGATGTGCACATAAGCCAGATTTATGTTTCTCTCCACCCAAACATCTCAGTGGAGTAAAGAATAACAAGGAAGCATTGCTGCAAACATGTCTCACCTCCCACCATAGGGCGGTTTTTCTCTCATCTCAGAATTGAACAAATGTACAATCGGGTTTTATACCGAGACATTCAGTTCCCAGGAGCAGGCAGGAGACAGTGGCCTTCCTCTATCTCAACTGCAAGAGGCTTTCCTCTTTTACTAATCCACCTCAGCACAGACCCTTTACGGGTGTCGGGCTGGGGGACAGTCAGGTCTTTCTCATCCCACGAGGCCATATTTCAGACTATCACATGGGGAGAAACCTTGGACGATACCCAGCTTTCAAGGGCAGAAGTCCCTGCGGCTTTCCGCAGTGCACTGTGCCCCTGGTTTATTGAGACTAGAGAATGGCGATGACTTTTACCAAGTATACTGCTTGTAAACATTTTGTTAACA
Source organism: Homo sapiens (assembly GCF_000001405.40). Taxonomy (NCBI): domain Eukaryota; kingdom Metazoa; phylum Chordata; class Mammalia; order Primates; family Hominidae; genus Homo; species Homo sapiens. The sequence goes on from NC_000010.11 coordinate 95,197,984, forward strand.
AGGCACGTCCTGCACAACCCTAGATCCCTTAAACCTTGATTTCATACAACACATGTTTTTGTGAGCTCCAGGTTGGGTCAAAGTAGCTGGGGCAAAGTGGCTGGGGCAAAGCTACAAATTAACAACATCTCAGCAAAGCAATTGTCTAAAGTACAGGTCTTTTCCAAAATGGAGTCTCTTATGTCCTCCCTTTCTACATAGACACAGTAACAGTCTGATCTCTCTTTCTTTTCCCTACATATCACCCTAAAAAAAAAACCAGGAAGCCAAAGAATTTGGACCTGATGTGATGGGCTGTGGCAAACCACTAAAGGTGCTTGAGTGATGTGAGCAGAGTTCTTACTTGGGTCGCACAAAGATATTATAGAACAAAAATGAAAATTACAACCAGGCACAGTGGATCACGCCTGTAATCCCAGCACTTTGGGAGGCCGAGGCAGGTGAATTGCCTGAGCTCAGGAGTTCAAGACCAGCCTGGGCAACATGGTGAAACCCCATCTCTACTAAAGTACAAAAAATTAGCCTGGTGTGGCTGTGTGTGCCTGTAGTGCCAGGTACTTGGGAGTCTGAGGCAGGAGAATTGCTTGAACCCGGGAGGCAGAGGTTGCAGTGAGCTGAGATCATGCCACTGCACTCCAGCCTGGGCGACAGAGCAAGACTGTCTCAAAAAAAAAAAAAAAATTACTTCCATGGTCACATAAATAAAATTATCTCTGACGGCCTAGGCCTGAACTACATCAAAATGTGGTTGACAAGAAAATAAAAATTAATGGCAGGGGAGAGATATAGTTGTGTTTGTTGTTATTGGTCATGGGAGGAGAAGGGGTTGGGGAAGGCCCATCCCATCCCTGCCAATTCTCATTGTTATAATAAGAAACTCTATGGAAGAACATTCCATGCTCACGGGTAGGAAGAATCAATATCATGAAAATGGCCATACTGCCCAAGGTAATTTATAGAATCAATACCATCTCCATCAAGCTACCAAAGACTTTCTTCACAGAATTGGAAAAAACTACTTTAAAGTTCATATGGAACCAAAAAAGCCTGCATTGCCAAGTCAATCCTAAGCCAAAAGAACAAAGCTGGAGGCATCATGCTACCTGACTTCAAACTATACTACAAGGCTATAGTAACCAAAACAGCATGGTACTGGTACCAAAACAGAGATATAGATCAATGGAACAAAACAGAGCCCTCAGAAATAATGCCGCATATCTACAACTATCTGATCTTTGACAAACCTGACAAAAACAAGAAATGGAGAAAGGATTCCCTATTTAATAAATGGTGCTGGGAAAACTGGCTAGCCATATGTAGAAAGCTGAAACTGGATCCCTTCCTTATACCTTATACAAAAATTAATTCAAGATGGATTAAAGACTTAAATGTTAGACCTAAAACCATAAAAACCCTAGAAGAAAACCTAGGCAATTCCATTCAGGACATAGGCATGGGCAAGGACTTCATGTCTAAAACACCAAAAGCAATGGCAACAAAAGCCAAAATTGACAAATGGGATCTAATTAAACTAAAGAGCTTCTGCACAGCAAAAGAAACCACCATCAGAGTGAACAGGCAACCTACAGAATGGGAGAAAATTTTTGCAACCTACTCATCTGACAAAGGGCTAATATCCAGAATCTACAATGAACTCAAACAAATTCACAAGAAAAAAACAAACAACCCCATCAAAAAGTGGGCAAAGGATATGAACAGACACTTCTCAAAAGAAGACATTTATGCAGCCAACAGACACATGAAAAAATGCTCATCATCACCGGCCATCAGAGAAATGCAAATCAAAACCACAATGAGATACCATCTCACAGCAGTTAGAATGGTGATCATTAAAAAGTCAGGAAACAATAGGTGCTGGAGAGGATGTGGAGAAATAGGAACACTTTTACACTGTTGGTGGGACTGTAAACTAGTTCAGCCATTGTGGAAGTCAGTGTGGCCGTTCCTCAGGGATCTAGAACTAGAAATACTATTTGACCCAGCCATCCCATTACTGGGTATATACCCAAAGGATTATAAATCATGCTGCTATAAAGACACATGCACATGTATGTTTATTGAGGCACTATTCACAATAGCAAAGACTTGGAACCAAATGTCCAACAATGATAGACTGGATTTAGAAAATGTGGCACATAGACACCATGGAATACTATGCAGCCATAAAAAATGATGAGTTCATGTCCTTTGTAGGGACATGGATGAAGCTGGAAACCATCATTCTCAGCAAACTATCGCAAGGACAAAAAACCAAACACCACATGTTCTCACTCATAGGTGGGAATTGAACAATGAGCACACATGGACACAGGAAGGGGAACATCACACTCTGGGGACTGTTGTGGGGTGGGGGGAGGGGGGAGGGATAGCATTGGGTGATATACCTAATGCTGAATGACGAGTTAATGGGTGCCGCACACCAACATGGCACATGTATACACATGTAACAAACCTGCACATTGTACACATGTACCCTAAAACTTGAAGAAGAAGAAAAGAAGAAGAAGAGGAAGAGGAAGAATAGGAAGAAGAAGAAGATGAAAAGAAGAAGAAAGAAGAGGAAGAGGAAGAAGAAGATGAAGAAAGAAGAAGAAGAAGGAGAAGGAGAAGGAGAAGAAGAAGAAGACTCTAAACAGGTCAGAACAAAGTAGCAATTCTATGGGCTGCTCCAGGGTGGATGAGAAAAAGAGAAGAAAGGCAAGAGAAAGAGATAAAAGGAGGAAGAAAGTTGTAAAGGAAGAAAGAAGTTAAGTTCAGAAGGTAGGAGAGAAGGAAAGGAGGGATGGGGAAAGAGGCGAGAGATGGGGGAAAGAGATGAGAGAGAGAGAGGACAGAAAGGAGGAAAAAAGGAATAAAGGAGGGAAAGAAGGAAAAAAGGGAGAAAAGAGCCTTCCTTCCCTCCATCCTCAGGGAGAGAAGAGGACAAACCCGTGTTGTTAAGGAGGAGAAGGCTCAGCTAGAATGGAAATGCTTTGAAAGTTCTAGGTAACTTCATCCATGCATTCACTAAGAGGTATTGGAAATTAAATTCTTTCCCCTTCAAAACTCGTCCCACTGAAAAATAAGTTGCATTGGAAGACAGGTATATTTGAAGGCAGGAATAGAATCCTATCCGCTAGGAGGAGGGCACTCTTCTCTACTTACAGGATCATGCCCTGAGAAATCTTTTCTTAAAAAAATTTAGACTCAGGAGGTGCATGTGCAGGTTTGTTGCATGTATAGATGGCACAATGGTGAGGCTTGAGCTTCTAGTGTACTCATCACCCAAACAGTGACCATAGTACCAAATAGGTAATTTTGCAAACTTCACTCCCCTCCAGCCTCCCCAATGTCTATTATTTCCATCTTTATGTCCATATGTACCCACTGTTTAACTCCCACTTATAAGTGAAAACAGGCAGTATTTGATTTTCTGTTTCTGAGTTATTTCCCATAGGATAATGGCCTTCAGCTCCATCCATGTTGCTGCAAAAGACAGGATTTCATTCTTTTCCATGGCTGAGTAATATTCCATGTTGTATGTATACCACATTGTCTTTATCCAATCATCCACTGATGGACCCTTAGGTTGATTCCATCACTTTGCTATTGTGAATAGAGTGCTACCATAAACACATGAATGCAGGTGTCTTTTTTATATAATGATTTCTTTTCTTTTGGGTAGACACCCAGTAGTGGGATTTATGCCCAGAGAAATCTCTGCCATCCTGGGCAGGGCTGGTTTCACGTTACATGCTGAGTTCTCTCAGGAGGTTCTTCCCTAGGCTCATGCCTGACATTATGTTGAAACCTACCAGTACTGCCATGTCAGTAAACAGTAAATATTTCTGTGCCAGTTGAGAAACAGTAGCTCCCCCTAAGCCCAGGCATCCTAGCCTCTCAAGATCTAGCCACTTGAGGGTGCTGTCTGGCAACAGTGGCCTCCCATAGCCAATGTCCATGCTGACTAATATTCATATTTTAAACATCACCCTGCCTAGGACGGACTCAGAGGGCCTTACCCCGCCCTCTGGAAGGTTAGTGCCAAAGGAGAAGAGGACAAATGGAGCTTTGAAAGGATGACTCAACTCTCCAAGAAGGCCGCCAGCATCCTCTCAGACACCTGTGCCCTTAGCCATGGAGACCGGCTGATGATAATCTTGCCCCCAACACCTGAAGCCTACTGGATCTGCCTGGCCTGTGTGCGCTTGGGTGAGGCATGGGAGACGGACCCCAGGGGTTGGAGGCTTATGTGAATCCCAGCCTCAGTTATTCACAGAATGGAGATGTTAGAGGGATCTCTATCTGATGCCTGAATTCTTCCCACAGTGTGGGGGATCTTTAAACAGGCCTAGATTTGAACCCAGCTCCACCACTTACCACCTCTGTAAATTATGCCTCTCTGAATCTCAGTTTCCTTGTCTATTAAATATGGACAGTAATAGTCCATATTTATAGAACTGTTACGGTCCAGTCTTACAGAACTGTTGTGAAGAGTAAATAATCCACAGAGCGCTTAGCTCATAGGCTGTTTATCACCTCAAGGAACTGTAGACCTCTGTCCTAACATAGTCATCATCAAAACAACAGACAGAGCATGCACATCTTGCCCTCTCTGGGCCTCAGTTTCCCCATCTATAAAAAAGAGAATGTAGGGGTACTGGGTGCAGTGGCTCACACCTGTAATTCCAACACTTCGGGAGGCCAAGGCAGGCAGATTGTCTGAGCTTAGAAGTTTGAGACCAGCCTGGGAAACATGATGAAACCCCAACTCCACTAAAAAAAAACACAAAGCAGAAAAAAAAAATTAGCTGCATGTGGTGGCACACACCTGTAGTCCAGCTATTCAGGAGGCTGAGGGACAAGAATTGTTTAAACCTGGAAGGCGGAGGTTGCAGTGTGCTGAGATTGTGCCACTGCACTCCAGCCTGGGTGACAGAGCAAGGCTCTGTCTCAAAAAAAAAAAAAAAAAAAGACAGAGAAGGTAGGAATATCTCTAAAGCGTCCTCTACCTCAGTCTGTGACATGTTAGGAACTAGGCTGCACAGCAGGAGATGCGCAGAGGGCAAGTGAGTGAAGCTTCATCTGTATTTACAGCCACTCCCCATTGCTTGCATTACCACCTGAGCTCTGCCTCCTGTCAGATCAGAGGTGGCATTAGATTCTCATAGGAGCGCAAATCCTATTGTGAACTGTGCATGCGAGGAATCTGGGTTGTGCACCCCACATGAGAATTTAATGCCTGATCATCTGCCACTGTCTCCCATCACTCCCAGATGGGACTCTCTAGTTGCAGAAAAGCAAGCTCAGGGCTCCCATTGACTCTACATTATGATGAGTTGTATAATTATTTCAATATATATTACAATGTAATAATAATAGAAATAAAGTGCACAATAAATGTAATGCACTCGAATCATCCCAAAACCATCCTCTTGCCTCAGTCTGTGGAAAAATTGTCTCCCACAAAACCCAGGTGCCAAGAAGGTTGGGGACCACTGCTCTTCATCCAGTATTAGAGAGTCCTTGAGAGTCACCCTGAATGAGCTTGGGATCAGCCAGAATAGAGCTGCTCTTTGTGGATATCCCATCCATGCCCCTGAGGCTCAATCCTCCAACATAAACAGGAAATGCCTCAATCAAGAGCCCCTTCACATGTGAGAAGTGAAGGATACTGGAAAGGAGCCCACCCCCAATATCATTCCTCTTTATCTGCTATAGTACCTGACTTTCTATTCTTAGGATACAGGCATATATTTTTTGGTAGTTGGAAGGTGCGTATGAAAAACAAAGTACCCCTGAGATGGGCCAAACTCATTAGGAGTTGCCACAACTGGCCTACTGCCTTTGCCTGCTAACAGGGATGCTAGATTTAAAAAAAAAAAAAAAAAAAAAAAAACTGAAAAGTGATTCAAAGAGCAGGTGTCTTTGAGAATGCCAGCTGTCAGTTATGGGGAGCATACAGAAGAGAGGAAGGGAGTGAACCCTACCCTCAGGCCTATCCAGGCTCCCAGTGTTTCCCCAGTTCCCAATGGACTGAGTTATCCTGAGGGACAATTGATCCATGTCTGAGAAAGGACAGGGACCACTTCAGTCTGGGTCACCAGAAATTCTTCCTACCTGAGGCCAAGTTACGCAGAGTGATTTCCTTAGCCACATACCAGTCCAAAGCAGGGCTATCATTTTCACTCACAATAATTAAAATTGCTTATTGATGGTATAAGGCAAAATGAATGAAAACAAAATCGAAAACTCAGAACAGACCAAAGTATATGTAAGAATTTATCAGCCGGGCGCAGTGGCTACGCCTGTAATCCCAGCACTTTGGGAGGCCGAGGTGGGAGGATCACCTGAGGTGAGGAGTTCGGGACCAACCTGGCCAACATGGTGAAACCCCGTCTCTACTAAAAAAATACAAAAATTAGCCAGACGTGATGGTGGGCACCTGTAATCCCAGCTAATCCGGAGGCTGAGGCAGGAGAATCGCTTGAACCCGAGAGGTGGAGTTTATAGTCAGCCAAGATCACGCCACTGCACTCCAGCCTGGGTGCCAGAATGAGACTCTGTCTATTTAAAAAAATAATAATAATAATAATTTATCAGGTCTTTTCAAGCCATTAATGAAAGCATTGATTAGTTCTTAAATGATTTAAAGATAACTGTTTGAAAACGTTAAATGTCATAACTCTACCTCCAAATAATGTACCAAAATAAATTCAAATGAACCATTAAAAATTGAAATGTTAGAAAAGGACTTAAGTATTAGAAGAATATATAGGTGAGTACATAAACTCATGGAAAGGCTTTCTGAATATGACACCAGATACCCAAACAAAAAAGGAAAAAAAAGATGTACTACACTTAATGAAATTTTTAAAATTTCATTCATCAAAAAAATCACTATAATGTATAAGAAACATCTGTGTGGCCAACTTGGAGGAGGGACCAGGGTGCACTCCTCCCTTCTCCATATATGTGAGATCTGTCTGTGTGATTACATCTGATGTGCCCTTTTGGTGGCATCCAGAAAGCTGCACAGTGATGGCTCTAACAACACATGCATCTCTCCTAATGAGAGAGCTCTCAATTATTATAAATTACTCAACATGATAAAGTTAAATTGGCTTTTAAACTACGCTGACATTATCACAAGAAATTTCAACATTATATCTGTAAACAAAATGAAAAGCTGTTAGATTATTTTTTAGATATAGTTTCTACTATTATAAAGTTCTAGTATTTTTCTTAAACCACCACAAAAGAAATTTGAACACTGCCTTAGTCTGCTTGGGTTACTATAGCAAAATGCTATCAACTGAGTAACTCATATATAACAGAAATTTATTTCTCACAACTCTGGAGGCTGGGAAGTCCAAGATCAAGGCAGACGCAATGTCAGTGAGGGCCCACTTTCTGATTCAGAAATAGCTCCTTCTAGCTGTGTCCTCATATGATGGAAAGAATGAGGGATCTCTTGGGAGCCTATTTTATTAAGGCACTAATCCCATTCATGAGACCTCCACTCATGATCTGATCACCTTTCAAAGATCTCACCTCCATCACCTTGGAGTTTAGAATCTCAACATACAAATCTGGGTTGGAGGACACACAAATTCAGACCATGGCAAAGACAAATGCCAAAATCGAAAACATATTTGCAACACTTATGAAAGATAAGTGGTCAATGGCCTTAATGTAGAAAGAGTTCTTACTAATCAATAGGGAAAATAAATTAACATTACTTGGCACTCCTCTTCAAATGCTTCATCTAAGGGTGGGGGCACTTGAAAGTGTTTGCAGTTATCTAAAGAAAGATACTTCTTTGTGTCACCCACAATTGCACGGTTTCATATATATATACTCAATGCTAAAGGGTAACTTGATAGCTATAAGATGGCAATCAGTGATACTGAACAGGTCTTTTCCACTGTGTCCCTCGGCCTTCCCATCAGCCCAGTGAGTAACTCGAATTAGATGAACTCCCCATTCCATGCCAGATCCTGTTTCCTATGACTTTGTTTTGGAGATATAATTTATATACTATAAAATTCACCGTTTAAAAGTGTACAAATCCATGGTTTTTAGAATATTCACAAAGCTGGGCAACCATCACCACTGTCTATTTCTGGAAGATTTTCATCACCCCAAAAAGAAACCCATTAGCAGTCCCTCCCTATTCCCCGCTCTCTGCAAAACCTGGCAACCAATAATCTACTTCCTATCTTTGGATTTGCCTCTTCCAGATATTTCTTACAAATAGAATGCAACATCTAGCTTTTTGTCCCTGACTTCTTTCAGTTACCATAATGTTTTCAAGGTTCACCCATGTTATAGCATGTGTCAGTACTCCACTCTTTTTATGAATTAATAGTATTTCATTGTGTAAATATATATACTATATTTCATTTATCAGTTCATCAGCTGATAGATATTTAGGTTGTTTCCACATTTGGGCTATTACGAACAATGACATTTTATGATGCCCAAGAGATTTCAGTGTGAGAAACAGAAGATGAAGGTGCAGTATGTGGGAAAGGCCCACACCGGTAAAGCAGATCCTTTTCCAAAAATCAATAGGTCTGTAGTTGGGAGTGTAAGCATTACTGCAAGACAAGCAAGGTCATCACCAGTTAATCCTAGAAGTATTCTAGTTCTCTAAGCCTGAAAACTAAAAAGAAGCGTCTGTCAGAAGAGCCTCTGGCACACAGATGCAACCAGCGTATGCCAGTCTCATAGGAGGTCCACAATAGGTGTTCTATGGATGCAGAAGAATCTATAGAAACAGCCCAAGAAGAGAGGCAGGAAGGTCTTTTTGTTTTGTCTTTTCTCCAGTGCAAATCCAGAAATCCACAGCAAAAGCCATTCTCAAGCCATGAGAAAACAACAAAGAGGAAGTTTTCATAATCCCTTTGCATCACAGTTTCAAAATTAGGCTATATTTCAAGTAACTGGTGGTCTGACACTTAGCCATATAAACTCAGGACCTGATTGAGGTGAAAGGATAACAGCAACAGAGCCACAGATCACTGGATTGTTTCAGTGGGCTCAGTCTCCTGCCTGTCTCAGTTTTCCCCAGTCGCCATCGTGTTACTGACCCAATAGAGAAGAGAGACTCCTAAGAGAGAGGGTAACCCAGAGACCTCATCCATGCCTGCCAGAATGCTTGAGGAAAAATTCTCTACTCAAAAGATAAAAATGAAGCCTTCTTTTGTGGTTTTTTTCAGGAATCACCTTTGTGCCTGGGAGCCCCCAGCTGACTGCCAAGAAAATTCGCTATCAATTACGCATGTCTAAGGCCCAGTGCATTGTGGCTAATGAAGCTATGGCCCCAGTTGTAAACTCTGCCGTGTCCGACTGCCCCACCTTGAAAACCAAGCTCCTGGTGTCAGATAAGAGCTATGATGGGTGGTTGGATTTCAAGAAGTTGATTCAGTAAGTGGACACTGAATATGAGATGCTTAAATGAAGGAAATGTTTGACTTTGAAAGATGATGATATATGAGAAAGTGGTGTGAGTGGTCAGAATGAAAAGCTGAATGGCAATTTCTATGCAAGATTAGATGATGTATGAGAAGGTGGTGTGAGTGGTCAGAATGAAAAGCTGAATGGCAATTTCTAGTCCTGAAAAAAGCAGAGTAACCCCCAACACAAGCATCCCTGGTCTGACCTACAAGTTCCCAGTCTGAGTGAAAGTCTTATGTTCTGATTCATATGTAACCATTCGTTCTGAAAGGATAAAAAATTAGGTAATATAAATATAAACATATTACAAAAAACATAACAAAAAACTTATATATAGACTATATATAATGGAATACTATGAAGCCATAAAAAATGAAATCATGGTCGCACATGGTGGCTCATGCTTGCAATGTCAGCACTTCGGGAGGCTCATGCCTGTAATCCTAGCACTTTGGGAGGCCAAGGTGGGCAGATCACCTGACATCAGGAGTTCGAGACCAGCCTGGCCAACATGGTGAAACCCCGTCTCTACTAAAAGTACAAAAATTAGCTGGGTGTGGTGGCACACACCTATAATCCCAGCTACTCAGGAGGCTGAGGCAGGAGAATCGCTTGAACTCAGGAGGCTGAGGTTGCAGTGAGCCGAGATTACACCACTGCACTCCAGCCTGGGGGACAGAGTGAGACTCTGTCTCAAAAAAAAAAAAGAAATAATGTCTTTTGCAGCAACATGGATGGAACTGGAGGACATTATCTTATGTCAAATAACTCAGAAACAGAAAGTCAAATACCATATGTTCTCACTTATAAGTGGGAACTAAATAATGTGTACAAATGGACACAGAGTGTGGAATAATAGACACTGGAGACTCGGAAAGGTCAGAGGATGGGAGAGGATGAGGAATGAGAAATTACTTAATGGGTACAAGGTACACCATTTTGGTGATGGTTACACTGAAAACCCAGACTTCACCATATATATATGCAATATCCACGTAACAAAACTGCACTTGTTCCCCTTAAGTTTATACAAAAGTAAACCTCACCCTCACTGGGATATGGGGAAATACTTATTAAAATAGCGAGATGATGCCATGTTCATCCTCAAGTTAGCCAAATACAGTAGTGCCCCCTTATCTGTGGCTTTGTTTTCTGCGGTTTCAGTTACCTGTGGTCAACTACCGTCCAAAATAGGTGAGTACAGAGATCACATTTGCATAACTTTTATTACAGTACATTGTTATATTCTATTATTTGTTTTTGTTTTTAATCTCTTACTATACCTAATTTATAAATTTAACTGCATCATAGGTATGCATGTATAGGAAAAAGCATAGTGTATATAGGGCTTAGTACTATTGATGGTTTCAGGCATCCACTGAGGGTCTTGGGACACATCCCCCACGGATAAGGCAAGACTACTAAATTAAGTTTGATAATTATCAATGTGGTCTTTAGAGGGCAGTATTTCAGTGTCCAGGGATGTTTAAAAAAAAAAAAAAAAAAAAAAAAAAAGCAGTAAACGAGACAGTCAAACCCCGACCCTCATGGATTTTATATTATAGACAACAAATAGACAACAAGAAAACACATAAATTATCAATATAATAAAGTTTCCAAAAGAAACTCCAAAACAAAACAGGCAAATTAAATAAATTGGTCTGATGTGGAGATGGGGGAATGATTTTAGATTTGGTGACTTCTGAGGTGAGGATAAGCTGAGATTTGAATATGACAGAGCTAGCCTTTGGAAGCTCTGAGGGAACACTGTCCCTTGCAGAGGGAACTCAGAGGTAAAGGACCTGAGGTGGGAGCGAGCTTAAACTGTGTGAGGAACAGAAAGAACACCAGGGCACCTGAAGTGCGGAGAGTGGGGAAGAGAGTAGCAGGAGAGGAGGCCGAAGCGCAAGGGAGGGGAAGACTGCGGCAGGTCTTGGAGGTCATGTAGGAGTCGTCTAGGAAACACTAAAGGGAAGGACTTGATCTCAGCCACAATTGTGAAACTCCCTCAACTGCTGTCTGAAAAATGGGAGACAAGAGAGATAGTAAAGGGACCCAGGAGAAGGCTGTTGCTGTCGTCCAGATGAGAGGCCGTGCCGGTGTGGACCATGGTGGTGGCAATGGAGACAGGACCGAAAACAAGCCAGGCAAATGAGGAACTCACCTCAGGCACAAAATGTAAAAGGGCACTGAAAAATCCAGTGATCGAGGGAAATAATATTTTAATTTTAAAATAATTTTTAATTAAATTATAAAATAATTTTTATAATTGAAGTTTTAAATTTCCACAAATATTTATTTTATATATTTATGTAATGTTTTCATAATTTATAATTTTATAAACTGTATACTCTTTTCAATTGAATAATTTAATTTTTTTTAATTAAAAAAATCAAATTGGTAAACTTCTCATGACAGACCAGCTGCCTATTTTTATAAATAAAGTTTTATTGGAACCAGGGACAGGACTGGGCTGACAGGTAAGGTGAGTCATGCAAGTGCCTATCTGGATTATAGGCTGTGTGAGGACTGCATCTTGAAGCCGGCCTGAATCCCATTCCTAAATCATACTGGGAATATTTGAACAGTTTGGAAGTGTTGTTGTCCTGTCTTTGTTTTAAATTTCAATATTTTGTTTATCATGGATTTTTGCATTAGTTTTCATTATTTAAAAACATTTCACTAAAATATTATTTATCTTGACTACTGAATTTGCTGGTATCCCCTTAAATATCACAATGTTTGTGGCAAATGTTTCACTCACTCCACCTTAGTCCCATCCCTGGTTAGGAATAGTGAAGAGAGAGAGACTTGTGACATGTTTTGGAAGTAGAGTTGTCAGGGCTTGGCAATGGTTAGGATGTGGCACAGATAGCTAGGTAGGTAAGTCGATAGATGGGGAAAGAGGAACAATAATGATTACTACAGATTTTTGACTTGAGCAATTGAATGAATAAAGAGGGTCTTTTACTGAGAAAAATAAGGCTGGCGTATAAATGCATCATATATTTCTTATGCAACAAAAATTAATGCAAAAAAAATTTAAGGGAAAAATGGCAGCTGCCCCTCTAACAAATAATCCTCAAATATATCAAGATACCAGCTGTTATTTTTTAAAATCAGAGATTACCAAACCCAGGGCCTAGGCACTTAATCAGAGAACCTAAATTTAGATCTCACTGTTGCCTCTTTCCTGGCTTACAGAGTTGCCCCTCCAAAGCAGACCTACATGAGGACCAAAAGCCAAGATCCAATGGCCATATTCTTCACCAAGGGTACAACAGGAGCTCCCAAAATGGTCGAGTATTCCCAGTATGGTTTGGGAATGGGATTCAGCCAGGCTTCCAGGTACGGTTCTCGCACAGCCTGTACAGGCCTGAAAGTTGTTCTCTTGCAGGTAAAGGGAGCTTCATGGGACTAAAGCTAAGAAAGGAGTTTCTTACTCAAGACTGCAGAAAGTGTCAATATTGAGAGAAGGAACAGGGCTGAGGGCCCCAAAAGATGAAAAGCAAATTACTATAGTTCAAAATTCTAAGAGTAAGCAGGAGGGAAAAGAGGAAGAGCAGGGATTCCATGCAGTAGGTGAGGGATCCAGGATGATCACCCCAAAGACACACTGTGGGATGTTACTTGTTTTTCTATGCTACCAGCACCAGGGTGAACAATTGTGTTGACCACTATATGTAGTGATAAACACAGAGGTAGAGTCATAATTGATAAGGGGTTTGGGTTCTAGAGTCAGCCTCTAAGATGAAAATCACATGTCATCACACCACCCCTTTTTTAAGAAAATTAGTTAAGTAGCTCATGGGTATCTCTCGGCAAATTCAAAGGGCACTGAAACTGATTTCAATCTCTTTGGTTGAACATGCAATGAAGTAGTTGGCTTGCACTTGTGTTAGCTTGGTTTGTCTGGGGTTAAGTTTCCCCACCTTACATTCAATCCTGCCTTAGACAAATGGTTGTGTGTTGTTACTCCACCCTCAAGTTCTCTTAACAAACTACACAAAGGTCCCTTAGCGGAAATAGGTGTATGTTCCTCACCTTCACCTCAAAGTCTTTGACTCTCATAAGCAACAACGGCCAGTAGATATCAGGTAGAGAAATAAAACAGGGGAAGCTGAGATCACTGACTTAATCAATCCATTAATTAATAAAAGTGCCTACTGGATTAATTAATTTAATTAATTAATAAACTTCTGAGACCCCTGAAAGCCATAAAACCTGGAAGGCAATGCCATGCCAATTAAGACTGATACTGAAAAAATTTAAGGAGTCCATTGGCCTCATGACCTCATAAATAGGCTTTGCCTGTTTTCATTTGTGTGATCTTTGTTTCTCCCCACAGGTCAGGGCTTGATAATAGCAAGTATTATTGTTGTTGCTAGTACCAGCACGAGAGAATTCAAATGGCTTTCCTCTTTCTCTTTAGACGGTGGATGGATCTCCAGCCAACAGATGTCTTGTGGAGTCTGGGTGATGCCTTTGGTGGATCTTTATCCCTGAGCGCTGTCTTGGGAACTTGGTTCCAAGGAGCCTGTGTGTTTCTGTGTCACATGCCAACCTTCTGCCCTGAGACTGTTCTAAATGTAAGATCAATTCCTAGTGTGGAATGTGTGGGACAAAGGCCAGAGAGAGGCATTAGCAATGACCCAGTGACTCATGCCCAGAATGGGGCAAATCAAGAGTTAAATTTGGAATGTGATCTTGACTTGAAGATGCTCTCCCTGCTTGTGAGAGCAATGCTCTCTCTCTTCCCTAGGGGCTTTGCAATTAGGAAGACTTGGCTACTTCCATTGTATCACTGAGAAGGAAACTTTTAAAAGACAATAGTGATATTGAGGAAGATAATATTAATATCAGTTATCATTTACTGATTACTTACTGGCACTTCATATGGATTATTTCATCTCCCCAAGAACCCTGTGAGGGAAGAACTGGGGAAACTGATTCTCACAGAGGTTAAGTAAGTAGCCTAAGGAATCACAGAGGCAGAACTAGGAATTAAACTGTGGTCTACTGAACTCCACAGCACAATTTCTACACTGCTGTGCTAACCTCTCAACTGCTGCACAATCCACAATTTTGCTGGCAACATCTAGGCTTATTATTTAAAGCGACAAAGATCAAAACAAGGCTTCTTGGATCCAGAAGTAAATGCCTCGCTGTGTATGCATTCGGTTATCAGTGATTAATATGATAGCTCCTATGTTCACAGAGCTAAAGCTAAATTCTCTCCCAAGGTGTGGAAGGTGGGGAATCACTAAGTCTTTGAGATAAAAGGCATCCCCAAGCTGAGTTTCAAAGTCTGTGACCCTCTTCCCTGGACTTTCCCGCCTGGACCCCTGCCACAGTCTCACTGTCTCTCCCACCTCACATGCAGATTTTGTTTTTCCTTCCTTTGGGGCCCAGGTCCTGTCCAGATTTCCCATCACCACTCTATCTGCAAATCCAGAGATGTACCAGGAACTGCTTCAGCACAAGTGTTTCACCAGGTAAGAGAGGATCCCTCAGGAGAGAGTCCATTTCCACTCATGGTACCATAAATAAAATTAGGACCCCTTAATTTGTTGAAGTAGATCCAATCTTACCCTCCGGTAACACACTTGTCTTGTTGCCATTCATGACAACAACTCCATTAGTGTGTGTGATTTTTTATTCCCTTGCAACTTGAAATCCATATCTTGACCCAGAACATAAAATTAAATTATAATTAGAAGGTTGAGTTTGTTAAAAAATTTATAATTATACCTCCCTTTAAAAAGATAAACATTAAAGACAAATATACTACCTTTAATTCAAAAAGTAAATATTAACCCATTTCCCATTTTGAAGAAAAAAAAATGTGTAATTCACCGCCAGCACTCATTTCTCAGAGCAAACGGGAAATGAGTTATAGACAAAGACCACCTTCTCTCTTGGATATGAATTCTTCTAGGCCTTTTTAAAACAAATTTATACCTATGTGTATCTACCTATCCATCTATCCCAAAAGAAACATATTATGATATTGGGGTGGGATTATATAGATGGTATCTGTTTATATCATAGTGAAACTTGCATTTTTTTCACACTATTCCTTAAAGCTCTATTTATGATAATATGGGTAATACATTTTTAATCATTGCATAGTATTCTTTAGTATGAATGAATTGTACATTAATAAGCCAAGTACCTATCAAAGATAGTTGAATCTTTTCTAAGCTGCTGAAATGAGCATCATTGCACACACCCCACAATTCCCTAGGGTACCAACTAAGAAGTAGAATTGCCAATCATCATCGATAAAGATTAATGAGAAATCACAGGTTCTCAATCATTGTATCAAGCCTTAGTGTTTGCTAAATAATCATTTAAGTGTAAATTTCATTTTAGCTATGTGGGCAAGGACATAAACTCTACAGAAGGAAACAACCATGGTAGCAAACAATACCACCGTATTAAATTATGTTGACATGAAGGAACGCCTAGTTCATTGGCATTTTGTGGAGCAGTTAAAAATCGCTATGATTAAATATGGTATATCTTTATTCAGCAACATTCCATCTCATATAAAATGTTCAGATTATTTCTTAAACCCTTAAAAGCACTTAAAAATTTTAAAATAGTCATCTCTCGCTTATACCCTGAAATTAATAATATAAAGGCAATGATGTAATGGTATATTTGGGATTAATTCAGAATCAGTTCTCCAATTTTGATCTTGCTTAGTCTTGGGACCTAACTGGGCAGGCAGTTATTATCTAATACAGATGAGCTACCACATTACCATTAATATGGTACATTCATGTATTCAGAATATACAGGGTCACTGCCTCTATCTGAGACCATAAAAAGTTTTGCTATAATCTTCCCACACTTGACCCTTCCACTGGACATCACCAAAATCAAATAAACATAAAATGAATTGTGGGTTTATAAAAAATGCTCACTACTATTCTATTGTTGGGGCGCTGTGGAAACTTATAATATCTAGAGATTTTGAGCCTAGTTTATAAAATTAGTGGCTCTCTTTCCACCTCCAGACTTCAGAAAATTAGTTCCTTTTTTACCTTACCATTGCTGACACATCCTTCACAAACACTTCTGGCTTTGGGAGAGGTAATAAAACTCAGAAGGGTTTCTGCAGAAGGCTGGCTTCCTGCCATCAGTTAGCACTGGTTGATTTGCTTTTAACATTAATGCCGCTTGTCCAGAAGAGTAAATGAGAGTCTTCATGGAGATTGATCTAACTGGGGTGTCTGAATAGATTATCTAATAGAGTAGTATTAAGAACATCAACCACCACTTAATGAGCATTTCCTGTATTGGAATAACTGCATCATTTTTCCAAGATTCTTTCTAACAGACCTGTTATTGGTAGAAATATTCCCTGAGGCTAAGAACAACTTTTGATGCCTCTCCAGCTACAGATTCAAGAGTCTGAAGCAGTGTGTGGCTGCAGGAGGACCCATCAGCCCTGGGGTGATTGAGGACTGGAAACGCATCACTAAGTTGGACATCTATGAAGGCTATGGGCAGACGGAAACTGTAGGTTGATGCTGACTCACTATTTAGCCAGAAACCAAACTTGCCCATTCACTGTGTAAGCACACTGTCAAAGCACTAAGCACGCACTAGAAATGCACAACTGGATCTTAAGCACAGGAAGAGGAAATGGCTTAAACTAGGGAGACCCCTCTTCCATGATAAGACAAAGAATTACAGGTACAGATAACTTACAGATTTACAGATTTCACAACAGAAACTTGAACTAGTTTCCACCTGACAATTCCTGCCCTCTTTGTGGAGTATAAGGCAATATCATGTGATAAGAATGAAAAAATGATGGGGTACAAGTCTGAGTGGAGGATGTTTAAAATTATCACTGCTGAAAATGGAAGAAAGAGTAGATTATGAAAATAAAGGAGAAATGGGTTATGATAAGAGCACATTTGAGGTTGGAGAGCATTAATCTTCAAAGTCACTAACTATTTAGTTGTGTCATTTTCTCCAATATCACTCTAAAACACAGATGAAAAGCATGGTAAAAGTGGACAGTTAGATTGGAACAGGATTAACATTTTGCCAAGAAGGTGCAATAAAAGGGCAGCAGGCAAGGGATATAGGGATATTGGCATTAAGATGAAAGACTAAGAAACTAAGCTGATCAGAGAAGGAAGGGAATTCAAGAAAAGGCAGATCAGTGGTGAGAAGACAAGGCACTGGAGATGTCAATGGAGCTGGAAGGACTGAAGATAATTGTCTTAGTCTGCTCAGGCTGCTGTAACAAAATATCATAGATTGAGTGGCTTAAACAACCAAAGTTATTTTTCTCACAGTTCTAGAGGCTGGAAGTCCAAGATCAGAGTGCCAGAAAGGCCGGGTTTTAGGAAGAGTCCTCTTCTAGGTTGCAGACTACCAACTTCTCATGGTGTTCTCACAGACAGGGAGAGAGAGAGAGACCAAGCTCTTTCCAAGCTCTTTAGTGTCTTTCAGTTTGTTTGTTTGTTTTTAAAGAGAGGCAGGGTCTTGCTTTATTGCCCCAAACTAGAGTGCAGTGGTGTGACCATAGCTCCCTGCAGCCTCAAACTCCTGGGATCAAGAGATTCTCCAACCTCAGCCTCTCAAACAGTTGGGACTACAGGTGTGCACCACCATGCTTGCTATTTATTTTATTTTATTTTTTAGCACAGACACAGACTTGCTATGTTGCCCAGACTGGTTTCAAACTCCTGGCCTCAGGGACCTTCCCACCTCAGCAACCCAGCATATCCAAGATGACAGACACAATTCACTGTGCCCAGCATCTCTTCTTATAAGGGCACTAATCCCATCATGAGAGTGCCACCCTCATGACCTCATCTAAACCCAATGACCTCCCAAAGGCCTCATCTCCAAATACCATCACAGTGAGCAGTAGGGAATTAGCACATAAATTTTGAGGAGACACATCACACTCCCTGGAGATCAGGATCAAGGAAGGAAGAGACTGGGGGTAGAACTGATCATTCATATGGCTGCAGGAGGCACTAGGGATGACAGCGGGACCTGGAATCAAAGGAAAGATAATGAACCTCATGCTGAAGGCCTTAATGGATAAGGAATGACTGAGAGGTTGGTAAATTATAGACAACAAAGAGTGGTATAGGGTGGTAAATGTAAATGGCATGAATCTCAAAAAGACAAGGGAATTGCACATAGCGTCAGAGAAGTAATGGTCAGAAGGTGGTATTGGGAGCTCAAAAGATGCCAAACCCAAGGAATATAAAAGGATCAACATCCCCCACTTGAAAAAAATAAGTAGAAACCTCTTCCCATGGAAGAGCCAGGTCTCTGGAAAGGTAACTGATGAAGAGAACATCCAGTAAAGAGGATATAGATGTGGATGTAGAATAGTTCCTTAACCACTCAATTGATGTTCTATCTAGACACCATGTGAAAAGTTTCTGGAAGGAAAGAGTCAGGGAACAAACAGTCCTGTTCCTGCAACATGAGGATGAAAATAAGCAGGAAAGCTTATATGATGGAAACACCACAGATAAGAATGTAGAGCTGGTACCTTAGGCTGGTGGCCAAATTTTTACATGAATTGGTTTCAGTGTTTTCCAGGTAGATAGGAACAAAAGAAAATAGAGAAGTGGGCCAGGAGCAGTGGCTCACGCCTGTAATCCCAGCACTTTGGGAGGCCAAGGCAGGCAAATCACAAGGTCAAGAGATTGAGACCATCCTGGCCAACATGTGAAACCCTGTATTTACTAAAAATACAAAAAATTAGCCGGGTGTGGTGGCACGCACCTGCAGTCCCAGCTACTCGGGAGGCTGAGGCAGGAGAATCACCTGAATCTGGGAGGCGGAGGTTGCAGTGAGCCAAGATCGCACCACTGCACTCCAGCCTGGGGACAGAGTGAGACTCCATCTCAAAAAAAAAAAAGAAAAAGAAAAAGAAAATAGGGAAGTGTTGCCTGGATTAACTGCATTCACTGCCAGATGGTCCATAAAATAGGCTTCCTGAGAAGCAAAAACACAAAATATTTTTGAGAGAATTGAATACCCAATGTTTTTAAAACATTCAAATAGCATGGGAGAAATAAGAATTTGTGGTGGGGGGCAGGGGGATTTCTTACATTTGTTTTATATATTACTACTGTTTTTATTAATTATACTAAGAAGGGAATTCCATAATCTTGGTAACACCAAAGCCTTTTTATAGGACTTAGTTCTGTCATACGTCCAAAAAAAATTCTTTGGTGACTAAGAAAACCTCAGACTGTGTGGGAGAAGACAAAACAGCCAAATTGATAGCCTAGGCTCTGGGGAGAGGTCTATAGTTTGAGGACCCTGGTGGAGCTATGTAGTTCCATATGGCTCAGGAAACATCCTCACTTAGAAAGCTAAAGAAAATTCAGAACACAAGGTTCAAAACTTTGAGACCTCATAGTCAAGCTCACGCTTGGTACGCAAGTTACAATTCAAAACTGTAAAAGAGGGAACTTGAGAAATGATCAAATTCTGTCTCAGATTCTGTCTATACTACACTCACAGATCCATTTAATTACATCCAAAGAGTTGACATTTTCAGCACCCAGGACTCATTGCATTGTATTTCCCCACTGATCTCAGGTTGTGAATGATTCTGTCTAGCAAGAAAACAGCACATCTTAGGCAGTAATGATTTTGGCTTTATCTTTCTTTTTATGAAATACAAATATAACTGACACTCAGAACATCTGAAATAAGGCAAGGTTGATACACTAAGTTGATATGACTCCAGCAACACCTAATAAACTTGGCATTTTTAGTTAGTCACACAACCTGCATGGGAGAAAATGTACATCTTCCATTTAATTGTAATGTACTGGCAATAGCTAAGGAGTCTTGTGTTTTGTGAGCATTATTTGGGATGCAAGTGATGGAAACATATTTCAAACAAGCCTGAGCAAAAGTGGAAATTATAAGTCCATTTTGCTGGGAATAGCTTCAAGGCTTACGGAATCAAGACTGGAGAGGCCAAAACACCAGGACTAAAAAAACTCTTAAAACATCAGCTCTCTCTTTCTCTCCCTCTCAATTGCTCCATCTGCTTTTTTCTCTGAGTTGTTCTCTGATGAGTTTCTTCCACAAAGCAGACAAGATTAACACCAGCAACTCTGGAGTCACCACTCCTTCAGACAAGATCAAAATAGCCCTACTTCTACCTCTACTTTGGAAAATTCTTGGAACAGACTCTGATTGTCCATGCTTCTGTCATATGCTTTTCCCTTGGACTATAACTTAAGGGGCCTAACCTGAGACATTTGTTCATGCCAAAAAGTGGATCTACAGAACCATGATTAATAGTCCCACCAGATTAGATGAAGGGAAGGAGGAGTTCTTAAAGGAACCATAAAACTAGTTACTGCGGTACACTAGAGAGAGATTACTATGGCCATCCTCAAAAACATTCAGAATCTGGGGGCTCCCAATTTGTTAGCATGTAAACACAAGAAAATATTAAGTCTCTTTCCGTGTAAGACACAGCAATAGGTACTGGAAAAATAACTATGTAGAAGACAGAAATAATTCCTGTTCTAGGCTGGGAACAGTGGCTCATGCCTATAGTCCCAGCACTTTAGGGGTAAAATTCTAATAAATAAAATTTTCTCCATCCCATTACACCCATGGTTGACTCATCCAAGATCCAGTTCTCATGTCCTCCAAGGTAGACCTCTGTGCCCTCTTTGGGGTGCCCTGCATGTATGCTGAAGTATTTCTCAGCAGCCAACAATTACTTATTTTTGAGACATTTATTATTGAAAATCTCAAAAGACAAAAATAGACAAAACTGTATTTGAATTCCCATGCATCCACTGCCCATTTCATCAATTATTACCTAATCCTGTTTTATCATTACTCCTCTACAATCCCAAAAACAATATTTTCTCATAAATAGCTTTAGTATATTTAAAAAAAAGGCACTAAAAAACAAACATATTCTCCAATTATACCTGAAAGTTAACAGTAATTGCCTTTTATTAACAAATATCTACCACTGACATTTTCATCCATCATCTAAGTCATGCATGTTTTCTTGCTACCATTTGTTCCAATTAAGCACACACATTGTGGCTAGTTGGTAAGACTTTTGTGTATCTTTTAATCTATGAATTTCCTCATTACCTTCTTTTTTCCTTGAATTTGTTATTTTAAAAAACTGAGTTGTTGGTTCTTTTGAATATTTCACAGCCTGGATTTTGCTAATTGCAGTATGGTTTACATGTTCTTCTGTTCCCCTGCATTTCCTGTAAATTGACCTAGAGGTTAATTTAGTCACACTCCTGCTTGATTTTTTTTTAATCAAGATTACTTGTTAGACTGTGTAATGTTGTTCTGTTAGGAGGCACATAATGTCTGGTTATGATCAATAACTAGATCCATTAATTTATTGCTTTTTTAAAGAAAAACTTGTCTGCATTTCTTTGAACAGGGTCTACTCTGTGCCACTTCCAAAACAATAAAATTGAAGCCAAGCTCTCTGGGGAAGCCATTGCCACCTTATATTGTCCAGGTAGGAGATCATAGTAATGATTATGACAGATATTATTAAGTGAGCTCTTACAGTTGTTTATCTAAATTTCTGACATAAAGGTAGGCAATGAGGAAAGTCCACCATTCTCTAAATTCACCCCAAGGATAATCTCACATTATTGCTTTTATTTCCACCTCAATATCCTTTTGGAATACAAAGCCCAGACACAGGAATGAGGGAAGGAGATGCTGACAATTTTGCAGAATATCCCTTTAATGTAGTTCAAGTTTCAAATATGGAGAAATCGAATAAAAAAAATTGCTATTAAAAAGATATGTGCAAAATAAAGACAACTATTTTGAATGCACCATAATAAGCATTCTGTACTTGAACTAAAAATATACTAAAGTGGGAAGTCTAAGCCACTAGTCAGCTGCTCGGGTGTCGATTATTATAAATACTGTAATGTGATTCCCAAATGATGTAGCTGAATTCACAGTATGGGCATAGGAAGCAATACTAAGATGGTAGGGCAAATGCTGTGTCTAGGATTTTATTACATAAAAGCAGACTCAAATTAGCAGCACTTATGAAATTACCATTATTCATTTTAAGATAGTCCTTTGCTTTCACGCCTATCTCGCCTTTTTTTAACATTGGTCAAAAGGAAATAGTAAGTTCTCAACCTGAATGAAACAAATATTAGTATTTACTTTAACTATTGTATCATTCTGAAATTGACCCAATTTTGTTAAAGATAATGTTTACTGTAGAGTTCTATTTTTTGTTTTTTGTTTGCCTATCCAGTTTCACTACATATTATTTAACAGGATGTGGAAGTTAACCTAATACATTGAGGTTTATATGTTTGTTTTTTCCAGTAATCATGAATAGGTACTACATTATATTAAATGTGTTTTCTGATCCTATTAAAAAGGTAAAATAGTTTTTCTCTATTAATAGAGTTAATTAAAAATATTTTCAAATGTTAAATTTTCGTTGCATTTCTTTCTTTTTATTTTCTTGGATTTAATTTCTTAATTTTTATTTGTTTGGGCCTTTGCATTTAGAGACATGAATAAAATGAGCATGTAATTTTCCTCTCAAAAAATAAGAAAAAATTAAAATGTTCCTTGCATACTAAAGTATAAACAAAAATGAAATAAATGAAATTGAAAAATAAAATGTTCCTTAGGATTTTCTTAGAAAAAAAATCTTCCTACAAAATCAACAAACCTTAGAACTAAGAAAAACAAATGAGAAAAATACACAAAGAAATAAAATCAGAAGTGAAAGAGGAGAAACTCCAACTCATGCCATAGAAATGTGAAGAATCCCTATAGAATCCCTATGAATAATTATATGTCAACAAAGCCAGGTGTGGTGGTGCATGCCTGAAATCCCAGCACTTTCGGAGGCCGAGGCCAGTGGATCACTTGAGGTCAAGAGTTCAAGACCATCCTGGCCAACATGGTGAAACCCCGTCTTTACAAAAATACAAAAATTAGCCGGGTGTGATGGCAGATGCCTGTAATCTCAGCTACTCAGCAGGCTGAGGCAGGAGAATCCCTTGAACTCAGCAGGCGGGGGTTGCAGGGAGCCAAGATCATGCCACTGCACTCCAGCCTGGGTGACAAGAGCAAAACTCCATCTCAAAAAAAAAGAAAGGAAAAAAATTATATGTCAACAAAATAGACCACTTAGAAAAAATGGATAAAGTCCTAAAAACATACAACCTACCAAGACTGAATCATAAAGAATTAAAAAGTCAGAACATACCAATAACTAACAAAGAGATTAAATTAGTAATCAAAAACCTTCCAACAAAGAAAAGCCCAGCACCAAATGCCTTCACAGATGCATTCTACCAGAATGAGGGACAAAGATGACATGATAATCTCAAAAGACACAGCAAAAGCATTCCACAAGATTCAACACCTTTTGATGATAAAAATTCTCAAGAAATTGGGTAGAGAAGGAACTTACCTCAACACAATAAAGGCCATATATAAAAAGCACATAGCTAACTAACATCATACTCAATGGTCAAAAACTGAAAGCTTTTCTCTCATATCTGGAACAAGGAAATGATACACATTCTCACCACTTCTATCCAACATAGTATTATAATTCCTAGCCAGAGTAAGTAGAAAATAAAAGGAAAAAAGAAGTATTCAAATCAGAAAGGAAGAAGTAAGATTATCTCTGTTTGCAGATTACATGATCTTATAGATGTGCAGAAAATTATATTTCTACATATGGTATAAAGAAAAGTCTAAAGATTAACCAAAAAAATTAGGATAAACAAATTTAACAAAGTTTCAGGATACAAGATCAATACACAAAAATCAGTTGTGTTTCTATACACTACAATAAATTATCAAAAAGGAAATTAAGAAAACAATCTTGGCTGGGCAAGGTGGCTTACACCCGTAATCCCAGCACTTTGGGAGGCCAAGGTGGGCAGATCACTTGAGGCCAGGAGTTCGAGACCAGCCTGGCCAACATGGCAAAACCCCATCTCTACTAAAAATAAAAAAATTAGCCAGGCATGGTGGCATATGACTGTAATCCCAGCTACTCAGGAGGCTGAGGCAGGAGAATCACTTGAACGCGGGAGGTGCAGGTTGTAGTGAGCAGAGATCACACCACTGCACTCCAGCCTGGGTGACACAGCAAGATCTGTCTCAAAAAAAAAAAAAAAAAGTCTAACTCATAGATCTGGAAAGTGAATTGGTGGTTGCCAGGAGCTGGTGGAGAGGAGAAAACAGGAAGGTATCCACCAAGGGGTACAAAATTTCAGCTACACAGACAGTAACTACTAGAGATCTACTGTACAGCATAATGCCAACAGTTAACAACACTGTATTACATACTTAAAATCTTGCTAAGGAGATATATTAAGTGTTCTTATTACCAAAATAATAATAATAATAAGAGGGTGGGAGGAAACTTTTGAAGGTGATGAATAGGTTTATGGCATAGATTGTGGTGACAGTTCCATGGGTGTTTACTTATCTTCAAACTCATCAAGTTGTATACATTAAATATGTATAGCTTTTTGCATGTCAACTATACCTCATTAGAGGGTTTATTTTTTTAATTCAGGTGAGAAAGGAGAAGAGGACCCACACAAAGGGGGAAGATGAAAGAGATATTTTTTAATTTGTCAAATGAAGTATAACTTCATTCCTTACACTCCCTATCCAAAACACGCACACATACAGACACACACACACACACACACACACACACACACTTCCCACAAAGAAAAACAGGCCCAAATGGCTTTGCGGTGAATTCTATCTAACATTTAAGGAAGCATTAACATTAATCCTTCACAAACTCTCCCCAAAAACATATAACACCAGGATTTTGGAGGCTGTGTCTCAAAATGGGGTCATAGTATGAGCCAGGATCATCCTGATACCAAAACCAAAGACATCACAAGAAAAGAAAACCATAAATTAATATTTCTGATTACTATAGGTGCCAAAAAATCTCAACAAAATACCAGCCAACCTAACAAGGAACATATAAATGGATTATATACCATAACCAAGTGGAATTATTCCAGAAATACAAAGTTGGTTCAAACTATAAAAACCAATTAATACACCATAAAACAAAGTACACAAATCACATGATCATCTCAACAGACACAGAAAAATCATTGACAAAATCTAACACCAACACCTATTTATGGTAACAACCCTCAACAAACTAGCAATGAAAGGGAGCTTTCTCAACCTGACAAAGAGCATACAGAAACCCCATAGCTCACATCAGACTCAACAGTAAAAAACTGAAAGTGCTCCCACTGAGATCAGGACTTATGAGAATATTCACTCTTCATAGAGGTTCTATCCAGAGCAATCAGGCAAGAAAAAGAAATAGCATCCCAATTGGAAAAGAAGAAATAAAACTATCTCTATTCAACATGACATGACCATGTATATAGAAAATCCTAAGGAATACACACACACTATTAGAGCTAAAAATTGAGGTCATCAAAGTTGCAGGAAATAAGATCAATATACAAAAAATTATTAATAGTATTTCTACATAGTATCAATAAACAATCAAAAAATAAAATTAATAGAACAATCTCATTGAAAATAAAATTTTTTAAATCTCATTTAAAAATGTATTCTCTAGATAATTCATCTAATTTACTAGACTTAGTACTAAATGCCACTTCTTTTCCCAAAGTCTAAAGTTCGTCATCAAAGTATAAAGATGTATTATCCCTGAAGACCTCTGATCCTTAGGGCTGGTAGTTTCCATAGAAAAGTTTCCAAGTATTCAGCAAGGATAATAAATTCAAAATGAGTACGCATATTGCTTTCCAAGGTGACAATTTGGAAGGTTGTAGCCCTCAAAATTGAGCTAGCATCTCAGTGTACTTTTTAACTCCTGTCACATTACTTCATGGTCATGCCTTCCATTTCAGGTCAATAAAGAAGCCACTCGGCTGAAATAAGTCATTATTTTCTTTTTTGAGACAGAGTTTTGCTCTTGTTGCCCAGGCTGGGGTGCAATGGCATGATCTTGGCCTCCCGGGTTCAAGCAATTCTCCTGCCTCAGCCTCCCAAGTAGCTGGGATTATAGGCATGCGCCACCACGCCCAGCTAATTTTGTATTTTTAGTAGAGACAGGGTTTCTCCATGTTGGTCAGGCTGGTCTCGAACTCCCGACCTCAGGTGATCTGCCCACCTCGGCCTCCCAAAGTGCTGGGATTACAGGCGTGAGCCACCACGCCCAGCCAATAACTCATTATTTTCAAACTGTATTTTATTTATTCCTAACCTGCCCTCTAATTCTTAATAGGAAAAAATAACACCACCTCCTAGACTGTTATAAAACTGCCAAATCTGTTTTTAAATTTTCATGTTCTTTATATTTCTTTTCTTATACATAAGATGGCTAATTAAGTGTCCTTGTTTGAAAGGCCTTTCTGAGATGCTGGCTTTCTTAAAACT
This sequence comes from Homo sapiens, assembly GCF_000001405.40. Classification (NCBI taxonomy): domain Eukaryota; kingdom Metazoa; phylum Chordata; class Mammalia; order Primates; family Hominidae; genus Homo; species Homo sapiens. The sequence goes on from NC_000010.11 coordinate 95,224,915, forward strand.
TTGTACTAACCAGGCAATGGAGCCCTTACCTGTATTGTCTTATTTCATCCTCACAATAAAGCTGTATAATAGGTGCACTTTAAATCTCTGATTTTCTAGATGAGGAAACTGAGGTACAGAGAAGTATCCAAGAATCTCAGAGTCAGAAGGTGTCAGAGTGGACATGCAAACCCAAATATTTCCAGCTCTGGCACCCTCACACTGACGACTGAACCACACTGCCTCTTAGGTTGCCCAGTATCTAAGTACACCAACCAAGCACTTTCCTGGCATCTTAAATGGGGGTAGAAAGGCTTAAGTTTAGATCTTGTGGTGTTTTAGGAAGAGCACAAGTGGTTTGTAAGGAAAATTCCTTTAGTGATTATCTAATTTCAGATTGTGGATGAAAACTCAAATCTCCTGCCTCCAGGGGAAGAAGGAAATATTGCAATCCGCATAAAACTAAACCAACCTGCTTCTCTGTACTGTCCACACATGGTAAGAAAATTTTCTTCTTTCCTAAATACTTTCATTGTTGCTACTAATCGTAGTGCCATTATTGTTGAGTACTTTATGATTTGCCAAATACTTTTGTCCCAATTTTTAATTTTGCAAATTTTTGAGTCTCCAAAAATGTTAAATAGTAGCACTCACCTACATTCACTTCTTATTAAGATTTTGCCCCATTTACTTCATATTTGCACATTTTTGATGAGACATTTGGGAGTAAATGCAGACATTATGACACTTTGTCCTTAAATATTTCAGCAGCATCCTCCTAATAAGGACTTTCTTCTTAAACATCAGCACCATCACATCTATGAAAATTAAAAATAATTATTTAATACTATCTAATATCTAGCCAATACTTAGACTTTCTCAATTGTACTCAGATGTGTTTTATACCTTTTGTAAATCCAGAATTCAATCAAAGTTCATGCATTTATTTGGTTCTCATATCTCTTTAGTTGTTTTTATCTATAACTGTTCCACCACCATGTTTTTCGTGACGTGGACATTTTGAAGAATAGAGGACGGTTGTGTTAAAAAATGCCTCACTTTCTAGGCTTACATATTGTTTCTTTATAATGAGATCCAGGATAAACATCTTTCTCAAGACTATTATGTAGATGATGTATATTTCTTATTTGCTTATGGGGGGAAACATTAGGTTGTCTCATTTTGGATGCTGATCATTTTGATCTTTTGATTAAGGAGGTGAGTGCCATTTCCATTGTAAAGGTACATTTTCCTCTTTGTAATTAGTAATAATCTGCCGTGTAACAATTTGAGACTCTGTAAATATCCTATTCTCCAATTAACTTTCACCCAATCATTTTAGCATCCATAGATGATTCTTTTCTTTTTGGAAACAATTATTAAAATAAAGAGTGGCTGGGCACAGTGGCTCATGCCTGTAATCTCAACACTTTGGGAAGCTAAGATGGACAGATCACTTGAGCCCAGGGGTTCAAGACTAGCCTGGGCAACATGGCAAAACTCCATCTCTACAAAAAAAAAATACAAAAATTAGCCAGGCATGGTGGCATGCACCTGTAGTCCCAGCTACTCAGGAGGCTGAGGTGGGAGGATAAACTGAGAGCAGGACGTCAAGAGTGTAGTGAGCTGGGTGTGATGGCACCACTGTGCTCCAGCCTGGGCAACAGAGCAATACCCTGTCTCAAAAACAAATAAATAAAATGGAGGGTGCAGAACGGTGATTTTCAAACTGCTATTTCTTATACATTAATTAGGTGGCATTATTCCATAAAGATGAGCAGTCCATTTTATCTATAAAGAGAGGCTTTCTTTTAACTACTTTTAAAATATTTATTTAGCCTTTCCTGATAATAAAACTCACTTGTGTTCAATATAGACAACTTTCAGAAATACAGAAAAGACCAAAGAAGAAAAGCATATTAACTCATAATGCCACCATTCTTAGCCACTATTAACATTTGATGTGTATATATCCTTCATTCTTTTTCTATTTATTTGTCTTGTTTTATAAAAGTGGGATTGTACTCTATCAGCTTTTGTGAAGCCTGTTTTTTTACTTATGATTTTCAGGGATCAGTAAATCTTATATGACAACTTTTTTTTTTTTTTTTGAAACAGGGTCTCACTCAGTCACCCAGGCTGGAGTGCAGTGGCACAATCTTGGCTCACTGCAACCTCCACCTCCCGGGTTCAAGCGATTCTACTGCCTCAGCCTCATGAGTAGCTGGGATTACCAGCTCTCACCACCACGCCTAGCTAATTTTTGTATTTTTAGTAGAAACAGGGTTTTACCATGTTGGCCAGGTTGGTCTGGAACTCCTGACTTCAAGTGATCCACCTGCCTCAGCCTCCCAAAATGCCAACAGCCACCGCACCCAGCCCTTATATGAAAACATTTTTAATAATTTTATAAAATCTTATCAAGGAGAACTATCATGATCTATTTAACATACCTGCTATTGTTGAAAATTTTGGTTACTTCCAATGTTTTATATTGTAAATATTTCTTCAATGAGTATCCTTGTTAACTCTTTAAATGCCTCTTTGAGTATCTCTCGTGGAGTTTTTGAGTTAAAGCCTAGGTAAAACGTTTTAAATATTTTAATAATTTCTGTGAGAGAATAATGCTGAATATTTCCAGACTGATAACACAACTTCAATACACTGAGACTTTAAAATCATGTTCTCACCCATAAGACAGATTCCAAAGAAGAGACCCAGATATCTCACATACCTACTGGGATTATTGTGCTGTTTGAGAATGAGCTGCTTACACAGCTTTTCACCAAAGTTTATTAGAACTCTAACAAGCAGGTTGTCCATTAGATCTAAGAATCTGGACACATTGGTGACGTGGTCTCTATGGCAATGAGTCAAATGCTGTTAGAATCTGGCCGGGCGCGGTGGCTCATGCCTGTAATCCCAGCACTTTGGGAGGCCAAGGCAGGCGGATCACCTGAGGTCAGGAGTTTGAGAGCAGCCTGGCCAACATGGCAAAACCCCATCTCTACTAAAAATACAAAAAAAATTAGCCGGGCTTGGTGATCGGCGCCTGTAATCCCAGCTACTGGGGAGGCTGAGACACGAGAATCACTTGAACCTGGGTGGCAGATGTTGGCAGTGAGCCGACATCACACCACTGCATTCCAACTTGCGTGACAGAGTGAGACTGTTTCAATTAAAAAAAAAAAAAGAATCTGTGAACACTCCATGGAACGATCCTGCAAAATGGGCCAATCTCATGCAAAGGGAAATTTTCACCAATCACTCTAATTGTGCTTCTGGTGTAAGAACCTTTAGCTGAAGCCACCTTTTTCTGATGGAATTTTGGTCAGGGGCGGTATGAAAATTAAAGGCACAATTCAAAGACAGGGAACAGTGATTGCATCTGATGGATGATGAGCCTGAGAAAATAGCAGCCAACACTCCTTACACATACTGTACCTGGCCTTGTGCTAAAATGCTGTGTCCATGTTGCCTCATTTAAGCCTCAGGACAAACCTCTGAGTGAAGTGCCATCATTACTCTTGTTTCTAGCTGGGACAAAAAAAAAAAAGCTGAAGTTAAGAGAAATGACCAAGGAAAGTTCTCCGTGTTTGTTGAGTTTTCTATGTGAGATCCCCTGGAGAGTGGGGATCCTGACTTATTTTTCTCAGTCTCCCCTGGGGCTAGCCAGAGTGCTCAATTCATATCACTAAATGATTGTGAGAGGGAAGTAAATGTAGGTTTCTGGATTCATCATTCTATCAGGTGAGCTGGGAGGAATATGCTTCAGCAAGAGGCCACATGCTTTACCTCACAGGTGACAGAGGGATCATGGATGAAGACGGCTACTTCTGGTGGTCTGGTAGAGTTGATGATGTTGCCAATGCATTGGGTCAGAGATTGTGAATGCTTTGGTTATTGCTATTGAGCCTGGGGCTGTGGGAGTTTGAAGAAGACTCTGGACTGCTTCCAATACGTAGGAATTATATTTCTAAAGTTTAGAAAATGCAAACAACCAAAAATAAAAAAATAAAACTCATCCATAATCTCATATTGTGGAGTATATTCTTCTAATCTTCTTTCTTCTTATACATAAACTTTTTTTTTTGGTAGAATTGAGTTCAGGGAGAAATGCTCTAGCGTAACTTGCCTTTTTCACTCAACAATGTAACAGAAATATTTTTCTGTGCAATTAAATATAAAAATTCATTTTTTAAATTAGTTTATCACGACCAATAAGTACACAGATCTTACATGAATACTGTCAGGCCTCTGAGCCCAAGCTAAGCCATCATATCCCCTGTGACCTGCACGTACACATCCAGATGGCCGGTTCCTGCCTTAACTAATGACATTCTACCACAAAAGAAGTGAAAATGGCCTGTTCCTGCCCTAACTGATGACATTATCTTGTGAAATTCCTTCTCCTGGCTCATCCTGGCTCAAAAGCTCCCCTACTGAGCACCTCGTGACCCCCATTCCTGCCCGCCAGAGAACCCCCCTTTTTCCTTTACCTACCCAAATCCTATAAAACGGCCCCACCCCTATCTCCCTTCGCTGACTCTCTTTTCGGACTCAGCCCGCCTGCACCCAGGTGAAATAAACAGCCTTGTTGCTCATACTAAGCCTGTTTTGTGGTCTCTTCACACGGATGCGAATGAAAAATAGCCCAATGGATGTCTACACACATACACACCCCTGTAACCGTCTAGATCAAGATATAGGATATTTTTAGCCTCCTGGGCTCTCTCATGTCCTCATACCTCTGTGAAAGCTGTACTTCTTTCATGAATTTTGGACGAATTTCTATGCCTAATAACAGTTTCAGAGACTGAGAAAAGGAGACTAAATTCTAAGGAGCAACAAATTCCAAGGGCAGATGGTGGCAAGTAGATACCATGGGTCATCCTGATTCAGAGCTTGCTGACCACAAAAATCACAGGAATGTTGAGAAATAGAAATCAAGATCTAGGTTTTATGGACTCATTGCTATTACATGCCACTGCTTCTGGGACGTGAGTCAGCAAACTTGCTTTCTCTCCACTATTCCACTCTGATCCTTGACCCAATTAAACAATCCCAACTATATTTTGCTCAGGAAGTCTCTCTCCTTTGAGCACTCCTTGTTGCAGTAGCAGTAAACGAAGTGCTTGCCTCTGCCTCTAACTGCTCTCAATTTGTACTTTGAGACCCTCCTCCACAAGTAGCAATTATTCTGACTTCTAAAGTGCAGGTCAAATCTGCCTGTTCCTGAATTTCATATAAATGGAATCATACAGTTTGCACCCTTTTGTGTCTGTCTTCTCACAAAATAATGTCTGGACAATTCATTTATGTTGTTGTATGGATCAACAGTCCATTCTTTTTCATTGCTATGCAGAATTCCATTGTATGAATACACCCAGAATTTATCCATTCTTATGTTAATGGTGACTGAGGTTGTTTCCAATTTAAGAATGCCTCCTTTGCCCAACACCGCTGCACCTGGGAAGTTAGGCATTTTCTCTCACCCTTGGGATTAAGTGTGCGGGTGGTCAAGCAGCAGCGATTTCCAAGCCCCCCTAGCAGCTCTCACAGCAGGTGTCACAAAAGAGTTTGCACCACTCCAAACAGTCAAAACGGGCCATCCCCCCACCCGACCCCCGCCTTCTCTGGATTTTAAAGACTGTGTAGGAGGAGAAAATGGGGACGGGGGTCCCCTGGTTAATTCATTTATCTTAAGTTCCCGTAACCAAACTAGCCCCTCAGTTTACGCCTTTGACCCTCAAAGTTCTTTCCACTTCGTACCGTGAGATCAGAATCCCTGAAAGAAGCTTCTTGCCCTACCCGGCTGACCATCCTTGGGCACTCAGCTGTGCTGGGATGCTGTTGCCCTATTTCCCGCGTAGAAACAACTGCTGGTGGCGCCGCCGGCTGAAGAGTGCAGAACTGTGGCCCTGAGCCAAGCTGGGGCAAATATGGGAGACGCGGGATGGGAGAGAGTGGGGAGAGAGGACGCTATGAGGATTCTTGGAGGGAGGGACCAGAGCAGAGGTGGTGAGTGGCAGGAGGAGGCAAATGTCCCCGCAACCAGGAAGTTCATCGGGTTGAAGTTTCCTCTGCCGTCGCCTCCTGCTCGCCAGCAGAGCTGAGCCTGGTGTGCTGCCTTTCTGGAAAGCCTGCCACCACCACCCTCGGCGTGGGATGCCGGCCCGCGAGGAACCTCGGGGACACACAAATGGCCGCACCTGAATCTGGCTGCCATTGTGACTCTGCCGCGCACGCGCAGCTCCATCCCCTTTGAGGCGCGCATGTGCTCGCCAAGGGGGCGCTTCTGTCAGGCCTCTGAGCCCAAGCCAAGCCATCGCATCCCCTGTGACTTGCACGTAAAAGCCCAGATGGCCTGAAGTAACTGAAGAATCACAAAAGAAGTGAATATGCCCTGCCCCACCTTAACTGATGACATTCCACCACAAAAGAAGTGTAAATGGCCGGTCCTTGCCTTAACTGATGACATTACCTTGTGAAAGTCCTTTTCCTGGCTCATCCTGGCTCAAAAAGCACCCCTACTGAGCACCTTGCGATCCCCACTCCTGCCCACCAGAGAACCAACCCCCTTTGATTGTAATTTTCCTTTACCTACCCAAATCCTGTAAAATGGCCCCACCCTTATCTCCCTTCGCTGACTCTCTTTTCGGACTCAGCCCGCCTGCACCCAGGTGAAATAAACAGCCATGTTGCTCACACAAAGCCTGTTTGGTGGTCTCTTCACATGGACGCGCATGAAAGCTTCCTCCAAAAGGAAAGCCAGAGGCACGCAGGCCTAGGTTGCCTCGCCGCCCCCTGCGCCTTTTCCTGCAGACTGGTGCATAGTATTTTTAAAAATATTGCGAGGACAACGTCTTCTCTGCGAGCCTGGGGAAGAGGCGAAACCACGGGAAGAGTTGAGATGTATCCAGTTAACCAGGTAGAAATTGTACCTCCAGGACTCATCAAGGCTAAATATAAAAGTTGCGTGGTTTTTTTGTTTTTGCTTTTTGAGACTGAGTCTCGCTTTTGTCGCCCAGGCTGGAGTGTAATGGCGCAATATCAGCTCACTGCAACCTCCACCTCCTGGGTTCAAGTAATTCCCCTGCCTTGGCTGGGATTACAAGCGCCCGCCACCACGCCCGGCTTTTTTTTTTTTTTTTTTTTTTTAAGTAGAGACAGGGTTTGCCCATGTTGGCCAGGCTGGTCTCGAACTCCTGACCTCAGGTGATCCGCCTGCCTCGGCCTCCCAAAGTGCTGGGATTACAGGCGTGAGCCGCTGCACCTGGCCAAAAGTTGTGTGTGTTTATCAGGGACAACCCCTGTGCTTTGAGTTCTACCTGAGCTGTGAATCTCCTGTTATTACTAATTTGTCTACAGATGAGTAAACTGAGGTTCAGAGAGATTACATGACTTATCCATGTCATACAGTGATCAAGAAGTGGAGCCAGGATTTGAACCCATGAAGTCCCACTCCAGATTCCTTCGTATAAGTTTACACGGAAAAAAATTTTTAGATAAGATGTCTAGGTGCCTTCTTTCCTGCCTGCTTTAAAAAAAAAAATCAGCTGGAAGAATTTTTTAATTGTTTTTGTTTTCATAATTGATAATCGTGTGGGGAGCACTAATTCCCCAAGTGGGTCACAAGGAGTTATCCTGAGCAGGAATGCTCTTACTGTCCCCCTTGCTCCTGTACTCATACCGTCTACCTCTTGGGGACACAGCACTAAGTAAATTTCACCGATTGAGTGTTCCTATGTTCTAGAAAATGGCACTCTACACTCACAAGGGGTCGTATATAAGCTGGCATTTCAACTATGTCTTCAACAGGCCATACCATCACCCTTTTATGCTGGCCATTTCTGGGTGGTGCAGATTGTGATAGATCCACTGGACTCCATGGTCATGTGCCCACTGCTGTGCCTCCTTTGCAGTAAAATGGGTCCTTGGTCCCACAAGGCCATGAGGGATCCTGCGCTAGTGGATCTAAAGATCTTTGTGTCCTCAGAAAGTGTTGTGTTTGAGGCCCTGTGGACAGCAAAGGCAAACCCAATATACCTATATGGGTCTATTCCTGACTGAATAAATAAATCACTGCACTTTCCAAAATGGAAGGGATCCAAGCTAGTCAGCTTGCCACCAAGTGGCTTAGCTGGTGTCTTCAAAAGATAGCACTGTTCAGTTGGTCATTCTTGCTGGAAGGTTGAACATTTGGCAGCCAATAGCTAGATTGGCCTTGAAATAGAAGCCCATCTTACTGCAACCACGTAGAGCCTCTGACAATCATGGATACCCCACCCACGCACCCATTACGCCAACACAGGGGTGCCCAACAACAGGCTGGCTCATGTCCATTGGTTAATTCATTTTGTCAACCTGGTCACTTACTGTCTCTTCCATGGTTTATTCTAATGAGGGTTAACAGAGGTCTATCCACATTCCTCTACTCCAGACCTCCTTGTCCTGATCTTCTCATCTTTACCCTCTGATCAGCCAACCACATCATTCACCACTGTCCATAAGTCCAGGCACATTTATACTGAAGCCACTTCTTTTGCCACACAAAGTAGATCATTAGGAATACTACCGGAAGCTCTGCCCAGTGGGAGGACTTCTTTTCTCCTTACAAAGCCAGCTCAAGAAGTACAGCAGTGCAGCCACCATTTCAGCATGCCCTTACATACCTAGCCAACTCATCCATGAATCAAGTCTGGGCTTCCTCTTCCACCATCTGCTGCTCATACGGGATCCCCCATCAGCCATGGGGAATTGCTAAGGGAGGGGCACAGCAGTAGAAAGAATGAGTATCCAGGCTTCCATGCCCCTACAGCTCACATATTTCCTTCAGCCCTGCTCAAGCCTTCCTCTCATCTCATGAGGGATTGCTCTGGAAGATGCCTGACCTTCTGACCTAATGAGAATGAGAGAACCCAAATCATGATGGGCAGTTCTGCCACCTGATGTCCCATGGTCAGGGGCTTTGTCTCTATCCAAGCTGTGGAAGAATGCCAGGAGTTATTTTATGAAAAGCATAAAGTTCTGTACTGCAGATGGCAGTCTTGTTCTAGAACCCAAGGGGCTTGGGTTTTTATTCTCCCACTGGTGTACCATCTTGAAAACTCTGACATCATAGGGTCTCCTAGATCACATGAACCAAGCACAGAGCCACTTCCACTATAGCCTGCACCTGCTGCAGATCACTTTTCTGCTCTGGGCCAGATCAAAGCTGGCAGCCTTGAAGGGAAACAGAAATCCAAGATGTCTTTGTTTTAAGGTGTGTTTAAAGTTGTGTTGTCCAATACAGTAGCCACTACCCCCATGTGTCTACTGAGCACTTGAAATGTGGCTTGTGACAAATGTTGAAATGATAATACTTTGGATATATAGTATTATATAAAATGTATTATTGGCCGGGCACGGTGGCTCACACCTGTAATGTCAGCACTCTGGGAGGCTGAGGTGGGCTGATCGCTTGAGCCCAGGAGCTCAAGATCACCCTGGACAACATAGCAAAACCCCACCTCTATTAAAAAATATAAAAATTAGCCAGGCACGGCGACTTGTGCCTGTAGTCCCAACTACTCAGGGGACTGAGGTGGGAAGATCACTTGAGACCAGGAGGTCGAGGAAGCCATGATTGTGCCACTGCACTCCAGCCTGGGTGACAGAGCAAGACCTTGTCTCAAAAAATATAAAAAAGAAAGTATTACTGGCCGGGCGTGGTGGCTCACACTTGTAATCCCAGCACTTTGGGAGGCCGAGGTGAGTGGATCACAAGGTCAGGAGTTCGAGACCAGCCTGGCCAACACAGTGAAACCCCTTCTCTACTAAAAATACAAAAATTAGCTAGGCATGGTGGTGCGCGCCTGTAATCCCAGCTACTTGGGAGACTGAGGCAGGCGAATGGCTTGAACCTGGGAGGTGGAGGTTGCAGTGAGCCAAGATTGTGCCACTGCACTCCAGCCTGGACGACAGAGCTAGACTCTGTCTCAAAAAAAAAAAAAGGTATTATTACAATTAATTTTACCTGCTTTTTTTGTCTTTTCACATTGCTACTAGAGAATTTTAAATTACATTCATGCGTTGCATCATACTTCTATTGGACAGCGATGAAGCAGCAATCACCCATTTACAGATTTACCAAGCTTGTGGACTATCTGCCACTAGCAAGGTACTGAGCTGAGTGCCGAGGAGAAAAGGCTGAAAAAGACAAAGGATCAGCTCTCATGCAAGGCTTCTTTCCTTTCACGAGATGAGTGATTAGTGTCTTGTGTGATGCATGCCAAGAAGGTGTCCCCTGGGTATGGAAGCATAGGAGAGTGGCATCCAAGTCATGCTGGGCAGTCAGGAAGCCTGTCTGGAGGAGGAGGTGGCTCAATCTCGAAAGACAACAGAAATTTATTAAATGTTAAAAGTAATCAAGGGGTGCAGGAAGAGCATACCAAGTCAGAGAAAACAGCTTGATCACAGTCTGCATGACTCTGGCTGAGTTTTTCCTCTTCAAGAAATTTTCTGAAAGCTTAGTAATTAAAGATGGCTACAGAGTTAGACTGTTCCTTCCAATCTTTTCATTTTAGAGGAAGCATGAAAGAGAAACAATCAGATAAATATGGTAGGCATGAAGCACAAAAAATAGGCCAAATCTCAAATTGCTCTCAGCAGTAATTTTTTTTTTTTTTTTTTTTTTTTTTTTTGAGACGTAGTCTCACTCTGTCACCCAGGCTGGAGTGCAGTGACACAATCTCAGCTCACTGCAACCTCTACCTCCCAGGTTCAAGTGATTCTCCTGCCTCAGCCTCCAGAGTAGCTGGAACTGCAGGCATGCACCACTATGCCCAGCGAACTTTTGTATTTTTAGTAGAGACAGGGTTTCACCATGTTGGCCAGGCTGGTCTGAAACTCCTTACCTCAAGTGATCCACCCACTTCAGCCTCCCAAAGTGCTGGGATTACAGGCATGGGCCACCACGCCCGGCAGAGCAGTAAATATTTGTATGTGCCAAATACTGGGGGCAAAAGGGAAGGGCTTCTTTGCCACATAACACAACTGGCACTTAGGGGTGGTAATGCTGACATTCTGTTTCATTCAGTCAGGAAATGAACTCCTCATACAGGCTATATTGAATAGTAATAATGGTCACCTGAAGCTGTTGGTGTTTGGCCTCCCCTGGAAGCAAGATATCTGTATGAAAGACCCACACCTAAGAAGTAATACTGACAAATGTCAGACATTTGATTGGCACATTATCTGAGGAGAGGGATTAGAGAAAGTTCTAAGTATCCATGACTCATCTATTCCTTACAATCAAAATCCAAATCATGACTGTTAATGTCTTTGTAAATGAGTCAGACCTGCTGTGGTTCAGAGACTTTTCATTTTATGTTGATTTCTAAGAATTGCATAGTTTAAGCCACCTTGACTTTTATAAGCGTAGAAACAGATGGGGTTTAAAGTAAGAACTCATTAACTGCCAAAAAATAAAAAAAAGAAATCGAGAGCTTTAACATGACATGATTTTCTGCCTGAACAGTTTCAGTTCTGCTTGTTGTGGCACTACAACAGCTCACGTGCATGAACTGTCCATCGTACATTCTGGCTTCAGAGTCTGTGGTATGAAATCCTGGTACTGATTACAATTCTTACTATTAGAGTATGTACCATGTTAGTGCATTCATAATGAAAGGTCATGAACTATTACCAAGGGTGGTGAGCACTGCTCAAGAATAGATGGTTGCTCCTTTGGAGGAAAGAGGGTTGCTTGGAGTACCCTGTCCGCCTCTCATAACAATCACTTAGTCTCAGTGTCTGGAGGGATGGGGGCACCACTGAGCCCATGAGGGATTAGTCACCAGGAGATAAACTGTGGTGACCTCAGATCTTGACTCAGGACTCGTTCTTAGCAGCCAGGGTCCTCAGTCTCCTCTGTGAGGAGGACACAGTGGCCATGTCCTGGGCTCTCTGCTGCTGCTGGACACTTTCCTGAGGTTGCTGCCCTTCATGAAGGGGAGCAGCTGTGATGTCAGCAACCAGCCTGAAGAGGGACTTACTAGGGAATGTTTCCAAGCCAACTGCTAATGCTCCCACCTATTATTTGGGAAGCATTCATTTCCTCAGATAAGCCTCAGAACAGCCCAATGCAAAGAAAACTTGATTTCATTAAAACAGAGCTAGGGGCCGGGCGCGGTGGCTCACGACTGTAATCCCAGCACTTTGGGAGGCCAAGGCGGGCGGATCACGAGGTCAGGAGATCAAGACCATGCTGGCTAATGTGGTGAAACCCCGTCTCTACTAAAAATACAAAAAAATTAGCCGGGCGTGGTGGCAGGTGCCTGTAATCCCAGCTACTCCGGAAGCTGAGGCAGGAGGATGGCGTGAACCCAGGAGGTGGAGCTTGCAGTGAGCCGAGATAGCGCCACTGCACTTCAGCCTGGGCGACATAGCGAGACTCCGTCTCCAAAAACAAAAAAAAAACAGAGCTAGGTATCTTATATTAGCTTTACAGAAAGAGGATTTCAAGCAAGCTTCGAAGAAATGTAAGAACAGAGCTTGTTAAGATGCAAGTTGCGGGGGAAAGGCCAGTAAATCTGAGAGAAACAAGAAACCCAAAACAAGAAGACAGGCCTCAGAAATCTCATCAGGCTTGAGTAGGAAATGGGACACATAATCAGATAACAGACACCACACTGCTTTGTAGTCTATACATTTATTGAGTAAAAACAAAATCAGTGTCAGACACGTTATATTTGATTGGGTTCAAATTTGGCTGATGTCCAAATGCAGCAGAGAAGAACGGTGGGGCGAAGGGACACAGTGTTGCTGACAAGGTGACACTGAACAAAACAGTTTTCCTTTAATTGTAAAAGCGGGCATCGCACAGCTGGTGTGAGTCAATTAACCAAGGCAGGGAGGGGACTCAATGTTTTACAAGCAGAGGGAAAACCAAAGTAAGCAGAGAACTTTCAAGAGAGGAGAGGGCCAGAACACTGAGAGAAAAAGCTGCAGCAGAGGCCTGCTGGAGAACAGTGGTCAGATCTGCTGGCTCACTTGGGGAACACAGTGACCACTTCATAACCCTCAGGTGGTGTGACTCGCTCCCGGGCATGCTTCTCACAGTAGATTTGATCCTCCACAAAGAAATGGCCCTTCTGTTTCAGGTTGGTGCCACAGTCAGTGCACACATAACACTCAGGGTGGCGGTGACGGTCCCGCAGCTTCACAAACACACCACTACAGAAGCAAGGGAGGGAAGGGACTCCATCAGTGACAAGCACCTGCAGGTGGCACCTGAGCAGGTGGCACCATCCTTCCTGAGCAGGGGCCTGGGGCTTCTCCCCAGGAACCCATCACAGGGGAAACCAGGGCCTCCCAACTGGCCTCCAATCATAAGGGACTTGCTTCTCCTTCCCAGGGTCCAGAGACATTTTTCCAAAAACCCCTCCTACTTCAACAGGGCAGCCCTGATTTTTCTCATTTTACATGTTCATAACCTAAGGGCTCCGCAGTGAAGGAAAACCTTCACAACCTGGCTCTGGGACACAGGACCTTTCTGGCCTCTCTGTTGCATTTTTCCAGGAGGGATTTGTCTCCCTCACAAGCAAAATGTGCAACATCCAGCACTTTCCACATTTTCATGGTTTACCCAACCTGCAGGGTCTGCAAAGGCTGTGGGAAGCAGATACTCACACAATCCCAGTGCCACATTTGTCACACATAGGCAACTTCTGAGCATTTCCAATCGACGCAGCCACTTTAGTGACAGGAGCTTTAACACTTCTGAATCCTGAGGGCTTGTTGGGATCCCCTGAAATGAGGAAAACACTGTCATTGGCCAGGAAGGGCAGAATTGCATAAGTATCACTCAGCTCTTCAGAACCACTTATAAATATATGTTCAAGCAAGGCCATGGGAACTGGAGTGACTCTGCTCTGTGATCCTGGGCAAGTAACTTAGCCTCTCTGGTCCCCAGTTTATTTTTCTATAAAATAGGAGATTAACACCTGGCCAAAGAAAAGCCCAAAAAGCCAAGACAATCCTAAGCAAAAACAATAAAGCTGGAAGCATCATGCCACCCAAATTCAAACTATATTACAAGGCTACAGTAATCAAAACGACATGGTACTGGTAGAAGAACAGAGAACAGAGAACCCAGAAACGAGACCACACACCCACAACCATCTGATCTTTGACAAACCTGACAAAAACAAGCAATGAAGAAAGGATTCCCTATTTAATAAATGGTGCTGGGAGACCTGGCTAGCCATATGCAGAAAATTGAAACTGGATCCCTTCTTTACACCATATATAAAAATCAGCTCAAGATGGATTAAAGACTTAAATGTAAAGCCCAAAACTATAAAAACACTACAAGAAAATCTAGGCAATACCATTCAGGACATGGGCATGGGCAAAGATTTCATGATGAAAACCCGAAAAGCAATTGTAACAAAAGCAAAAATTGACAAATGGGATCTAATTAAACTAAAGAGCTTCTGCACAGCAAAAGAAACTATCATCAAAATGAAGAGACAACCCACAGAATGCGAGAAAATTTTTGCAATCTATCCATCTGACAAAGGTCTAATATCCAGCATCTGCAAGGAACTTAAAACAAATTTACAAGAAAAAAATAAGCCGGGCACAGTAGCTCACTTCTGTAATCCCAACACTTTGGGAGGCCGAGGTGGGTGGATCACCTGAGGTCAGGAATTTGAGAATAGCCTGGCCAACATAGCCAAACCCCCTCTCTACTAAAATTACAAAAATTAGCCAGGTGTGGTGGCATGCACCTATAGTTCCAGCTACTCAGGAGGCTGAGGCAAGAGAATCACTTGAACCCAGGAGGCGGAGGTTGCAATGGGCTGAGATTGTGCCACTGCACTCCAGCCTGGGCAACAGAGCGAGACTCCATCTCAATAAAAGAAAAAAATAACCCCATTAAAAAGTGGGCAAAGAACATGAACAGACAGTTTTCAAAAGACATACATGCGGCCAACAAACATGAAAAAAAGCTCGACATCACTGATCATTAGAGAAATACAAATCAAAACCACAATGAGATACCGACTCACGCCAGTCTGAATGGCTATTATTAAAAAGTAAAAAAACAACAGATGCTGGCAAGGTTGTGGAGAAAAAAGAACGCTTTCACACTGTTGGGATGTAAATTAGTTCAAACATTGTGGAAGACAGTGTGGTGAGTCCTCAAAGACCTAGAAGCACAAATACCATTCAGCCCAGCAATCCCATTACTGGATGTATACCCAAAGGAATATAAATCATTCTATCATGAAAATACATGCACTCTTACGTTCATCACAGCACTCACTATTCATGATAGCAAAGACATGGAATCAACCTAAATTCCCATCAATGATAGACTGGATAAAGAAAATGTGGTACGTATACACCAGGGAATACTATGCAGCCATAAAAAGGAACGAGATCTTGTCCTTTGCAGGGACATGGATGGAACTGGAAGCCATTACCCTCAGCAAACTAATGCAGGAACACAAAACCAAATACCACATATTCTCACTTGTAAGTGGGAGCTGAATGATGAGAACAGATGGACACATGGTGGAGGGACAAGACACACTAGGGCCTGTCAGATGGTGGGGAGTGGGGGAAGGAGAACATCTGGAAGAATGGCTGATGGATGCTGGGCTTAATATCTAGGTGATGGGATGATCTGTGCAGCAAACCACCATGGCACGTCATTACCTATGTAACAAACCTGTGCATCCTACACATGTACCCCTGAACTTAAATGTTGGAAATTTAAAAATAAATAAAGTTCTTAGAAAAGAAATCCACATCACAGATAGAACAAAACCATCAGAATACAGCATGCTACAGCAGGCAGATAACAATCATCTCCTACAGAGCAGAGGAAGGAGCCTTTCTGTAGTCAGCCTGGTGCGTGTAAAATAAGCCCCTAGTAGCTAGATGCTGAGCTGCCTAAGGCCCCACTCATCACATCTTAGGTAACAAAGCCCTGTACCATGGTAGCTATTAATAATGGTAAAAATCACCTGGAGGCCTTGTTAACACACAGATTGCTGGGCCCCACCCCCAGAGTTTCTGAGCCAGAAGGCCCAGGATGGGGCCTAAGACTGCATTTCCAACAAGTTCCCAGGCGCCACTGATCCAAGAACCACTGGACAAGAGCAAAGAAACAGCTTCCTGTGCCAGGTGAGGGGATGAAGAGAGGGTCACCCCATGACTGCAGTCACGTCGGGCAATCGCGGGGCTGACAGACAAGGGCCTTAGCTCTCTTGTTCTTTCAGAAAGTGAGTCCCTGTATGCTGACCAATCCTTCCGAACCAAAAATTGAGACACATGTTCACACAATGGACATTTATTAATTGTTTATTTTTACTGATTAGAGATAGCATCTCGCTATGTTGTGTCTCAAAGTCCTGCCCTCCAGCGATCCTCCCACCAGAGCTTCTCCAGTAGCCACTGTGCCTGGCAACAAGGGGCATTTAGAATACATGGTTGACTGTATTTTGACCACAATTACCCCGCCCCTCTCTTGCCATGCTTACCTCCAGTCAGTGGTTCCCTACTGGGGGCAGTTTTGTCTCCTAGAGAGCAGTTTCGATTGTCACAGTGAAAGGGGATGCCACTGGCGTCTAGTGGGCAGAGGTCAGGGATGCTGCTGAACATCCCAAAATACACAGGGCAGCCCCACAACAAGGACTCATATGGCCCAAAATGTCAATAGCACCAAGGCTGAGAAACCCTGCTCTCGATGGAGTAGACTTCCCCATCCTGACTTTAGCCAACGTGAGCAGATGTGAGCCTTATACAGGCAAAAGCACTAAGGGCACTTGTGTGGTTTGGCCCTGTTCCCACAGAGGTATTGCCTCTGCCATGAAAACAGCAAGCACCAGAGTGCCTCTCCCTTCCCTGGGCTTGAATGAGAGGACTCGGGGCCTGGTCCAGCCCTGCCAAGCCCAGCAGAGCCACAGCTATCCGGTAGCCCTCATAAATACAGATTACCCACTGCTGAATAATACAATATGAGAGATGGTTTGGGGTACTTGGCTGGCTTATGGGGAACAACAAGAGGGTATATGTGAATGCAGCCTGAACTCTCAATAGCCCTATCATGCTGCCATGGCTCAGACTTAGGCTTCCCCCCTCAGAGCTGGGACTATTCATCGCTGGGAACCGATGCACACAGATGTCCACCTGGCAGCACATGAGATGGGGCTGAGATTAGGAGGCTCCATGGTTTTAAGTGGTGAGCTCTACAGATGGGCTTGGGGAAGACTCAGTTCTGCCCCACCAGCAGGTGCATAAGGAGAAACCACCTTGGTGCTTCTGTTCTCCCCGAGCCTAGGGCAACTTCTTGCCCTTCCCAAGCCTTCCTCCCTTCCTTTGGGAGGAGGCCAAAGTTCCAACTTTGTTCACCATATATTTTACCTGTATTAATTTTTTTAATATTGCATTTAAATGTCATTTTTTTTCATGATTATTGAGTTTTCCAGTGCCCCCTTAAATTCTGCACTCAAGGCCGGGCGCAGTGGCTCATGCCTGTAATCCCCAGCACTTTGGAAGACCAAGGCGGGCAGATCACTTGAGGTCAGGAGTTCGAGACCAGCCTGGCCAACATGGTGAAACCCCATCTCTACTAACAATACAGAAACTAGCCGGGCATTGTGGGACGTGCCTGTAGTCCCAGCTACTTGGGAGGCTGAGGCAGGAGAATGGCTTGAACCCGGGAGGCGGAGGTTGCAGTGAGACGAGATCACGCCACTGCACTCCAAACCTAGGCGACAGAGGTCTCAAAAAAAAAAAAAAAATTCTGCCCTCAAAGCAGTGCCTCCCTCACCTCACCCTGATCCTGGCCCTTCCTAGAGGGATCTCAGAAGGGCCTGGGTGGGCATCTTCTCTAAGCATCATGCCTCAAGCATCCCAAACGGATTCCCTCATTTTCTGGCTGATGAAGCCATCTGGCTGCCTGCCCATGACAAGAAGGAAATGGCAGCATCTCTACATACCTGGGCAGTTTGCAAAGGCACTGATTGGGCTGAGAACCAGCTCAATGAGGTCGGGCTCTCTTATGCAATGGGCTTTTCACATTTCACACTTAAAGACCTGGAATCCACTCAATCCATAGAAAAATCACCAGGAAAGAAGAGAGGCTGCAAAAGGGTAGAATGAGAAAAAGCCAGGAGGGACATGAAATCTCCATTAGGTAGGAGAATCCACATCTTTTTCTAGAATGAAGAGACCTGACCTGGATAAAACTGGGCACAGCTTGGGGGAGAAGGCTGCCTGCCCAACAGAAGACTCACTGTGGCCTGTTCAGCCCTACAGTGCCACCTGTTGGCTTCAAGGTTTTTTCTCTCACATATCCAGCCAACACTGCGAATCCAGAGAAATCTCTCTTCCTTTCTTCTCAACTAGCTTATAGTGAAAATACTAGCTTCCTTTGAACTCCAGGCAACTACAAAAATTTCCAAATTTCTCTTCTTACAGTGAACCCTGTATCCCAAATATTTCTGGAAAAAAAGTGAAAATTAGCTAAATAAACCACAGCTGTTTTTCTGTCCACTTCACTGCTCAACAACCTTGCATGACTTCACACTACCTTTAGAATCAAGCTCATGATTCTTAACCTTGCACCTGGTGGTCCCCCATATCTAACTCGAGATCACCCAAGGATTCACCTGGAACCCTGGGTAACCAGCCAAAACGAGCCTCGGTACTTGCTGAACTAGTCTCCAGTTTTCTCATCTCAGAGCCTCTGGCCACCACTGTGTTTTCTCAGCCCATGACTGCTCCTTCCAAACCTCCAATCATTGAAAGTCTCCTTCAATGGACAGATGAATGGATAAATAAAATGTAATATACACAAACAACGGAATAATACTCTGCCTTAAAATGGAAAGAATTTCTGACACATGCTACATGGATGAACCCCGAGGATATTAAGCTAAGTGAACTAAGCCAGGACCAAAAGGACAACTACTGCATGACACCACTTATACAAGGTATTTAGAGTAGTCAAATTCATAGAGACAAGCAGGAGGGTGGTTACCAGGAGCTGGAAGGAGAGAGGAATGGTGAAATACTCTTTAATGGGAATAGTTTCAGTTTTGCAAAATAAAAGAGTTCTATGGATGGATGGTGGTGATAGTAGCACAATCACATAAATGTACTTAATACCACTAAATTGTACACTTAAAATTTGTTAAGATGGTAAATTTTATATTAAGTATATTTCACCATTTTTCTTAATATAACGGCTTCTTCTGCCTGCAAGTTTTGGAATTTGATCCAGAACAAGATGAAGGTGAGGAACCAAGGGCCCCTTTCTCCTAGTCTAGAAGCTGAATTTTACCCAAAATGAGACAGCTTGTGTTGGGTCTTCAAGGTTTATGACCAAATACTGCTGTAGCCAAGCTTCCTTCAGGGAGGGGCCTTACTCACTGTGCACCTGGCAGTTTACAGACGTGGCTTTACTTAACCCTGTAAACAATCCCATGAGGTCCTGGCTATTAGCTTCAATGGATCTGTGCAGAAACTAGAGCTTAGAAAGGCAAGCAACTTGCTGGAGGTGTCACAGCAGGTCAGAGGCAGATCCTGGATGCCAGTGCTCTTTCTGCCCTGCAGCACTGCTTTCTGAACCAGAGGCGTTTCTGAATGACAGGACCTCTCATCAACTGCTTTTACTACCTTAACCTTTCACCATTTTATCTCAAATAAAAACAGGCATTTGGGGCCGGGTGCAGTGGCTCACATCTGTAATCCCAGCGCTTTGGGAGGTCCAGGTGGGCAGATCACCTGAGGTCACAAGTTCAAGACCACCCTGGCCAACATGGAGAAACCCCATCTCTATTAAAAATACAAAAATTATCTGGGCATGGTGGTACACATCTGTAATCTCAGATACTTGGGAGGCTGAGGCAGGAGAATCGCTGCAACCTGAGAAGCGGAGGTAGCAGTGAGCCGAGATCATGCCACTGCACTCCAGCCTGGGCAACAGAGCAAGACCCTGTCTCAAACAAAAACAAAAACAAAAACAAACAGGCATTTGGGTTCCTTCCCCGAAGAGCCTTCTGCATGTAAAGAATGTTTAGAATGGAATTTATCCTGTTACTGTCAGTAAAGATTTAATGCGGGTACACAGTAAGAGATACAGGAGAAACTACAAGATTTGCTATCTCCCTCTTCCCTTCCAGCAGAATCTTGATTCTCTTTGGGGCAAGAACCATCCAGACTAAGGGCTAAAATTTTTTTTAAAAAGAATCCTAATTCCCAGACTCTCGTTTAACTAGGTGTAGCCAGGTGACTAAATCATGGTCAATAAAATGGAAGAGTAGTGTGGGACTTCTGGGAAGGAGAAAGCTGGCTCATCTGAAATTGGAACTCCCCGGTTAGCATTATCTCCCTTCTTCCTCCCTGTCACCTGGGGGTAAGCATGATGGTTGGAACACCAGCTGCTAACCAGGACCACGAAGTAACCTTGGGAATAGAAGCCACAAATTTGGGTGCTGGAGTGCCGGATAGGAGTCCAGATCTTGAAGAGCATGGAGCTTCCAAATCCATGCTCAGGTCCTTCTCTGTGAGCTGAGATGAGCTCTGCAGCATGTCTAGTTGGGCACGGATGAACTTGACCTTGCCTCTCATTGAAGGGTTTCACATCCACGTAAGAGTGAAATAAGTTGTGGTTTCTCACATGTTTTTACAAAGCTATCATCCTCAAGGGTTGGCCCCCAAGTTGTTTGTCAGGCAAAGCTAATACTGGAACTTGATACGAAGTATGGCTCATTACTTCCCAGCTGCTCAGCTACTCCAAGCAAAAGAGGAAAGCAGTGGTAGAACAGTATCATTTTAGCATAAAAGAAGCACATGCAAACACATGGCCCATGGTTTCCTAATTTCCTATGGTTGTAAACTGCCACTCTCTCTAAAGAAATCACACAAATGGGGAGGAAGCCCAGGTGTCGGGTGTGTTCAGAAGAGAACTTTCTTATCAGAAAGGGCTCCCCAGGAAGCTGAATCTTCGGCTGCGGACTTTGAGGAGGGAGGTTCATCTTCCAGAGGGCACAAGCCTCTCAGCCAACATGCCAATCCCTTTGCAGCCTGGCTGAGGCAGGTCTCACACTCACCATCACAAGGTGTCCCCTCACTGGAGCATCCACTGTCTCTTTGCAGATGGGTCCATGAGAGAGATAGAGGGCATAGAAAACAAGACCCCACTGAAGTGCCCAAGCCTCAAGAAAGGAAGAGAGAGTGTGGAGGACTGGGCATCACAGGGACCAGGAAAGGGTACAAAACCCAGCTCTCTGGAAAAGACTGCCCATGAGCATCACAGGAGGTGCTGATGAGGAACTACCAGGGAAGAAGCGGGTGTGAGGGCTGCTGATCATCTTTGTGAGGGGAATAAAGCATCCCTTCTTCAATACATCCACCTGTCACAATTTCTCGACGTATAGCATTGTTATTAAGTGAAGATACTTTTACCACTGTCCACTTAAACATGATCATAATAAATGTACGTTACATAATGTCTTCAGTGAGAAGCATGTCTCCTGAGACCTGCAGAACCCTACGGGGTGACCCTGGGTGCCTCAACATCAAAGCTCACCCCAAGGACAAGAAAGCCTCTTCATGACATTTCAAACACCACAATAACTATGAAGCGAGTACTCAGTTACGATGATGGATGTTTTACACAACTTATGCCATTTCATGACCATGATAATCTTAGAGGAAAGGAGTTTTATCCCTGATGGACAGATGAGAAAACAGACCTGGGAAGGTTGAGATTTGCCAAAGGTCACAGAATAAGAACATGGCCACAAGGGGGAGCTCTTGGGCCCTCAAGAGGCCACCCACCTTAGAGCAAATGCAAACACATGCCCCCAAGCAAAGCCAGCCCCTGGCTTCACCGAGCACTAATTCATTCTCATTCTGCTGCTCATTGCCCATGGCCTTCATCACTGAAGTTCCTCAGCCACTACCAAGGTATTGTTTCTGGGCTCAAAGCAAATAAATGGCCAAGGGACAGACCAACAGGCTCCCACAGCAGTCAGGCTCACCCCAACCTTAGCATCCTCTTGCACATGTGACAGGACACAGTTGGCCAGGCCTGGAGTTTCTTAAATACAGACCCAGATGGGAAAATGTGGTCAGCACTCTCTTCCTCTCTCTCTCTCTCTCTCCCTCTATCTCTTTTTAAAGAATTTCAGCATTTTAAAAGCCCATGCCCTCCAAAGCAGGCTCCAGAGTGTGTTCACCTGTGCTTCCACAATGACTGACTCTCACATCTGACCTTGAACAAGAGCCTCTGACTGCAGATGGAGCTGATTACCTTTTTCTTCAGACTCCAGGATTTCCTGCAAAACCAAGAAAGACGTGGACTGTTTCGGGGGCTCATTCAACTCCTGTTTCTCCTGAAGCATCTTGTAAACTTCAGATTCTTTGTCGATGACAAGGCTGCTTGGAGGCTGAGCATGGTCTAAGCTGTAAAGAATGTTTGAAAAATTGATTAGGACATGACAGAAGTTAAAAATAACTTCACCAGGAACCTCCTCCAGGCAGACACTGCTGATTTGAAGGATGGATAGAAATGATCTCAAAGCCCTCTCCTAAATCAGCCACAGACCTGCTGCCAGCACAGTGAAACTGAGATGTCTTTGTAGTCAGAGCTGGCTGCTGCTTCAATGCAATCAGAGGCTCTTCTTCTAAATAGCTTCAGTAGCTCAATTACTTTTTGGCCTAATCCAGTGGAATGAGAATGCTCTATCTCTTTATAAATTCCATCAGCAGCATTATGTCCAGAGAAAATTTAGAGAAAAAAAAATGTCAACCACAAGCCAACCATGAAGAACTCAGCCGGGTCCCCCTTGTATGGGCCACAAACATTGCTTGCACAAGCAGGAATCATAGTGTTATTCATTCCCGACGATCTCACAGTGCTTTCCCTGTCTATAAATACTTCCTGATTCTCAAGGCCAGGCACTTGGGTCTCCTCACCTATAACACAGAGGTAACAGTACTTTCCTTGCCTGGTTCACAGTTTGGTGGTAAGGATGGGACACGCAAGTGCTTTGTGAACTGTTGATGTTCAGGCCCAGGGACTGGGCAAGCCAGGCCTTGTCTTCCCCACCTTCCTCCTGTCATGCTGGGTGACCCAGAACAAGATAAGACAGGCAGAGCCTGCCTCTTTCCCTGAGGGCTCCACTTTCTAAGCAGTGGACGGTGACAGGGAGGTAGTCTCTCATCAGCTATACCTGTAAATCTATCCTCCATCTGACCCCTTCTCACCTCCCCACCTCCCCCAGGTCCAAGCCATGCCATGCTTAGGCCAAAGTGATGGCCTCTATTCAAAATATCAGAGTGATATTTTTTGTTTTTTAGAGACAGGGACTCACTCTGTCACCCAGGCTGGAGTACAGTGGTGCAATCACAGGTAACTGTAACCTCGAACTACTGGCCTCAATAGATAAATCCTCCTGCCTCGGCCTCCTGAGTGGCTAGGACTACAGGTGTGCCACCATCCCCCGCTGATTTTGTCATTATTTTGTAGAGACAGAGTCTTGCTGTGTTGCCCAGGCTGGTCTCAAAGTCCCAGCCTCAAGTGATCCTCCAGCCTCGGACTCCCAAAGCGCTAGGATTATAGGCATGGGCCAGAGTGCCTGGCCTAGAATGATATTTTAAACATGAATCAGACTGTGTCATGCTGTGGCTCAATGTATTCTCATTTGACTTAGCACAAAATATTTAGTTTTAATACTAAAATATATGTTTAATCAAATTCAACTTTTTTGGAGTAAATGTTATCACAGAGGAGAAAGTCCCTCACATATGTGACCCAAACTTCTCCCTCCACACACATCCCCTGCCAGCCCTGGCCCACTCTGCTCTACTGAGACCAGGCTTCCCGCTGTGCCTGGGAAACACTAGCTTCACAGCCTATGCACTTACTGCACCCTCAGCCTGCAATGCCCTTCCCAGGTGTTGTCATGGCTCCCATGCTTCATCCAGGTCTCTGCTCAAGTGCACTCCTCAGAGAGGCCTTCCTGACCCCGACTCCAAACAGTCCGCCACATCCCCACTATCACTCTTAACTCCCTACCTGCTCTCTCACCATGGATTCCAGTGTATTCCCTTATTTCTTTGTTGTCTATCTCCCCCTGGAAAGTAAGCCCCAGGAGGGCAGGAGCATGGCCTGTCTTGCTCCCCATCACATTCCCAGGCCCGGCTCAGTGCCTGGCACAGGTCACAGTTCAGCAGGCAGCAGGCATCAGGCAAGTGAACGAACACTGCAGAATGGGTCCAGGGCCTCCTTCCTCCTTGCTGTGCTCCCCCTGTTCCTGCAGGCTCACGAGGTCCTCCAGGGCAGCCAGCCTCTGAGGGTTGTGCCAGGGACATGGGCAGCCCCACCTCCTGGCCCCAGATCACCACCTTCCTCTCAGCTGAGCTGCTAAGGAGAAAGGCCAGTGTGCCCAGTGGAACCAAAGAGCAAATATCAGATGGTGGGGCAATTTATTGATGCAGATGGATAGATTTGTATATAAACAAGTTGTGCTTCCTGAGTAATAAAGCTATAAAGTCTCCAGCCCACCAGGCTGCCTCCCAGCTTTACAGATGCAGGCAGTGGCCAGGAGTGGTTTTATTCAGCAACTCTAAACAGACTCTCTTTAGGGCTGGAGCCACTTTCACAGGTGCAAATGAATTATATCAGTTACGCTTACTCATTTCCAGGGTATATGTTTTCCCTGGGTAATTCTCCGCAAGTTCCCTTTTCCTCTCCCTCTCTTCCTCTCCTTTCTTCCTTTCTCTTTTCTGAGACAACCTCTGGGGCACGTTCAGTACTCAGGTCCCCAGCTAAAGGCAGAGTCAATCATAGCAATCAAGGTCCAGGTGTTTCCCTTCCACTCCAACCATGTTCTCACAATAAAGGAAAAGGCACCCAAAGAGTGGCATATGCTTCATGGCTACCAAAGAAGGTCAGAGTTTAAGTAGCAAGATTCATGGGTTGGTCACTCCGGCCGGCTGCATTTGGGGAAGGGAAAGCAGCTATCCCTGCCTGTCCTGCCCACTCCTGCTTGGCCTCTTCCCCCACCTGCAGGGAACTGTGGGTGCCTCTCAGGGCAGGCAATGGGGCCACCTGGGGGAGTTGTTTTAACCAAGGGTCTTTCTTTGTCTCACTTTCCAGCCCTTTCTTTGAGTTATATGCCTGACTCTTTGAGTCCTGAGTTTGGAACTTGCCCCATAATAAGCATATTACATTATTTTTGGATAAATCTTTTTTCTATTACACTTAGGACTATTTTAAAATTGAGATCAGACTATGGAATGTTCTTGGGAAAGATTTTTCTTCTTCTTTGGTGTATGTTATGTCTGGAAGCCACCAATGGAACACACCAAAAAAATGACAGAACCCAGACCACAAGGCCATCACATATTCTTCCAGCAAATCACCTTGTGAGGGATTTCTATAATTTAAAAAAAAAAAAAAACTTACCATTTTTCTCAAATAATGATAGTATCTTTAAACCACTGGACAATTTATAAAGGACTCTCAATATCTATTACCTTACTTAAGGTATTGATACACCTGACTCAAAAATAACATCCTAAGATCCAACGTCTAAGTCTTAGACACTAGATTACAAGGTATTGACATGATACCACAATATCTTAAAAAATGATGACAAAAATATGAAGGAGAAATGGAGCAAAAAATTTCTCGTTTTTATATTAAAAACAGCAATGAAAGAATATTACAGTGATATGGCTTCAGAAAATATAATACACACCACTCAGTCTCCAGGAGAAAAAGTTTTGACGGCGTAACAGTGAAAATGAACACTTTCTTCTGAACCCACTCTATACAGTTTTAATAACGAGTTTAAGCAAATTCAACTACTTTGGAGTAACAATACGTTACACAAAGTTTCCTAGTTCTTGTTTCTCCCTGGGAGCTGATGTGTATCTGTTTCCTAAATGTTTAATATTTTCTCCCACTATTTTAGGACGTGACCTGAGGGCCCCAGGGTTATTCTAGCCAAGCCACTCCCATCCCTGCCAAATAAGATGGCTGACACAGCCAGGCGTAGGAGGATCCTAGTGGTCTTTAGAACATAAGCAGAAACTCCCCTTGAGCCCACCTCCCAGAGGAGGATTTTGGAGGCTGAGCCTGCAGACCTTATGTGTTTCTCACACCTGCTCCAGCCAAAAGGGCAGCTGGGGTGAGGGTCAGAAGGACGAGGAGGATGGAAAGCAGTACGCCCATGGCTCTGGAGCATGGGTCAGCACAGCAACCCTGGGATGAAAGTCTACTCCATCAGAACCATGAAGTGCCCAGAGTGAGGATATAAGGGGCTTTTTTTTTTTTTTAACTTGGGCCATCATCTGTGGCAGCAACTTAATTATCTGTATATAAATCTCAGCTAGGCCAGGTGCGGTGGCTCACACCTTTAGGAGGCCGAAGCAGGTGAATTGCCTGAGCTCAGGAGTTCGAGACCAGCCTAGGCAACACGGTGAAACTCCTATCTCTACTAAAATCCAAAAAAAATTAGCCAGGTGCTGCAGCGTGTGCCTGTAATCCCAGCTACTTGGAAGGCTGAGGCAGTAGAATCGCTTGAACCTAGGAGGCAGAAGTTGCTAAAACAAGACAGCCATAAGAAAAAAATCCTCATTGCTGATACAACCTTAGTAGGGTCATTTTCTCACACAGTAAGAACATTTTGATACTTTAATAAAACTACCTGTATGTGAGATAAAAATTGGAATAGAAACGGGGATTACGTGAATTATTGAAAGCATCCAGACAGGAGAAGATGGTCTCCTCATAAAAATATTTTTCCTGTCTGAGAAGATGAGGTAGACATATTTTTCCCTGTTTCACCCAGTAAAACCAAAAACCCTGGACATTACATATAAAACAACATGAGAAGACTCTGACAGGGCAACGGAAGCCACACTGGCTAGGGACCCCACGTCCTGAGGACCACGATGGTGAGCTCCCAGGGTGTTCTTGTTTCCTTGGACATCCCAGACATGGAGCGGAGGGCAGCAACCTGGAAAGGGCAATGGGCACAGACAGAAGAAGTCTCAAGAGGAGCCTGCTGTATCTGACCAAATAACCAGAAAGGGGCAGCCCAGCAAAACACAACACATTGAAACAACACTATTCTCCAGCCAAATGCCAGAAAAGGCCAAGTGGGGGGTCCAGACTTCTAGTCTCACCAGGCTATGATGTGGTTCCCCAACTATCTCACTGGGGTAGATTCAGAGAAAGCCCAATAGAGAGTCCATATTTCATCCTTACCCAGCTGTAATGAAGAAAACCTAGGAGAGAATCAGGACTCTCACCACTGCTCAGCAGTGTCTAGGCCACCACTCACCCATAAGGTGTCAGTGGAAGCCATATGGGGAGCCAGAACTCCCACCCCATCCAGCAGTAATGAGTGGCCCCAATGACCTCAGGTGTGACATAGGCAGAGTGGGGAAAGTGGACTTTCTACCCCCACCTGTCAGTAATGAGGCAGCATCCCCAATCCCATATCTGAGAGGAAGCCAGTGAATACAGAAGGTTTTAATGCGATCCAGAATCTAATAACATAGTAACAAGAATGTTCAAGATTCAGTTGAAAAATCACATCTCTCAGAAGAACCAGGAAGATCTCAAACTGTAAATAAGACAATAAAGAGATGCCAACACCAAGATGACAGAGATGTTGGGATTATCTAACAAAGATGGTAACACAGTCATCATAAAAATGTTTCAATGAACAATTATGAGCACATTTAAAACAAATAAAGTCTCAACAAACAGAAGATATAAAGAATGAAATGGAAATTCTAGAACTGACAAAATAACTGAAATAAAACCACAGTGGATACACTCAGCAGCAGCATGAAGGAGACAAAGGAAAGAATCAGTGAACTGGAAGGTGAATATTAGAAATTATACAATTTCAAGATCATAGAAAAATAGAATGGGGAGAAAAAAAAGAAATGAAGAGCCTCACAAACCTATGGGAATATATAAAAGATCAAAAATTCATGTCAATGGAGTCTTGGAAGAAGAGAAAAAAGGTGGAACTAGAAAAGTACTAGAAGAAATCATGTCTGAAGGTGTCCTAAATTTGGCAAAAGACATAAAGAAGTGAAGTGAACAGGAAACAGGATAAACCTAAAAAAATCCACACCAAAACATATCATAGTAAATTTCTGAAAACTACAACAAAGAAAGAATTTCCAAAGCAGTAGGAGAAAAATGACGCCTTATCTAGAGGGGAAAACCAATTCAAAAGACAGCAGATTTCTTATCAGAATCCATAAAGAAAAGAAGGAAGTAGCACAATGCTTTCAGCTGCTGAAAGAAAAAAAACTGCCAGCCTAGCATTCTGTATCCAGTGGAAATATCCTTCAAGAATGAAGGAGAAATCAAGACATTCTCAGATACAGGGAAACTGAGAGCATTTATCTCTAGCAAAGCTACCCTAACAATGTTTAAAGGAAGTTCTCTAAATAGACGAAAAAAAATAAAAGAAGGAACCAGCCAGGCATGGTGGCTCACCTGAGGTGAGGAGTTCAAGACCAGCCTGGCCAACATGGCAAAAACCTGTCTCTACTAAAAATACAAAAATTAGCTGGGCGTGGTGGCGGATGCCCGTTAATTCCAGCTACTCAAGAAGCTGAGGCATGACAATCACCTGAACCCGGGAGGTGGAGGTGGCAGTAAGCGGAGATCGCACCACAGTAGTCCAACCTGGGTGACAAGAGCGAGACTCTGTCTTAAAAAAAAAAAAAAGAAGGAATCTTGGAATATCGAGAATGAAAAAAGAACCCATAAGCAAAAATATGGGTTTAAAAAATACTTGCCCTCTCAATATATTCTAACTCTTGTTGACAAGTAAAGCAAAAATTATAACACTGTCTGATGTGGTTCTAAGTGTATAAAAGGATCTATTTTAACTATATTGTAAGCAGGGGAGGGCAAAGGTTCACAAAGAGAAGCAAAGTTTCTATACTTCTTTGAACTCCTGAAATGATGACGCCAGTAAACTGTGATAAGTTATATATACACAATGTAATACCCAGATAACTACTGAAAAGGTTATACAAAGACATAGAATAAAAAACACTACAAATAAAAATGTTATTCTAAAAAAAATGATGTCAAATAACCCACAGGAAAGCAGGAAAAAGAAAACAGAAATGGAAAACAGAAAACAAAATAAAATACCAGACTTAAGCCCTAACATATCAATCATCGCATTAATGTTCATCATCTAAATAAACCAACTGAAAGACAGAAATGAACAGGGTAGATACAAAACAGTACATTTTAAAACATGACCCAAATACATGCTATCAACATAAAACTCATTTCCAATATTAATGTATAAGCAGGCTAAAAGTATAATGGTAGAGAACAATATATCATGCCAATATTAATCAAAAGAAAACAGGAGTGGCTATATTATTAATAATATCTGATAAGTATACCTCTGAACAAGTAAATTTACCAGAGATGGAAATGGACATTATATAACCACAAAAGGGTTAACTCACCAACAGCTATAGCAATGTTAAATGTGTGTGCATCAAACAACAGAGCTTCAAAATATGTAAAGCAAAAACTGATAGAACTGAAAGGAAAAGAGACACATTCACAATTTTAGTTGAAGACTTCTATACCCCTCTCTTAACAACTGATAGATCAACTAGACAGATAATCAGAGAGGATACAGAAAAATTCAACAATACTATCATGCCAGGCACGGTGGCTCACGACTATAATCCCAGTACTTTGGGAGGTCAATGCAGGAGGATTGCTTGAGCTCAGAAGTTCGAGACCAGCCTGGGAAACATGGTGAAACCCTGTCTCTACAAAAATTACAAAAAAAATTAACCAGACATAGTGACACATACTTGTAGTCTCAGCTACTCAGGAAGCTGAGGTAAGAAGATCACTTGAGCCCAGGAGGCAGAGGTTGCAGTGAGCCACTGCACTCCAACCTGGGCAAGAGAGAGAGACTGCCTCTAAGTAAGTAAGTAAGTAAGTAAATAAATAAATAAATCAGAAATGAAAGAGACATTACAACTAATACCACAGAAATAAGGATAATAACAGACTACTATGAACAATTATACATTAACAAATTAGAAAACCTAGAAGAAATAGATAAATTCCCAAAAACACAACCTACCAAGACTGAGTCATACAAAAATTAAAAATCTCTAAACAGACCTATAACTAGTAAGGAGGTTCAATCAGTAATCAAAAACATCCCAACAAAGAAAAGCCCAGAACCAGATGGCTTCACTGGTGAATTCTATCAAACAATTTTAAAAGAATTAAAACTAATCCTTCTCAAACTCTTCCAAAAAACTGAAGAGAGAATGCTTCCAAACTCATTCTATGAGGCCACTATTACCCTGATACCAAAACCAAAGATACTAAAAAAAAAAAAAAAAAAGCTACAGACTGATATTACTAATGAATATTGATGCAAAAATACTCAACAAACTACTAGCAAACCAAATTCAACAGCATATTAAAAGGATTAAACACCATGACCAAGTGGAATTTAATCCTGTAATGCAAGGATGTTTTAACATATAACAATCAATCAGTGTAACACATCACATTAACAGAATGAAGGACAAAAACTACAGTCATCTGAATGCAGAAAAAGCATTTGACAAAATTTAACAAACTTTCATGATAAAAATACTCAACAAAACAGGAATGAAAGGAAATTACCTCCACATAATAAAGTCCATGTATGAAAAACCCACAGCTAACCTCTCACTCAAAATGAAAAACCAAAAGCTGTTCCTCTAAGATCAGCAGCAAGGCAAGAATGCCAACTTTTACCACCTCTTTTCAACATAGCATTGGAGGTCCTAATCAGAGACCTTAGGCAAGTCAAAGAAATAAAAGGCATCCAAATTGGGAAGGAAGAAGTAAAATTGTATCTGTTCAAAGATGCGATGATCGAATACACAGAAAACCCTAAAGATCCCCCCCCACTACACACACACACACACACACACACACACACACACACAATTGGAACTAATAAATGAATTCAGCATAGTTGCAAAATACAAAATCAACAAACAAAAAAGTTGTTTCTATACACTACCAATGAATAATCCAAAAAGAAAACTAAGAAAACAATCTTGTGTAATCATCAAAAAGAACAAAATACCTAATAAACTTAACCAAGGAGGTGAAAGACTTGTACACTGAATAGAGTACATTTTAAAATTATAAAACATTTTAAAATGTTTAAAAATATAAAACATTGTTGAAAGAAACCAAAGAATGCACAAATAAACAAAAAGACATCTCATGTTCATGGACTGGAAGACCTAAGACTGTTAAAATATCTGTACTACCCAAAGCAATCTACATCTTCAATGCAATCACTATCAAAACCCTAATGGCATTTTTTGCAGATAAAAAAACATCATTGTAAAATTATATAAAATCTCAAAGGATCCTAAATAGCCAAAACAACCTTGAGAAGGAAAAACAAAAATGGAGGCCTCATACGTCCTTATTTCAAAACATTTTACAAAGCTACAGTAATCAAAACAGTATGGTACTAGCATAAGACAGATATAGAGACCAATGAAATAGAATAGAGAGCCCACAAATAAACCTTTGCATACACTGTCAAATGATCTTCAACAAGGGTGCCACAGCTACACAATGGTTAAAGAATAATTTCTTCAATGGTGTTGGAAAAACTGGATATTCACATGTAAAAGAATGAAGTTGGACCCTTACCTAACACCACATAAAAAAATAATTTGGCTGGAGACAGTGGCTCATGCCTGTAATCCCAGCACTTTGGGAGGCTGAGGCAGGCAGATCACTTGAGGTCAGGAGTTCAAGACCAGCCTGGCCAACACAGTGAAACTCCATCTCTACCAAAAACTACAAAAAAATTAGCCAGGAGTGGCAACGCAAGCCTGTAGTTCTAGATACTCAGGAGGCTAAGACCAAAGAATCACTTGAACCCAGGAGGTAGAAGTTGCAGTGAGCCAAGATCATGCCATTGCACTCCAGCCCAGGCAACAGAATGAGACTTCATCTTAAAAAAAAAAAAAAAGAAAGAAAGAAAGAAAGAAAGAAAGAAAGAAAGAAAGAAAGAAAGAAAGAATTCAAAATAGATTAAAGACCAACATAAGACCAGAAACTATAAATATAAAACTTCTAAAAGAAAACATAGGGGGTCAGGTGCTGTGGCTGACACCTGTAATCTCAGCACTTTGGGAGGCCAAGGTAGGAGAATCACTTGAGCCCAGAAGTTCGAGACCAGCCTGAGACCCTGTCTCTATTAAAAAATAAAAATAAAAATAAAAAAAGCTTCCTAACATTGAATTTGGTGATGATTTCTTGAATATGACACAAAAACACAAGCAACAAAAGCAAAAATAAACAAATAGAACTACATCAAACTTTAAAATTTCTGTACCACAAAGGAAACAACAGAGTGAAAAGGCAACTTATGAAATAGAAAAAATATTTGCAAAACATACGTATAATTAATATCCAGAATATATAAAAAAAAACTCCTACAACTCAACAAAAAACAAATAGCTCGATTAAAAAATGATCAAAGGATTTGAATAGACATTTAGCCAAAAATGATTAACAAGCATATGAAAAGATACTCAACATCACTAATCATTAAAGAAATGCAAATCAAAACCAAAATGAGATATCACCTCACATCTATTAAGATGGCCACTATCAAAAAGACATAAAACAAATGTTGGTAAGGTTGTGGAGAAAATGGAGCCCTTGCGTATTGATGATGGGAATGTAAAATGGTGCAGCTGCTGTGGAAAACAGTATGGAGATTACTCAAAAAATTAAAAATTTACCATATGATCCAGCAATCCCACTTTTGATTATATACAAAAGAAATGAAGAAGGATCTCAAAGAGATATTTGCTCACCCATGTTCATTACAGCATTACTCACAATAGCCAGGAGGTGCAAGCAACCTAAACGTCCATAAAAACATGTGTATTCGTGTGTTTTCATGCCGCAGATAAAGATATAGCCAAGACTGGGCAATTTACAGAGAAAGAGGTTTAATTGGACTTACAGTTCCACATGGCTGGGGTGGCCTCACAATCATGGTGGAAGGAGGAGCAAGTCACATCTTACATGGATGGAGCAGGCAAAGAGAGAGAGAGCTGGTGAAGGGAGCTCCTCTTTTTAAAACCATCAGATCCTGTGAGACTTAATCACTATCATGAGAACAACATGGGAAAGATTTGACCCCATGATTCAATTACCTCACACTTCGTCCCTCCCACAACACGTGGAATTCAAGATGGGATCTCGGCGGGGACACAGACAAACCATATCAACATGAATAAAGAAAATGTGAAAAAAAAATGGGATATTATTCAGCCTTAAAAAAAGAAGGCCCCATCTCTACTAAAAAAATACCAAAAAAATTAGCCGGGCATGGTGGCACACGCCTGTAATCCCAGCTACTCGGGAGGCTGAGGCAGAGAATTGCTTAAACCTGGAGGGGCAGAGTTTGTAGTAAGCCAAGATCGCGCCACTGCACTCCAGCCTGGGGGACAGAGCGAGACTCTGTCTCAAAAAAAAGAAAAGAAGAAGGAAATTCTGTCATATATTACAACATGGGAAAACCTTGAGGACATTATGGTAATTGAAAAAAGACAAATGCATGACTCCAATTATATGAGATATCTAAAGTAATCAAACTTAGAAAGTATTATAGTGGTTGCTAGGGGCTTGAGAGATGGGGACTTTAAGGTGAGGTTGTTTTTCAATGGGTACAGAATTTCAGTTTTTCAGGATAAAAAAGTTCTAGAGATGTGTTGCACAACAATGTACACATAGTAAACATTACAATACACTTAAAAACGTTTAAGATCATAAATTTCATGTTTTTTAACACAATAAAAAAAGACAAACCCATAAAACAGAAAAAAAAGGAACAAACTATTGATACATAAACCTATCGATACAAAAACCTAAATAAATCTCCAGACAATATACTGAGTAGAAAAGCTAATCCCAGGTTACATACTGTATGATTCCATTAATATAACATTTTTGAAATAATAAAAATATAAAGAGTAGATAAGTAAGTTGCCAGGGGTTAAGGAGGATGAGGGAAAAGGAGGGAAGCGAGTGTGGCTATAAAAGAGCGACATGAGAAACCCTTGCAGAGATGGAAATGTTCAGTATCTTGAGTGTATTGATGTCAATATCCTAATTTTGTTACTATTGTGTTTTCAAGATGTTACCATTGAGGGAAATTGGTAAAGGGTATAGGGGATCTCTGTATTATTTCCTATAACTGCAAGTGAATCTACAATTATCTCAAAATAAAAATTTTAATTAATTTTAAGAAATATTTTCCCCAAATGGTGGAAGTTAAGTGCTAGCTGGAAATAATGTAGAGGAATACTTGTTTTTTATGTAGGTGGGGGAAAGGAGGTAGGCGGACCCAGAAAAATCTTTCCTATCTCATATCCCAAGAAATGAGATGTCCCAGCCTGATTACCCCAATGTTCACCCAAAAACGCCATTCTGGGAAACCCTATGTAATCATTTTCAGAAGGGAAGCCTGGCCTGTGTGCTTCCTAAGTTTTGGTCTTCAAAGGCACACATATTGGTCCTGCAATAAGAAACCAGAGGGGTAATTGTGGGCACCAGGAGAAGAGAGAGGAATGCCCGCACAGCAGAGCCAGTTTTCTGTGGGTGGCAGGCAGGTTTAGCTAGAGGGGCAAGCAGCCTTCATGATAGAGGTGTACTTCTGATTCAGCTCTGAAGAAGCCAGGGTTAACATCATCCTTGTGATAATATTTGAATAGAAAATGATGCATCCCTTTATTTCCAGGGCAGCTGCTTAGAAATCTCCCTCATGAATGTTTGGGGGCAACACCTTACAACACAATTTGGAAGAGCTATTATCTAGGGCCTAGTATGTTGGTTACAGGAGCTCTCCAATCATTCCTTGAAGAGAACACCACCACCCCATCAGTAAGCTGATTAGCTGTGTGGGCTGGCTGAATTTAATGGGCAAGAAAGAAGTGTACCATAAGCCACAGCAAAGTCTTCTCCATTACATTTGTCTATGTGCTTCCACACTTCTGTAGCCCCCAGTTCTCAGAAGTGATGGGGATGGAGTTCCTCATGGAAACTAAAGTTAGCAATAATTAGCATTTAGTGAGCACCTACCAGGGGCCAGGCACTGTGCTGAGTGCTCTGTGCACATCCCATTGCATTGTCTCAACAACCTGGTGGTAAAGAAGTTAGTATTATTTCCACCTTAGATCTCAGGAGACTGAGTTTCAGAGATGTTACATGGTTTTCCCAAGGTCACACAGCTAGTAAGAGGCAGAGCTGGAATTCAAGGCTCAGGCCCCTCTATCTACCAAGCCTTTAGGAAGTATCAGGCAGTATCATATAAACAATGAAATCTGGGCTCTGAATTTTCTGATTTTGACCAGGGTCCCCTCAACTCAATTAAAAGAGAACAGAGGAAAGGTGCTAGCTTTCTGCTGAACTGACATTTTCTTCGCCCACCTGGTACACAGTAGGCACTCAATAAATGATTATGCTGAACTGACCTAGAGGAAAAAGGCCACTGAGGACCTCCCCCTCCACTGTGTGCACTGGGAGGAAGGGCAGCAGAGAAACCCCCTCACCTGCCTTACCAGTTGGCAAGGCTATCTCTGTTCTTATCTGACTGGGACACAGCTCTGTAAAGACCTACAAGACAGATAGCAACAGACACACCACAATACTTTCAAGTGCATAGGACAAAGAAATCCAGGGCAAGCCCCAGAGAATGGGTGATGACCTCAGATGCAAAGTATGTAGTGAGCCAATTCTGGAACTTCAGCGAATTTCACAGACTAAACAGTGGGAGGGAGCGAGCACTTGGGACTTGTGCTGACTGAGCAAGCAAAGTTACCAGGTGACTGCTGGGCTCACAGGAGAATCTTTCTTTGTGGGAATGCACTAGAAATACACCAGCAAGCTGAGATCCCCCCATACAAGCAGCATGGCCAGTTAGGCAGCTCCTCTGCCTTAGGCTGTTGGTTTTCCCACTGTTTCTGGGTTCAGCCTCAAAGAGTGCGGGGTGGAACAGAAACAGGACCCTCTCTGCTGAGAAAATCTGCAAAGAGACAAATTTTGATACTCGGCAACTACTGCAGCCAAAGAGTCTGGGCCAGGGGCTAGAGGAAAGGCTTAAACAGCCACCTGGTAGTTTCAGACTCAGAGGAGGGAGCAGGCAGGGAACATGAGAGAAGAGAGACATTAATGAAGGAAAAATAGCCAAGGCCATACTAAAAATATTTCCCAGGCACATATTTCTCCCAATGCATAGCAGCTCTTTCAATTAAGGATGTGTCATTTCCTGGGTTACTAAGTCCAGATCATGGAATATTCCACTCTGGGACAGTAAAAGAGGGTCATGTTCTCAGCCTCCCCAGCACCAAAGCAGCTAAAAACAGGGATCACAGGCCCCCAGTGTTTCCACCACTCCTGAGCTGCTTGGAAGCTTCCTCTCAGGGTGTGTCTGTGGAAAGCCTAGGGGGACCAGTATGACACCGTTTCTCAGGTATCTCAAATGTCCCCACAGTCGCCTGGAAGAGAATCATCATCTCAAGCCAGTAAGCCCTTGCAAGAACCAGAATTTGAGGGAAGAAGAAACATTGGTGGAGACTGCCTTGGTTACTATGATAAATGGCCAGTAACCTTTAACATCTTCTAAAGCCAAAGTCACACAGAAAAAAGTCTGCCCTACCAGACTCAAAGAAATGTTAAAAGAAATCTTAGTGTCAGCTGGGCGCAGTGGCTCACGTCTGTAAGCCCAGCACTTTGGGAGGCCGAGGCAGGCAGATCACCTGAGGTCGGGAGTTTGAGACCAGCCTGATCAACATGGAGAAACCCCATCTATACTAAAAACACAAAATTATCCGGGCGTGGTGGCGCATGCCTGTAATCCCAGCTACTCGGGAGGCTGATGCAGAAGAATCGCTTGAACCCGGGAGGCGGAGGTTGTGGTGAGCAGAGATCACTCCATTGCACTCTAGCCTAGGCAACAAGAGTGAAACTCCGTCTCAAAAAAAAAAAAAAAGAAAGAAAGAAATCTTAGTGTCCTCTCAGTGTCAGGCACAGGGAACAGGGATGCACATGTCATGGGTGTCCAATGACATCTGTCTCTCTCTGGGGAGGGGAGGGGTGACTATATGCAAGGAATGCCCAAGGAGCCCTTGAGAGGTGTTGCTACAACAGCCCTTTCCAAACATTTAAGTAGTTTGGAACCTCTAGTATCTTAACCTCTCTCAACCTGCATTTGAAGCCATTGGTTTGCAATTTAATTACCCTAAGAGTTGAGCAGGTTCTTGTTAAAGGTGAATTGGGGAGAAACTGAATGGCAAAGCGGGCTTCAGAGGCAATACAAAAATTGATGATTCCAAGTGAGAAAGGTTCTCAGAGCTAAGGCAAGTTTGGACCACACAGTGTTTTCCAACAAAATTTAAATGTCACCAATAATTAAAAATCAGGAGATTTCCGAAAAAAAGAGGCTTTCCAACTTCTGTTTTAATGGAAATAATTAGCAGAAATGAGACCTGCATGAGGCACGTGGCTGGAGCCAAGGAGCAGCGTCCCCTCCGGACCAGGAATGCACGCTCCAGCTGCCACCCCCACCCCCACCCAGCACCCTTGTTTACTCAGAGCTCTGCCTCAGTTCCTCATCCTGCCTGCCACTTTTGGGTATTTGAGTGGGCAATTCCTAACCTAGTCCACCCACTTTACACCTACAGAGAATTGGCCCCATCTTTAACCCATCCTCAAACCCAGTTCCTTTGCTGGGATTCCCAGTGTTTCTGGATTCATCCTCAAAGAGCCTGAGATGGAGCAGACACTGGGCCCCTCTGCTGGCAAGATCCAGGAGACTCCAATAAAGACTCAAAGGGCTTGGTGGCTCATGCCTGTAATCCCGGAAATTTGGGAGTCTGAGGTGGGAGGATCACTTGGGCCCAGGAGTTCGAGACCAGCCTGGGCAACACAGTGAGACCCCAATCTCTACAAAAAAAAGTAAAACTTAGCCAAGTGTGGTGGCACACACCTGTAGTACCAGCTACTCAGGAGGCTGAGGTGGGAGGATCACTTGAACCCAGGAGGTCGAGGCTGCAGTGAGCTGTGATCAAACCACTGTACTCCAGCCTGGGTGACAGAGCGAAAGCTTGTCTCAAAAAAAAAAAAAAAAGACTCAAAGGCAGCTGCAGCCAGATGATCTGTGACAGAAGAGGACATGCCTCCTCAGTCCCCAGCAAGGCACTTCCTCAGACACCTCTCCCCTTTCCACCTGCAGCCCTACCTCTCCCCCAGTTAAGCCTGCCTCTGTCCCCAGATCAGAACCTATTCCTAGGACAAGCATTTATATCCTCAGGGACCTCTCTTCTTTCATGACCTCTGGTCCACTCTAGGGAAAAAGCAAACACTGCTTCACCAAAACTATGCAGCATGAAGTATTTCTCCCTTGCTTAGTTCAGATGGTGGACATAAGCACAGGCTACTCTAGATTCCCTCAAACACTCCCCGACTAATAATACTGAAGAATTTCTCGGGAAGCAGCAGGCCTGTCAAGGAAGGACTATGTTCAATTAGAAGATGATGACCACAGAAATCAAAACACAAATAAAAACAGTTCTGGAGGATTAAGTGATTTGTTTGTGCTTAACACAATGCTGGGCATTTTACGTATTAATTCTTACTTTTACAGACACCCTATAAAGCAGGAGGTATTGTCCCCTTTGTGTAGATGAAGAAAATGAACACAGAAGTGTTCTGCTAATGTAGTCATTTTTCTCCCTGGAGTAGTGGCTCTTGCACCTGCCTGGGCAGCCCTGGTCCTGATGTGAAAAGCCCCTCCCAGGAGCGGCTCAGAGGAGGACTCCTGGGCTACTTACGGTCTGCTGTTCGCCTCCACCCCGCTGGCAGCAGTCTTTGACTCCAGGGCATTGTTGAAGTTGGAGATATTTTCAGAAGAGTAGAGGCCAGCTGGGTTGTTGTACTGGTTTGTGATGACCCTGGCAGTAGTGCTGGAGGCAGGCGAGGCGGTAAAGGGCATGGCACTTCGGTTGTGGGCGCTTCCTATGTGCAGGACCTCCTGCAGGCAGGGATCAGAGGAGAAATCAAGGGGGGCATCCAATGCAAACCCCTTGATGGGCAGTGCAGGCTGAGCGCCAGGGAGAGGTGTTCCAGCTGCTAAGATGGCCCTAGTTCAACCCAAACTTTAGCTGAGGGACACTGACACACCCACTGAGACACACGGGCAATGACTGGGGAAGTTTCCCACAATGGGCACCTGTGCGAGTTCACACCCCCTGAATCATCTCTACCTTCTGATTCTTCCTTGAGGCCCAGCAAAGCCTGCCCTCTAAGGCACCCTCGGGCAGGACAGCCCTTGATGCTTTGGGCTGTAAGATTCAAGTCAGAGCTAAAACACGCTTTCAGGGCACATACCAAAGAGATTAAAGCACTAGGTGAAGAGAAATATGCAGTCACTTTGGTCAGTGCAAAAGCAGGAGATGATAAAAGGTGGAGATAAATTCTCCATAAGTGAGCAAGTTAGACAAGCAAGGTAAGAGGGTGTGGTGTCACAGGGGAAGCAGCTGCTGACTAGGCAGAGATGGTCTCAGTCTCCTGCAGAGCAAGGGTAAAGGAAATTAAGGATCTATTGTTTCTTCTGGGAGAAAGACAAGGCTAATCAGATAGAAGGTCGGGGATACCTGTTACAGGGGCGGTACCCAGCAGAGCTGCAGAAAAGGACTTTTGAGTTCCTTGTGTTCTCATTCCCCTCTTTCTGTAATTTGAGAAAGTTCCCTCCACCCCCACCCTAGACTTGTTAAGAGTCAGGTGAATAATTACTACAGCTACAACATCTCAGAGCTCCTTTACAAACCCGCAAAGCCACTTTGGAAATTAACATTCCTGTTTTCTAAAACTACAGCTTTTCTACTTTTTCTTTCCCTCCTGCCAGCATCACAGCTTTTCTGATAGCCCAATCAGCAAGGTCCTTTCTATATGGGTGTCTGGACAACCCATGGCTTCTAGGTGATGCATGCTCTGTGCAGCCAGCTGAACTCAAAATGTGTCTTAGTGTCTGTGTTTTCCAGAAAAATCTTCCTGAACTCTAGTCTCTTTCTTAAAACACCCAGGCCCAGAACAGCTGCCTCCAAAAGAGTTCCTGTCATCTGTTGCACTTCCTTTTTTCTCTCCTTTTTTGTTAAATATTCAAGTCTTTTATGCTTTCTTAAAAAAAAAAAATCATGAAAACTAAAAGCTTTATTGAGTACCTAATTTAAAATAAAAGAAAACAACCTGAAAATATTTTTATGTTTAAGACTTCTCTTTTGGGCCGAGCGTGGTGGCTCACGCCTGTAATCCCAGCACTTTGGGAGGCCGAGGCGGGCGGATCACCTGAGGTCCGGAGTTCAAGACCAGCCTGACCAACATGGAGAAACCTCATCTCTACTAAAAATACAAAAATTAGCCAGACATGGTGGCGCATGCCTGTAATCCCAGCTACTCGGGAGGCTGAGGCAGGAGAATCTCTTGAACCCAGGAGGCAGAGGTTGCGGTGAGCCGAGATTGTACCATTGCACCCCAGCCTGGGCAACGAGAGTGGAACTCTGTCAAAAAAAAAAAAAAAAAAAAAAAAAAAGATTTCTCTTTTGGCTGGGTGCAGTGGCTCACGCCTGTAATCCCAACACTTTGGGAGTCCAAATCAGGAGGATTGCTTGAGCCTAGGAGTTCGAAACCAGCCTGGGCAACATAGTAAGACCCCATCCGTAAAAAAAAGTTAGACAGTCAAGTAGCCTGTAGTCCCAGCTACTTGAGAGGGCTGAGGCAGGAGGATCATGTAAGCCCATGAGATGGAGGATGCAGTGTGCCATATCGTGCCACTGCACATCAGCCTGGGTGACAGAGCTAGACTCTCATCCCTAAAAAAACAAAACAGGCCAGGCACGGTGGCTCATTCCTGTAATCGCAGCACTTTGGAAAGCCAACGCAAGAGGATCACCTGAGTTCAGGAATTCAAGACCAGCCTGGCCAACATGGTGAAACCTCGTTTCTACTAAAATATAAAAATTAGCTAGGCGTGGTGGCACCTGCCTGTAATCCCAGCTACTCAGAGGCTGAGGCAAGAAAATCACTTGAACTCAGGAGGCAGAGGTTGCAGTGAGCCAAGACTGCACCATTGCACTCCAGCCTGGGTGACAGAGCAAGACTCCATCTCACAAATAAAAAATAAAAATAAATAACAAAAAATAAAAAACAACACAAAACTTCAGCAGTTATCAAAGAGTAGTTAAGTAAATTTTATGGCACAGCTACCCAAATAAATAATATATAGTAATTAAAGGCTATGGTCATGAAGACAGAGATTTACAGATGGGTGGCCTGGTACCCTTGCCTACATGTGCCGCAGCCAGGATGGTCATTCTTTCTTCTTCTCTCCATCACCATGGCAATTCCTAGGAGCAGCAGAGGATGCAGAGCCCCAAGGAAGGGTCTTTATTTTTCCGCCTTGGCTCAATTTTTCCCTGCAATTTCCTGTTTGGCAAGGAATACCCCTCTAAGCCCATTTTTCATCTTTAAAATGAAGAAGATAAAGCCTTCTTTACAAGGATTTGTGTGAGTTACTAGAGTGTCAAGTACAGTGCCTGGCTCGTGGCACATATTCAACCAGGGTCTGTTCCCTTCTCCCTCCACCGAAACACATTTCCAATTAG
The DNA here is from genome assembly GCF_000001405.40 of Homo sapiens. NCBI lineage: Eukaryota > Metazoa > Chordata > Mammalia > Primates > Hominidae > Homo > Homo sapiens. Next base: position 95,266,693 of record NC_000010.11, read on the forward strand.
AATGGAAGTCAATGGAAAATTCAGGTTGAAAATTCGGATGATTTCACTTTCTAAAGAATCTTTCAAGAATGCATCTGGTTTGTACATAAAAGGAATATCTCTACCCTCATCTGAATACTGACTGGTCTTTCCAGAAAGCAGGCAGATTCAGGGCTTGCCTTTTAGAAGGGATGATGTAATTGTTTGGGCTTTGTATTTATCAGTCTCCAAGGAAACTCAATAATGAGGAAGTACAAACTAGGTGTGTAACTATGCTGACCTCAGATAAGCTGGGGTGTTGGTTGGCATTACATGAACCAACAGATCTTTTTATTATAGATGAACTCTGCTCTTACTCATTTATCCTCTACTTTAGAATGGCTGGAAGTAAAAGACTGGAAAAATGATGGGTGAGAAGTTTTTCTTACAGTAATAAAGCATTACTAGAATCACAAGAAAAATACAAGGGTTTAAAGTATTTGAGAATTTTTGTAATCTGAAGAGAACTACCTTCAAAAGATTAATACAGGTAACTACAGATTTAAAATGAAAATTCAAATATACTACAAATGAAAACTATAACTGAAATTTACATAATTACCTTATTTACATGAAAATGAGGATTTCAGATAGACCAAGTTAAAACGAAATCATTCCTTGTGTGTTATAAAATATGTAAAAATTAAAATTTAACAATTAAAATTTAACATTTATGGTAAATTTAATGAAGTAGCTGAGAACTCCCAAGGAAACTGAAACTAACTGTGGCATGTTTTAAATTAGTTTGCACAACTGCCAGTGTATAGACCAAGTGCCATTTTACGAACTTTCCTGAGAGGAGTTGTATAGAAGAATATGTTCACATCAGTTTTGAAATGATGCAAAATGATCCTTAAAATGACTCTTGGGATTTTTAATAATTATTTTTACTATCTTAATGGCAAAAATTTTATGTGACTTCGTTTTTGAAATTTTAATGGATTCTATTTGAGAAAATATGACTTATATCCAACCACCCAATTAACACACACTAATATACCAAGTGAGTTCAACTTCATACAAGTTTCTGTTTTATGTATAAAAGATAGCTAGCTATATATTGTATTTTAATTACATCTTAATTCACCATAAAAACTAAATAGTATCCCAAATTTAGAAAAATAAGTTAAATTTCAAATCTTCAACTTGGGTCAAATGCATAACCATCACAAACCAGTGTAAAATTTTCAAAAGGCATTATCAACATACCTAGTTTATCATTACTAATTCATTAATGTATCCAACAGACACATACTTTGAGACAAGTAGCATGTTGGGTGTGAGGAATTTTACAAAAGATGTTCTAAACATCTCTAAGTTTGTCCCTTATTTCAAAAACAATACCCATGCCTTGTAGATTATTTAGAAGAGGCACATAAGGCAGAAAGAAATAAAATCACCTACAATCCAATAATCCAACTACTGAGAGATTTATTCACAAATATGGGATCTTAGGGCAGTCTACTGTCCTGAGAAATTCTATCTGGGTGACAAATTGTACACTATGTACTGCTTTTTTTTATATTAATTGCTGCTTTATTTTAGTAATTTTAAAGTCTCACTAGAAGTTTCACTGTAACAAAAATAGAGATTTCCACTCCATGGCTCATGGAAACCAGACAGGGGCATACAGTGGGGAGAAGCAGGGCTTCCTATTACATATTCCCCGATTTCTTCTAGGCTCTAGGCCTCCAGACCTAAACTTATTTTCATCCCTGTCATGATTCATTTGTTGCTGAAATCCATAACGAGCTGAATAGCTCCTTGACTTCACTGTGATCCTGCCAACCCTTCCCACGCAGGAAGGCTTCCACCGGCTTCCCTTATCGCCTTCCGACCCCCTGCTTCCAGCCCAGGACACAGCGTCACTGCCCTGGGGTTTTCCAGCCCTATCCTCCTGCAGTTCCCTTACGGGAAGAACTGAACAAGAGCCAGATACCAGCAGAGACAGTGAAGGGTCTTATCCCCAGGCCTCCAGGGCAGGAAAAACAGGAATGTGCTGAGCAGTGTCAGAAACGGCAAAGTGCTGGGTGGTGAGAGCAGCGGCAACGATGAGCAAGAACTTACCTGGGGTTCAGAGGCTAAATTCATCTTGTATGGATGACGCTTCCCTTCCTCCGTCACCAGAGGAGACCAGACTTTATGTTCAGATCTGCAACAGATTAACAAAGCTGCTGTTTCACTCATGTAAAATAAATAATATATACCAAAGACAAACTGGAAAAATGCCCCCTCTTTCCTGGACTAGGCACTGAACTAGCACCCTCCCATCAGCTCTACCTTCCATTTGCCACCAGGTTGATCTTTTAAACACCCCAATCTGATAACATCCATGGCTGATGGCTCCCCAGCATAGCCCCAAGGGGCTTCCCAAGCACTTCATCCTCCCTCACCACACTCTGGGTAGCTGACACCAGCAGTGTGGTCTCCTCCATGTTCCTAAGCATGACTCACACTGCCCTATCTCTGCTCAGGATAGAATGGGCTTCTCCTCTATCTCAACCCAGTGTGTTTGGTCCAGACCAAATAACCAACTTATTTGTGAAGCCTGTTTGACCCAAATGAAAATAATGCCTCTTGGCCGGGCGTGGTGGCTCACGCCTGTAATCCCAGCACTTTGGGAGGCTGAGGTGGGGAAATCACTTGAGGTCTGGAGTTTGACATCAGCCTGGCCAACATGGTGAAACCCCATCTCCACTAAAAATACAAAAATTAGCCGGGTGTGGTGGCATACGCCTATAATCCCAGCTACTCGGGAGGCTGAGGCAGGAGACTTGCTTAAACCCAGGAGGCAGAGGTTGCAGTGAGCTGAGATAGCACCACTGCACTTCAGCCTGGGTGACAGAGTGAGACTCCATCCCAAAAAAAAAAAAAAAAGAGAAGAACGCCCCTCTTTTGCTCTTATAAACTATTTTCTTTGTACCAACCACAGAGCAATGATTTTACTTTAGTCTCAGTTTTCATTAGTGTCGTTGTTTCCTCTCTTGCAGGTAGAAAATATTTATACTTATCTTTATTTATTTTATTTATTTATTTTTTGAGACAGAGTCTCGCTCTGTCGCCCAGGCTGGAGTGCAATGAATGGCGTGATCTTGGCTCACTGCAACCTCCGCTTCCCAGGCTCAAGCGATTCTCCCAGCCCAGTCTCCCGAGTAGCTGAGATTACAGGCACCTGCCATCATCCCTAGCTAATTTTTTTGTGTTTTTGTAGAAACAGGGTTTCATCATGTTGGCCAGGCTGGTCTTGAACTCCTAACCTCAGGTGATCTACCCACCTCGGCCTCCCAAAGTGCTGGGATTACAGACTAGAGCCACCATACCTGGCCATACTTAACTTTATATTTGTCACAATGTCTATGCCAGATATACAAGATGTCCCTTTTCAACATGCCGGTAAACAAATAAAAAATCAATTAATCAATGAATGAATGAATGTCCTGAACTCGGGCTTGAAGGAGAGGATTTGGACAAAGATAGAAATGGAGATGAGAATGAAGGGCAGATGTGCTTTTGAGGGGGTAGTAATAACACAGTGTACCTCTCATGGGGTAGGTCTCTGAAGTGTACAAAATATTTTTATATACTCCCCCACACTCGATCCACCTGCCAGTCCTGTGCCACAAAGCAAAAAAAAAAAAGCAAAAAACATACTTCACAGATGAGAATCTAACCAAAGGCTCCATGACAAAGAGCTGTGGCAGCTAAGGTTAGTGAGATAACAGGTGATCAGAATGAAACATCTGAATTTGATGCAGTAGGAAACAGGGAGCCAACTGAGGGTTGAACCAAATCACTTCCGAAATCCTGCCTTTGCGGGACCCCTTCCAAGGCTAAATGAAAGAAGAATGGAAATTCTACCCTAATTACAGCTCCCAAGGTGCTACCCTCATTCATTCTTTTATCCCCAGCGCTCCTTGCTTGTCATGTACCTAAAGTTACACTCAGTACTCTGCTGCTAATGTGTTCAAGTTTTTCTCTGTTATTGCAATCTCCTGGCATGGTACCCACTGCTCAGCACAATGCAGTAGCAGCAGCATCCTAAGGACATTTTTTTTTTTGAGATGGAGTTTCGCTCTGTCGCCCAGGCTGGAGTGCAGTGACGCCATCTCAGCTCACTGCAAACTCTGCCTCCTGGGTTCAAGTGATTCTCCTGCCTCGGCCTCCCGAGTAGCTGGAACTACAGGTGCACGCTACCACACCTGGCTAATTTTTTAATTTTTAGTGGAGATAGGGTTTCACCATGTTGGCCAGGCTGGTCTCAAACTCCAGACCTCAAGTGATTTGTCTGCCTCGGCCTCCCAAAGTGCTGGGATTACAAAGAGAGCCACCGCACCTGGCCAGGACATTTTACTTACTCAAAATTTTGGTTGAGTTGGATCAAGTGAAAATGCAAGTATCTTACTGAAAGAAGCCCACATCATAAGCACCGTGAAAATCAGAGGGGGGCTGGGCACGGTGGCTCACACCTGTAATCCTAGCACTTTGGGAGGCCAAGGCAGGTGGATCACCTGAGGTCAGGAGTTCGAGGCCAGCCTGGCCAACATGGTGAAACCCCATCTCTACTAAAAATACAAAAATTTGCTGGGTGTGGTGGTGCACATCTGTAATCCCAGCTACTCAGGAGGCTAAGGCAGGAGAGTCACTTGAACCCGGGAGGCAGAGGTTGCAGTGAGCTGAGATTGCACCACTGCACTCCAGCCTGGGCAACAGAGTGAGACTCCGTCTCAAAAAAAAAAAAAAAAAAAATAGAGGGGAAATAAGCAATCTGAAGTTCAAATTCCACAGACCTTTTGGCATGCCTATAGTATATACATGGCACTGAGCTAGGAGGTCTGGGGGATTCTGAGATAGGGAAGGCAGTCCCTGCCCACAAACAGCTTCTAGTCAATCAGAAATGAACAAAACGTTTCCATAGGCTTCACCTGGCTACAGTGAGAGTCAAGTTGTCTGTGCAGCCTTTGATTCTGTTCTGAGCTTCCAAGTGTGTCATATTGCTAGTATTTTCCCCATCAATGGCTGTGATTACATCTCCAATACATAAATTAGCTAGAGCCGCCTTGCTTCCAGGAGTGACCTAGAAAAAAAGGGGAAAGCAGGCTAGTTACTATTTGTCTCCAAACCACTAAGTTACCACCAAGTTAAGTATTCACTGATATGGAGCAAAGCCCTGAAAAAGAAAAGAGGGCTGAAATCATAGCTTAAATAATAACAATCATTTATATTATCATTGACAAAGAGGGCTTTTCTAATATGATCTCATTGTATCCCTATAGCAACCTTATGAGAAAGGAGGACAAATAGCAGTCCCCATTTCCAAGACCAGGATCTGAGGCTTAGAAAGACCTATGACTTACCCAGGATCACCCAACTAGTATATTATTATATTACTGGTCCTCCAACTAGTGTATTACTGAGCCAGGAAACAAACCCCGAACAGATCTGATGTCCTTCCCACTGAACCACGTTTGCTTCCTTAAAATTAGTTAACAATTACATTTAAAAAAACACACACACACACATTTAGAGAACATTATATACTATAATACCCTATTTCTTTAAAAATCTTAATAATGTTATATATACAAAAGAAAGTGGAAACACTGCACACTAAATTGTTCACAGTTATACAGTTTTGCAATGTTTTTTACAATAATATTGAATTACTTTTTAATTTAAAAAATTGTTGACCAGGCATGGTGGCTCATGCCTGTAATCCCAGCACTTTGGGAGGCCAAGGCAGGCGGATCACCTGAGGCCACGAGTTTGAGACCAGCCTGGCCAGCATGGTGAAACCCTGTCTCTAACAAAAATACAAAAAAATTAGCCGGGTGTGATCTCAGCTATTCAGGAGGCTGAGGCAGGAGGATCACTTGAACCCAGAAGGTGGAGGTTGCAGTGAGCCAAGATCATGCCTCTGTACTCCAGCCTGGGCAACAGAGTGAGATTTCGTCTCAAAAAATAATAATAATAATAAAATAAAAATTTAAAAAAAAATTGTTAAAAGCAATCAAGGATATCCTAAAGTATGGTAGTATAGGTTTATACTGGTTTAATCTCCCAAAATGACTAGGGTCATTCCCTATAGACGGCTGGTTTTCTGCAGACTGATGCTTCTAAAACCAGTGGTTCCAAATTGACAGATCATTGATGCTTGGGGGAAGCCAATCAATTACTGCAATAGGTCCTTAAATTCACCTGCCTACAGAGCAATACATGCGGACTCAATACATATCACATCTCCTACACTGATGTACAACCATTTTTCAAGTGAATACAGATGCTATTAGAATGAACAAGATCCAAACTCATTTTGAAATAGTACTCACCTCAGAGTACTATCTCTAACCAAGGTATCTGGTTAGATTTTCTAAACTAAGGTATACTAAAAATATTACTGTCATCATCCCAGGGTAAGTTCACAACTTTTTTTTTCCACATTACAAGACCTTCCTGGATGGGAATTCCAAGTCCGCAGGATCAAGGTGGCAGTAACACCCCCAGGCTCCCAGTGCCCACAGGGCTCTGGCCACCCTTTGGAGAAGGCCCTTGACTCTCGGGATCCAGTTGAGGAAGATCTTATGAACACCTGGGTGTCTCCTTATGGCTGAACCACAGGTAACAGGTTCTTCAAGGCACCAAACCAGGACACACAAGTTGGGTCCTAAACCTCAGTATCTGATGCAGTTTTCAGCAGCTACAGTTTCCGATTAGCCCTCAGCGCAGCTAGTGTGGTGCCGCTATTATGGTGCATTCCCCATCAGCACCCTGACCCCAAAAAATGAGGACAAGTTGATCCTTGAGGTCCCTTCTGGCCCGCACATGCTATGACTTTATCAGGCAAAACTCTCCTGGAATGTGGCAGGATGTGGAAACCAGTACCGAGATCCTGACCTCCTAACCTTCCTTTCTGGCTCTCCCATCATTTGTTTACCAGAGATCTGGGTTTTAGGAAACGAAAGCAGCCTCCTGATTCAAGGTTCAGATCGTCCCCTCATCCAGCCACTGGGACAGGACTTTTTATCCAGGCAAGCACAGGCCGCTCTCATTTCAGTCAACAATGAGAGTTAGCTTCTGAGTCATCCAGTGCATGCAATAAAAAAAAATTCCTCCGTTTTCTGACCTGTTGTCCTGAGAAGACTGATCTGGTGCATCTTCATACACACTTCACTGTTACTAAAGGACAACGCAGGCTCAGTTTTTAAACGGCTCTAAGCATCATTTTATTTGGGATTGGCAAGCGTTCTTGACTGACAAACTCTAACTCCAAGGAGAGCAGCCTGAATCAAGGAGAATAATGCCTTATGGAACTCATTTATCATAGCTAAATCTAGCAGTTTCAAAGAGCAGTCCCCTTAGGATGAAATCCAAAATCTTTAACAAGGCCGCTAAAGCCAGTGCCTCCCTCCCCACCCACATCATGCCTCTTCCCCACTGGGCTCCAGCTACAGGGCCTCAGGACTTTCACACCTGCCTTTACCTCTGCCTGATTAACTTCTCATCTTCCAAGTGTCTGTGTAAACAACCCTTCTTCTCAAAGAGGCCTTCCTTCACCTCCAATCTAAGCTATACCCCCACAGTCATCCTTTTTTTTTTTTTTTTTGAGACGGAGTTTCGCTCTTGTTGACCAGGTTGGTGTACAGTGGCGCAGTCTCGGCTCACTGCAACCTCCACCTCCCGGGTTCAAGCGATTCTCCTGTCTCAGCCTCCTGAGTAGCTGGGATTACAGGCTGCACCACCATGCCCAGCTAATTTTTTGTATTTTTAGAAGAGATGGGGTTTTTTCACCATGTTGGCCAGGCTGGTCTCGAACTCCTGACCTCAGGTGATCCACCCACCTCGGCCTCCCAAAGTGCTGGGATTACAGGCGTGAGCCACCATGCCCAGCTCAGTCATCCTTTTAATACACTTGGTTCTTCTTCACGGCACTGGTCACTTTATGTTTGCAAACCTCCTTGGTGGGTTAGTTTGTTTAATGTTGAAAGGCCTACTCAGCAGTAAGGTGCATGAGGGCAGGATTTTGTCTGCCTTCTGTGCTGTGATATTGCAAAAATTTTAACAGTGAGAAAATTATGACAGTTAAAGATCTGGCCTAACCAATTTCATCTTGCCTTTAACCTCCAAACTGTCTTTGGTCATTCCTGGGCATCAGCAAAGCTAACTTCCGGAGAAATTTTAGTGTATAGTTTAAATGATGGTAGCACTTTCCAAAACTAAACTGTCTGAAAAACTAACGAAAGACCACCAGGTTAGGAGGATGAGAGGGGCCTGAATTCTGCTAAGATGTAGGCATAGTTAAATGATTACCAGCCATTATTCCAGAGCTCACAATATTTGCAACTTCCCCAGTTACTCCTGTAAATAACACCCCTATTGTAGAACCTAAGATTGGCCTTTTGCGATGTCCTTTCAGGCTTTTGCATTTCTGACTACCTACTGGATGCCCCCCGACCAAGATGCGAACTCAACACACTGTTTTCCACACCCCTGTGATGGCATGCCCAACCAATCAGCATTCACCTTCCCTAGCCCCCTGCCTGCCGAACTATCTTTGAAAACCCCTAGCCTTCAACTTTCATGGAGGCTGATTTGAGTAATAATAAAACTCTAGTCTTCCATTTAGCCAGCTCTACGTGTATTAAACTTTCTGTATTGCAAATCCCCTGTCTTGATAAATCAGCTCTATCTGGGCAATGGGCAAGAATCCACTGGGCAGTTACAGTATCCTCAACACCCAATAACTGGAACATAGTAGGTGCTCAATAAATATCTGTATAATAAATGATTGGCTCTAAAACACCTAGTGTTGTTAAATATGTAATCAGCCTGCTTCATTTTATCCTTTAAAATGAATTATTTCAAAAACATCAAAAATATTTTTATTTCAAAAATGAAATAATCATTTCCCTCTACACTGCTATCCTGAAGCATGACCACTCACAAAACTCAAATGAGATTGGAACTGGAGAGGTTGAGAAGATGAAAAAGAAGTTTCCTTTCACTTTTTTACGGTGAACTGCTGAGAAGTCCAGAATGTCCAGCATTTGGTTCCAACTGTTTTGTGGGAGAGACATTTCTGCTAAGTATATCCCAACAGGTCCTGGACAAGCTAGAACCAGTCTTAGGCGCCCCAAGCCTGAGTAATTGAGGTCTGGTCATCCTATCTTTCAGTATAATTTCTTTGTTTTTTTTTTAAAGCCAAACTGGTAAGAAGCCAAAGGAAATCTCAGAAAGTCACAAGCAACATCAGATAGGACTTGAAAGAAATTACACATACAGATTAAGTTCACATTCTTTTATGAGCTATCTTTTTTAGGGGAAAAAATTGATTTAAACAAATAATGGGATTTGCCTTTCCAAAGCCCTTTCATATACAATCTCCTATTTGAGATAATAATATGATTACCTCACCACCAACATATTAGATAAACTTTACAGATGAGGAAATTGAGATTCAGAAAAATTGTGAGTGGTTCAAGTTCACACAGCTAAAGGCTGAGCCTGAACTTGAAAGGCTCTCTCATTGCAAATTCCATTCCTTTTTGCTTTAGCACAATGCCACAAGCAGAGGCTCCAAACTCAACTGTCAAAGCCAAAAAAAAAAAATCCAGGAGACTCATCTGCAGTGGCCTTCTACATAGGACCTGGAGTGTCACAAAGTCCTGATGCTGGCTGAGTGCCTCCCTACCACAGGACAGTCACTCCCCTGCCCTGTACTGATCTGGGGCCCAGTAACCCCACCCATTATAAAATTTACAAACCATAACACAGAAGTGACAAGGGTTACAGGAGAGAAGGCCTGTGCCTCCAACACTGGATAGTTCCTGTCTTGAATGGTGGATTCCAATCCTTGCCAAACACTATTTATCACAATCATAATCAAAATGACAGCCATCAGTTAATGAGCGTTTAGGTACCAAGCATGACAAAGTCTTTAGCAAGGGTTAACTCACCAATATTCACGTGATGCTACCAGACAGGCAATGTTATCTGCATCATTACAGATGAGGAAATGGAGGAACAGGGGTTAAGCAGTTTGCCTGAGGTTGCACAGCTGGTGAGCGGCAGGCCACAGCAGGCTCCAGAGTCCACCCACTTAACCAACTAGGCCACACTATCTGCTCTAATTTCCTCCTGACCATCAAGTTCCATCAGAACCAGCTCATAATAGAGTCAGCTTCAGTTTCCTAAAAAAAAAAAAAAAAAAAAAAAAAAAACTTCTGGGCCAGGCATGGTGGCTTACGCCTGTAATCCCAGCACTGTGGGAGACCAAGGTAAGTGGCTCGCCTTGAGCTCAGGAGTTCGAGACCAACCTGGGCAACATGGCGTAACCCTGTCTCTACAAAATACAAAAAAAATTTGCCAGGTGTGGTGGCACACGCCTGTAGTCCCAGCTACTCAGGAGGCTGAGGTGGGAGGATAGCTTGTACCCAGGAGGTAGAGGCTGCAGTGAGCTGAGACTGTGCCACTGAACTCCAGCCTGGGTGATAGAGTGAGACTTGTCTCAGAACAAGAAAAAAAAAAATTATATACTCACTCCCATTAGTTCAATGAACGTGCCATTGCCAGCCTTTTTCCCCAGAGACCATACAACTAGATCACACAACTCTTGCTGCATAAGAATAAATGGGGACAGGCACAGTAGCTCATGCCTGTAATCCCAGCACTTTGAGAGGCCAAGCACTTTTGGGAGGTCAGATGGCAGGCAGATCACATGAGCTGAGGAGTTCAAGACCAGCCTGGCCAACATGGTGAAACCCTATCTCTACTAAAAATACAAAAATTAGCCAGCTGTGGTGATGCACACTGCCTGTAATCCCAATTACTCAGGGGGCTGAGACAGGAGAATTGCTTGAACCCAGGAGGTGGAGGTTGCAGTGAGCCGAGATCACACCACTGCACTCCAGCCTGGGCAACAGAGTAAGAATGTCTAAAAATAAAATAAAATAAAATAAAACAGTAAACGGGTTTAGGCACAACAATTTCCACTAATGAACAATCTATCATTTTCTGCTCAATTCATTCTTGTGTCCCTCACTCTTCGTCCCCACCAGCACCCCAGGCAGACACTGCTTGCTTAGAGGCCAACATGTTCTCCACTCCAAGTTCATAATGCATCTTTAAGACCTGTCCACTGCTGCCAGTCCTGAGCACATAAGAAGGTGTTTGAAGTTTAACTGCACTTCTAACTGGTGTAAATAAAATCGGATGATGATGTAGCTCTCCCACTTTCTTCAACTTACATTTAAATAACTACATACCTAAATGACACTACTATCATACAGAACTGGATGCATACCCATGACAAATAAAAAGATAACCCTCCTCCTCAGTGATAATGGCATGTTTCTACTTCATCCCTCCCCTGTTCCTTCTTTCTCTCTCTGTTCATTCACTTATCAGACATCCTTATGTACATTCTGAAAGACAGTGTAACTTGTTCATTAAGATGTGGTTTCTGGAGTCAGATGGCCAGGGTTCAAGTCCTGCCTGGCTTGTGAGCTAAGTGTCCTTGGGCAGGGTATTTCACCTCTGTGTAAACAAGGATGCACCAAGGATGAAAAGAACAGCTTTGACATCAGAAGGCTGTTGCGAGGATTACATTAGGCAATTCAGGCAGAGCCCCCACTGTCAGGGCTCCAGAAATGTGAGCTATTGTTTGTAGATTCCAGGAACCACACAAGGCACTGGAACTCAGCTGTGAAAAGGGTGGTGCCTGCCATCAAGAAGCTCACAGTCTCCTGGGGGGAGACAAGCATGTACAACAGCTGATGAGTGTTGTGCTAGAACCAACAAGGTAGTAGGGGCCTAAAGGTGGAATCACGGAACACTCCCTGGAGGAGGTGCTGCTTAAAACTGTGCAAAGCCACAAAAGGAAAAAAGCAAAAGGAAAGAGCATGCCAAGTCTCAAAAAAAAAAAAGAAAAGAAAAGAAAGAAATTTAGCAAGCGAAGGGAGAGGAAGAGGATGAGGCTGTAGATGTAAACACAGACTAGGAGACCAACAAAGAAATTGAAACATAGCATCTGACATTGACTGCCCAGTCAACTGCCAAGAAACAACCACTGAGCCTTAGCTCTGCTGAGATTAAGGTGACTGCATTTGACAGATACTCTAACCGACGCTCAAAGAAGCAAACCCATTCAAGGGGTCACCCGTTTTGGGCCTCTAGGTCAGCCATTCTGTGGCTGGCTTTCCCTAGCAGGTCTTTCAGAAGGCAGTCCTACTTAAAAATCACATGTTCTACTGACAGCTAGATGGGGTTCCTTTAACTCTCTGGCTCAAGATTGAAAGCTAGAGGCCTGTGAAATGGACCCAGCCAACAGTCTTGTTTTTTTTCTTACATTTAAATTACATGCCAATATTTATATATCAACAAAATCACTCAAACCCCTAGATTCGCAGCTTCTTTAGAAAAATCAGAAAATCTGGCAATTCTGGGCCTAGATTCCCATATGGCAACAATCAGCACCAAATGAGGAGCCTCTGATCCTCTATATGAGACACATGCTCTCCATTTAGCCACAGGCTCTACCATGCTCTACTGCCCCAGCCACAGAAACCCAGTACCTGTTACCATTTATGATCATTCTTGCAGCTATTAATTTTCTGACTATCTCACCTACTCAAAACTCATTTATTATGGTATATAAGTTTCTAGCCATTTTTTCCCATTCTAATACACACATATAATTATACTTTATACCACAATATAACTACCTTCTTGACTCTTCTAATACAGTATGGGGAAAAAATAATTGAGCAGAGCTTACTGGGTGAGGCAATTCAAACCCCAACTCTAACGCTTTTCCTCTCTACTGCCTTAAAGGGTGCCAGTTTTTAGGGGAAATCATTTTGGAGGTCTGGTCCACATCATTTGTTGATTCAACCAACACGCTGAGCTCTGCATGCTACACACTGGGCTGAGTCAGAGTTTACTGTGATTACTCAGGGGAGCAAAACGTTGTCCCTGTGCTAGAAATGGTTTGGACTAGGGATTATAATTTGCCTTCTGTAAAATTACTAAAGCAGAAATGGATGCAGCAAGAAAATGTGATTCTCAAACAAGCCAAGCAACATTCTTATTTAATTCTCATAGGCAAAGAAACAGTTTTGGTGGGCAAAGAAAGAAAAGATAGCAGAGATCCCACTGGGGACCCACTGGGATTCAGCGATGAGGAAAAATATTATTTACCAGGCAACTTCCTGCTGCAAACAGGCCATATGCTTCAATTCTAGGCAACATAAACCCAATGCCAAGTTCTTAAAAGTTGCATTTTTTAAAATGTTCTTTTACATATATAACATACAGAATTTAACAAAAATGAGTAAGTATGAGCATATTAGTCCTTTTTAGTAAATTTTCTTTTTAAAAAAACAAATTTTAGGCCAGGCATGGTGGCTCACACCTGTAATCCCAGCTCTCTGGGAGGCCAGGGTGGGTGGATCACTAGAGGTCAGGAGTTCAAGACCAGCCTGGCCAACATGGCAAAACCCCGTCTCTACTAAAAATACAAAAAATTAGCCAGGTGGTGGCAGGTGCCTGTAATCCCAGCTACTCAGGAGGCTGAGGCAGGAGAATCACTTGAACCGGGGAGGCAGAGGTTGCAATGAGCCAAGATCACCCCACTGCACTCCAGCCTGGGCAACAGAGCGAGATTCCATCTCCAAAAAATTAAAAAAAAATTTAAAAACTCTTGTGTTGCCTCCTAGCCCCTTGATACAAATGAGTTTGTGACCACTGGCTCAGTTTAAAAGTTATGGAAAGCATGATTATATGTAGAAATACTTTATGACTAGGATTACCAAATGCCCTGATTTGCCCAAAACAGCTTAACTATCAAGACCACCCCATTTCATTCGCAGAAGTACTCCAGCCTGGATAATAAACAGTACTGTTGCCTTTTTGACAGAGGTGGGGGTTTTAACCAAATATTTGTCAAATGGTTTAAATGGTTCTCAGGCAGAGGTTTTTGCTTTGTTTTATTTTTTTCTTTTTCTTGAGGGAAAAACCGTGTCTATTCAGAAGGCTTATTTGTGGACAGGACTACAGGTCAATTTCCTGACTCTTTATGGAACGTTGTTAACCTTGCCCCTTGGAGTTGGCTCTAAACCTCAGGCCAGAAATCAACCCCACTCACCAATACTCAGCCAACTGTGATATTTGCAAGGATGAGGCAATGGTTTTCAAACAGGTTGGTCATCAGATCCCATGGGGGCAGGGATTCAAAATATAGATAGAGCTCCACAACCCATCTCAGATCCACCAAAGACAGCCTATACAGTGAAACCCAAGAACCCATACCTTTTTAAAGCTTCCCAGAAAATGTTAATGCTCATCAGGTTTGGAAACACCAAGAGAGATGATGACTATGACTATCTTTTCCCCTTAAACTCTCTCCCTGAATGAAGTTAAAGTCATCAGGTAGACAAAAAGTAATTAGACCCTAAAATCTCAGCTCCTCCAGAAACACCTTCAAGGGCAGAACTTATACTCCTATAAAATACATACAAAGCCCTTGAAAGGAATATCCATTAGAATAGTATTCCTCTATCTCTTACCAAAACAGACTTAAAAAAAAAAAAATAGGCCAGGCAGGGATGGCTCATGCCTATAATCCCAGTACTTTGGGAGGCCACAGCAGGAAGACTGCTTAAGCCCAGGATCTTGAAACTAGTCCGGGCAACACAGTGGGACCCTGTCTGAACAAGAAATTAAAAATTAGCCAGGCATGTAGTCCCAGCTACTCAAGGAGACTGAGGTGGAAGGATCGCTTAAACTGGGAGGAAGTGGAGGCTGCAGTTAGCTATGATAGCACCACTACACTCCAGCTTGGGCAATAGAGCAGGATGCTGTCTCAAACAAAACACAAACAAAAAAATACAGCCCCTGTAATGTTGGTTAACACCCCTGAAAATGCTATGCAAATGAAGCATTGCATAAGTAATTTTGTTGTTTTTTTTAAATAGAGATGGGGTCTCACTGTGTTGGCCAAGGTGGTCTTGAACTCCTGGCCTCAAGCAATCCTCACACCTCGGCCTTCCAAAGTGCTAGTTTCACAGGCATGAGCCACTGCGTCCAACCAGTAGAAGTATAATAACTCCAAACAAGATATCTAAATAACTCGACGTGGGTCCTATTTTCCCTTGGCCAGAAAACTCACAGCTAAATGTAGTGTGCAATTACAGAACCAACTGATTTAAAGTTCCTGGCACTTCTCTCTCTTTCCTCTTCCATGTTCCAATTTTTTGTTAAATCTTATATGTGTTCTTGTGTTTTAAATATTGTAAATGTGTAACTAAGTGAAAGACAAGCCTAAGACAAGCCTGCAAGTAAGTGAAAGAGACAGCCTAAATAACGATAGTAATAATTATATACAACTGGGATAAAGAAATGTGAGATTCAAGTTCAATCGCAATGCTACATGCCTTTAAGCATAATCTCCGCTGATTTAACAGTTGTGTCAAGGTATTTGGGTACAAATTTAACAGATTCTAAACTGGGGATAAAGCAGGACCCAGCTCTGTAGGATGCCATTTACATGTGGAATTTGAACTCTCTTTAGTCAGAATCTTCTGACTCAGTATGTTTGTGAGCCGAGGCTGTGGCACAGACTTCACAGCCATATTATGGCTGCAGAAGCTGTATGCATTTACACAGGGTGACCTGAAAACATAACACTGTTTTAAAATGTTCTTGGTTAGTCTATAACCATTTTCTCAGGGAAATGAGGCAATAAAATAGGGTAGATGCTTGTAGATAAGTTGCACCTTAATCCAGCTTCACACTATGCATGGTGCAAAAAGAAGTTATTAGTGCTAAGGGGTGACAGTTCAAAGAGACGTGCTGCTCTCTCAGTCTGAAAGACCGACCACCATTTCTCAGACAGGAATATAATAAAACAGGTAGCCAAATAGAATACTCTGACTAAATTCTTAAGAAGTCATCGAGGCCAGGCGTGGTGGCTCATGCCGGTAATCCCAGCACTTTGGGAGGCCGAGATGGGCGGATCACTTGAAGTCAGGAGTTCAAGGCCAGCCTGTTCACCAACATGGTGAAACCCCATCTCTACTAAAAATACAAAAAATTAGCCAGGTGTGATGGCGCACGCTTGTAATCTCAGCTACTTGGGAGGCTGAGGTGGGAGGATCACTTGAACCCAGGAGATGGAGGTTGCAATGAGCCGAGATCATGCCACTGCACTCCAGCCCAGGCGACAGAGCGAGACTCCGTCAAGAAGTCGTCGAGTTCCTCAAAAGTTTCCAAACAAGCTCCTATGAACCCTACGTGCTTTTAAATAGCTCCAACAGCTACCACCCATAACCCAAAGCCTAAACACTCACTAAACCTTGAGGGAATTACTCTCTCTGACTCAGTATCTTCATTTATCAAATGAAATTTATAATGCATCAACCTCATCAGGTTGCTGGAAGGCTTAAATGAGACTGCATTTGTAAAGAGTTCAGAACAATGCCTGGCACGTAATAAACACTCAATATATAGTAGCTACCATTAATATTTTTAATATTTAATAGTTTAATAGTACCACTAGGCTCTCTCTATATATCATCTTAATCCTCACCACAACCTTTGAAGACAAGCGCTATTATTCCCACATTGCAAATGAGGACACTGAATTTTCAGGGGTTAACCTGTCCAAGAACATACAAGCTAGTAAATGGACAAGATAAGGTTTGAACTAGATCTAGCAGATATCAAAAATGTATTTTTCCCTTGACATTAAGATGTCTTTAATTCTTGATTTGTTACAGTAAAAATAAGGCAGAAAGCACAAAGCAATGAAGTCCCAATAGTTCACTGAGATATAGTAATTTGGTTTTAGAAATGCTACGTGTGCGGAAAAAGTCTGGAAAGGTTTGCAGCCAGCTGTTCACTGTGTTTACCTCTGTAAAGTAAGACTGGGGAAGCCTTTTACCTTATGCTTTCTGTAGGTTTATATTGTCCGATCTTTTAAACAATTACGCGGGCTTCTATGTAACCTTTACTGAAGGATGACATGTATACAGCACAAATGGTAACGATACAGCTGATTGAATTCTCACATACAGAGCACACCCAAGGAAACAGCATGGGATAAAGAAGAGGACATTACCTGAACTGCTAAACCTCCCTGTGCCCGCCTTCCGTCACTGACCTTCCGGCAAAGGTCTGCCATGATCCTGACTGCTAACACTGTAGATTAATTCTGTCTAATTTTATGTAACTGGAATCACACAGTATTTACTCTTCACTCTTAGGTATGGCCTTTTTCTCTGTGTGTGTGTGTGTGTGTGTGTGTGTGTGTGTGTCTCCTTCATGTCACTGTGCATAGTTGTAATTTCTTCACTCTTGTTGCTGTGATGTTTTATACCATATAATTACACCCACTACTTATCTATTCTATTGCTGTTAGACATGTGAATCGTTTCAAATTTGGGGCTATTATGAATAGTGTTGCTTGGAAAATTCTCAAACTTGTCCTTTAGCACTCATGTGGACCCAGTTTCTATTGACTATTTAACTAGGAGAACTGTTGGGTTATATGGTATGGGTATGCTCAGCTTCAGAAGCATAAGTATTTTTTATTATTTTTTTAAAGAAATGGGTGCAAACTATTTGCTGCATCAACCATATTTAATCTATCTGTATGCATTTTTTTTTTCTAGATGGAGTTTCGCTCTTGTTGCCCAGGCTGGAGTGCAGTGGCGTGATTTCAACTCACTGCAACCTCCGCCTCCCAAGTTAGAGCAATTCTCCTGCCTCAGCCTCTTGAGTAGCTGGAACTACAGGTGCCTGCCACTACGCCTGGCTAATTTTTGAATTTTTAGTAGAGACAGGGTTTCACCATGTTGGCCAGGCTGGCCTCAAACTCCTGACCTCAGGTGATTCACCCACCTTGGCCTCCCAAAGTGCTGGGATTACAGACATAAGCCACCAAGCCCAGCCTCTGTATGCATTTTCAATATCTTTATCTAAACTAGGTCCTATCTATGTTCTTATTGTCTTACTTGATACGAATGGTCGTGTCTATAAAAATTAGTCCCTGAGTGTTCAGTAAGGAATCTGGCCTCCTACAAGACCGCTGTGTTCTTCACAAAATCATTTTTAGTATTTATGGCATTTACCAAGGAGACAGTGTATTACACATGGGAAAGTGCACCACAGAACTCAGCCACGGATGAGCAGCCCAATTTGCCCAGGATGTGGCTAACAAGAGTATCAATAATCACACAGGGTGCTAACAGCCATACAGGAATTACCTTTTTTGTCTTAGGTTTCATGGGTATATTCGGTTTTGGACTTAGCTTGGCTACCGCAAGGTGGAACTGTTCACTGCCTGGTCATCTTCATCTACCACAAGAACCATTCCCAAATGCCCTCCTATCCCCCACAAGCAGGTCTTTCTCTAGCCAGTCCTTCCACTCCTCTGCTCTTGTTCTTCACTGTCCAAGTGGGCATGGAACCTCATAACTGGACTGTAAATTCTCCCAGGTGGGGCCATGACTTTCAGTTTTTCAGGAGGGACAGGGAAGGGAGGTGCTGCTTTCTGAGGTGCTCTGAGCTGAGGCCACAAGGCAACTGGAGAGCCACCCCAACCAACCTCAGGAGAATGAGAGGCTCCAGGGTGTGGAGCCCAGGAGTGTCTTATCCCTCATGTTGAAGCCTGCACCACCCTTAGCACTTTTCAGAGCTGTGTGCTGGGTTAACACTGTTAGCAATGAAATATTGACAGTTATGGCTTATTAGGAGGCAGAATATAGTGGTTAAAGCTGGCCTGGAAGTGAGTCTGCCTGGCTTCACTTCCCAGCTCTGCAATTGTCTGACTTTGTGTTCTGTGTCCCTCTGTCATGGGTTGTGGGGAATACAGAAGAAGATAATGTAAGTGCATGCTTAGCACAGAGCAGGCACTCAAAAAATGTTAGCTGTTATTAATATATTACTATGACATAGAGATTAAGACTACAGGCTTGGAAGCCGGACTCCCCAGCCAAACTCCAGCTCTACCACTCACTGCTATATGATGCAGGCAGTGTACTTAAGGTCTCCAAGCCTCAGTTCCCTCATCTGTAAAATGGGGATCTTAATCCTACCTCACAAAATACGTGTGAAGATCACTGAATATATTATGGTCTTAGAATGGTGCCTGGCATATTAAAAGTCCTATATATGTTTTAACTATGGTTATTACTGCAAGCAGATCAAATAAATATTTCTCACACAAATCTTTCAAATGTAAATGGATGCTGCTGTGATTAACAGAAGACAAATACATCTGAAACATTCCTGAAATCACAGTGTTTTCTAAATCAACTTATGATTGAAGGTACAACTAATGCCATGAGAGACTAGGACACTCTAACAATAAAAAAGTGGGCTCTTGGCTCATGCCTGTAATCCCAGCACTTTGGGAGGCTAAGGTGGGCAGGTCACTTGAGGCCAGGAGTTTGAGACAAGCCTGGCCAACATGGCGAAACCCCATCTCTACTAAAAATACAAAAATTAGCCACATGTGGTGGCTCATGCCTGTGATCCCAGCTACTCAGGAGGCTGAGGCACAAGAATCGCTTGAACCCAGGGGGTGGAGGTTGCAGTGAGCCGAGATCATGCCACTGAACTCTAGCCTGGGCAACAGAGCGACACCCTGTCTCAAAAAAAAAAAAGTAGCTCTCATATTCAAAGGGTATGAAAACCTCTGGGTTTGCTTGCTTATTATTTTATTTTATCTTTACAGGGAATATTATTTTATTTTATCTTTACAGGGAACTGAACCCAGGAGAAGACATATGATTTTCCCAGGATCACCCACCAAGGTGCTCCGGACTAGAGCTCAGCTTGAGTCCCTGCCCTGGACATTGTACCAGGCCCTCAATTAAAGTCCTGGAAGCTTCCCCCAGGCTTTCCTCTGAGACCTACTGGAAGCGAAATAATCCTTTAAAAGTTAGTTTTCTGACACAACCACTTTTGCTCCAGTCTCTATCCTATCCTTTACAAGGAAGTTGAGTAGTAAGTCAGCCAGTGAGAAATTATGTAAATTCAACCAAATTACCTAACCTGTGAGCACCTGAGCTTTTCTGTTTGCAAAAGGCAAAGAATGCTAGCTTTCCTCTCCTCTGTGGAGCAAGAGTTAAGGCATGGCCTAAGAATGTGCCAGTCCTATCCTGATCCCAGTACACAGCAATTCCTTGGTGCTTTTCCCAGTCCTGGTCAGCCTAGGAGAATATGACCCAGACGCTTAGATGACACTCTCCTCTCAGTCATCTACCTGGCTGCAATACCCTAAAGCCACTGTTCTTCCCTCTTGCCTCCTCAAACAAACCAGCAAGGTTGGCATCAGGAGTTTAGGGAGGGGAGACTATCTGGTCAGAGGGTGATAATGTAGTATGGGCTCAGGCATTCACTTACATGTCATTCTCTTTGGTTTGTCCTCTTCCCCCTCTCTCCTTAAGTCAGCTGTGAGCAGCTGAAGTCGCTAATATTTCCCAGGTATCAATTTCACAGACCAAGGGCATGCAGCACAATGGCCATTAAAACATAATGACCCTTTTTGGACATTTCCTGCTTTTCATAATCTGACAGACAAACCCTTCTCTTTCAATCTTTACGACATGATGTAAAATCTATCTGAATCCGGAAATACCACTCTTAAAAATCAGAAATGACCCTCTGGCCACAGTAACCATTATTAAGCATCCCTTGGGATACTTGAGAAAAAGCATAAGCATTTGCCACAGAACCGCTCAGCTCTTAGCAAAGGGTTCCCCAGGACTCCAGAGACAAATGAGCAACTCCTCCAACTAAGGGCATCCCTTGATCTTGGCCTCACCCTTTCCTGTCTTTTATCAGTTGCTGGGAGAGAAAAACAGTCAACATAAACTGAGTTGCAATGTTGGCCTGGGTATTTCTCTGAAGGCTTCCCTTGAAAGTAACTAGAGGGAAGGAGAAATTAACATGGAAAATTTTTTTAATTAAAAAAATACCTCAAGGAAATGGGCAAGTGTTGATTTGAAGCAGGAACTGACAGAAAAAAATATCAGAGAACAGTGGCAAATGTGTGGCTGGATCATCAGGGAACACAAGGCAAGAGCACTAAACGAGAATGTGGGTAAAAGAAGCTAGCCTATGTCCACTTAAAGTTGGAAACCTGGGTTGAAATTTTAAGTTGATAACGATACTAGATGAAAACATTAAGGAGCTAAAGAAGCTGTTCACACACACACACACGTGTTCTGTATGAGTCTGTTCAGAAACAGGCAAAATTAAGCTATGGTATTTGGGATACCTAATTTAGGTGGTAAAACTATGAAGAAAAGCAAGGAAGGGATTACCATAGGTCAGGATAGCGTTACATTTAGGGAACTTTTGGGTGCTGCAATATTCTATTTCTTGACTTGGGTAGTGATTATACAGATGCTTGCTTTATAATCATTTGCTGTGCATTTGTATTTTATGATTTTTTATTCCACAATAAAAAATAAGTTAAAAAATAAAAAAATTGCAAGTACATAAGATTAGCATTATATTAAGAAGCTTTAGCAGTTTAGCAAAAGACTGGAGCCAATACCACAATAATTCATGCAAGAGAAAGCAAACATGGTTATTTAAATAAAAGGCACTCCTCTCCCAGCCTAATTTTATGGTTTGCTTTGGTGTGGAGACTCAAAGTCTATCATATACAAAACTATACCAGCAAATTGCCCAGGATGATAAATAATGTAGCATACCTACCAATCAGAAAGTGTGTACAGCTCTTTGTCAGTGCTCACATTTCCTCACTATCACTATTTACGGAGCACTCTCACATACCTTAACTCACAGCCAAGGGCTGGTGCTATCCCCACTGCAGAGGTTTTTTTTTTTAAGTAGCCTCAGACAGTGGAAGATTCACCCCAGGTACAGCTCAAGCAAGAAGACACTGGACCAGCACCAGATCTCAGATGGCCACACCAGGGTCCCTTTATGACAATGACTTTCCCATTCCCATGAGGTGAACAGGCTCACAATTTTTCCATGTATTAATAAGGAGCTGAAGAGAAACAAATAAATTACTGTCAGCATGAAAATGTTACCTCTTCTGAGTCACTTCCACTTTTCAATTAAAGCACCTGCCAAGGGCATTATAAAGATTAGTTTCCATCACTAGACCATGAACACCTTGAGAATGGAGCTGTGCCCTCTCATTTCTGAGGCGTTTGCACAGTTTCTGGAATATGATACGTGCTCATTAAACACGTGCACACGCCATAAATAAATAATATAAATAATAAATGAGTGAATATATGAAGGTAAAAACCAATGAATTCACAGTGTGGTGTTTTCCACCCCATTCCATCATTCACTCATGCATTAAGACTTTTAAAAGCAGCTAAAGTGAAAGGCAGTAACTGCCCTTTTAACAGATTGCCAATACATCCTCCACTACTTAAAAAAGGGTTTCATGTCATATATAAATCTCAGAAGTGGAGAGGGCTGACAGGTTAATTATAGACACAAAGAACAGGGACAAATGGACTATGAGGTAAGCGAGTTGAAATGTGCAGACACAATGTCCTCCCTGGACAAGCATTTATTAATAAGCCTGCAAGGATTTACCCAGCCCGGCCAGGTACAGGTCTGCTACCAGGCTCGGGGACGATTCTGGGGAAGGCACAGTTCCTGCGCTTGAGGAATTAGGCTGGTGGCTGGAAAGGCAGTGTGTACCTTTGAGAATAATCAGAGGTCTCTGTGGGACGAGGCAAACAGGTGGAAGATAAGGCCCAAAAACTGGCCCGCCTACTCTTTTAGGGGGGTGAGATAGAGAAGACCTCCTCACTGGGCCAGGCCAACCGGGAAAGAAGCATGGGTAGGACTGTGGCTGGCAGACAAGTCAAGAGGAGGCCACCAATTCTTCTCCTGCACCTCCCACCAAACTCCTTCAGCTGCTGGACGCAGGAGCTTGAGTCAAAAGGATCCATAAGGATATTTCCCTTTCTTCTCCACCCTTCCCCCAACCCCAAGTGAAAAAGAAGGATGTTTAGAAAGTCTGGGAGACAAGCTGAAGGGCAGCTTCAGCAGGCAGATGAGCCCAAGAATGGAATGTGCCGCCTACAGGCAAGGAGTGGCCATGGGTGGGGAGAAAGGGGACTTCTTTTTCTCCCTTTCCTCATTCGAGGTACTTACTGAGTCTCTTCTTGGTGCCCAAGCACTGAACGTGACATCTCTTAGTGGGACATCAACCTGTGTTTGGCCAGATTAAATGGCCAAAGCCCAGACCTCTGAACACTGAGTCTGGGTCTCCCTGGGGGTTTCACTTTATTAGGGGGGCAATGGTTCTGGTGGCCCCTGATTCAACGTGAGTCCTTCTAAAGATCCGAAGCCCCTCTTAGATTTCAAGCACCTCAACCCCACCCCAGGTGGACACCCCATCGCAGTATCTACTCATGCCCTGAGAAAAAAGGGCTGGTGCGGGGAGGGGAAAGAGATAATCTGGGAATGCTAGGAAGAATGACGGCGGGGCCACGTTCTGCAGAGGGGAGAATGACCAAGAGGGTTTACTTGAGTTTGTTTGTTGTGTTTATTTCCCGAATCCAGCACATTCTCCAAAAGCCATTCGAGGGGCGAGCCTCGGCCGTGGGTCAAGTCCAAAGAGCGTGTTTCGGTTGTTTTTTTAGGTTAATCCCACTTGCCCCCCACCCCAGTAAACTTCCCACCCACCCCACCTCACTTTCCAGGTCTTTCCTGTTGCGTTCGGCTGCACTGCGATCTGGGAAGAAGGGAGAAGTGCCATCTCCCAGCGCGCGGGATCTGCGGGGACCCTCGTCCCCTCGCTGGTTGACAAAGAACTAACACCCGCCCCGCCGCGCTTCCGGGGCCAAAGAACGAAAACTGCCTTCTTTTTTTCTGGCGGACACGGAGCGCGCCCGCGGCGGGCCGACCAGCCCGGGAGCGCAGCCTCCGCGAAGGGGCGGCGGGGAGCGGCGGGGCCCGGGCGCGCGGAGAGCGCTCAACTAACAGCGCACCTGGACGCGCCCGGCTGCGGTTCCGACTCCGTCCCCGACCGCGCCCGCGGGGCCCCAGTCTCCGCATATCACCTCCCATAGCGCCCCGCTTCCACGCACGTCCCAGCTGCTCTTACCCGGGAAATGGCGAGAGGCTGCTCGAAGTCCTTGCCGCCCACGAGGCGGAAGCCCCACGGCCCCGGGCCCTGGAGGTCTATCTGCTGGGTGGTCATGGCGCGGCTGTGGCGGGCGACGACCCGCGGGGACAGACGGGCAGGACGCGCGGAACAGCTTGCAGGGCACCCCCGGCGGCTGTCGGAGAAAGAGCGGCGCGGCGCGGGCCCGGGGAGCCTGGGGCTGGCGGGGGCAGGGCAACCGCGAGGGCCAGGGCGGGGGCGGCTCCGCCCAGGCCGCGTAGCCGCCCGCCGCCCCGCCCGTCCTCCCGCCCGCAGCCGCTCCCCGCCCTGCGCGCCGGCCTGGGGGCCCTGGCCCGGAGTCCCGCCGAGAGAGCGCGAGTCAGATGCGGGGCCGGGGCTCTCAGCAGCTCTGCCCGGGACCCCACACCGCCTCCCTCCCTCCTGTACGCACGGCCGCACCGCGGCTCTCGGGCCCGGGGCGGGTGCTAGGTGAGAGGGAAGCAGGTCCTGACAGCGAGACAAACTCGCGCCTCGTGCTTTGTAAAACGAGAAATTTGAAGTGCTGTGCCAAGTCAGCCCTCTGAGGTCGGCTCCGACTTCCCATTTGCTTTTTGTAATCGGTAATGATGTTTAAAAGGTGCTTTCGAACGATCTCATTTGATGCTGAGGCAACCGGGACGTTTAGTCCCATTTTACAGATGAAGTAACTGAGTCTGCTCAGTAGGTGAGAAGACTTGCCCGACGCTACACCACTCGTCAGCATCTGGACCACTGCCCGGGCCCAGTGCTGCAGAACCCCATCCTGGAACTTTTATAATGCTAATGAGACCATCACTCAGGTTATAACTGAACTTCAAGGCCTTCCTAGAAATCTTTCCTCCAGGCTGGAGTTCATGGTAGGTTCTGACCTCAACAGTTCAAACCTCAAGTTTGGGGCGGGCCAAGGGCCAAGTCAATGCAAAAGAAGAGCTGAGTCCGGGACCTGGATTCCCAGCCTCCCACCAGCTTCCTAGCCAGGCTCCCCCTGACGCCCTCCCGGTGGAGTGCATTCTCCACGCCGGACCAGACCATTTCTCATGCTGTCCATGGCGTCCCCACCTCACCACCAGTGAAAACCCAGATCCTTACAATGCCTACAAGGCCACCCCTAGAATGGCCCCAACTCCCTCTCTGACCCCAACTCCTCCTGCCCTTTCCTCACCTGCCCCCCAGTCTGCCAGGCTGTGCTCCTTGCTCCTAACTCAGGGCCTTGCCTCAGGGCCCTGTCTGCAATGCTGTTCTCCCAGACATCCCCACCACTCTCTGTCATTTTCTAGGGGCCGGACACGTGGCTCACGCCTGGAATCCCGGCACTTTGGGAGGCTGAGTCAGGAGGATCAGTTGAGCCCAGGAATTCTAGACCAGCCCCAGCAACACGGCAAGACCCTGTCTCTACAAAAAAATTTAAAAAAATAAAAATTAACCAGGTTTGGTGGGGCACACCTGTCCCAGCTTCTAGGGAGACTGAGGTGGGAGGATGGCTTGAGCCGGAGAGGTCAAGGCTGCAGTGAGCTGTGGTCGTGCAACTGTACTCCAGCCTGGGTGACAGAGTGAGACCCTATCTCAAAAACTAAAAAATAAAAAAAATGCAAATGTCATTTTCTGAGGTCATCTCTGAGCATCATTTAAGATATCCTCTCTAGAATGCTCTATTACCTTCCCCTGCCTTATTTTTTTCTTTTGTATGTATCACCATCTGGCATTCTCTATATTTTGTATATTTATTTGTTCCACCCCCACTCTTAAGCATTAATTCCATAAGGACAGGGGTTTTTATCTGTTTAGATCACTGCTGTGCCCCAGTGCCTAGAATAGTGCCTGGCACATAGTACTTAATGTATATAACACATTGGCCATCCTCAGGACCACTTACCCTCTCTGGGCCCAGTTTCTTCGCAGTTTTCTTGGCACCCATTCATCCTGGTACCCAGGCCCCAGCACAGTGCTTGGCATAGAGCCCATGCTCAATGAGTTTGTTCCCTGTGCAGCTCTGTCTCCCTGTGATCCTGGCCTACCTACTGAAGAGCCCTGTGCACAGATTTACACATAAAAAGATTATCTTGCTTGTCCAATTGTGTGACAGCACAAATGCCTATGTTTGGGAATAGTTTGTTTGCTTTTAGAAATCCAAGTGGAGGGCCGGGCACGGTGGCTCACACCTGTAATCCCAACACTTTGGGAGGCCAAGGTGGGCGGATCACCTGAGGTCTGGAGTTCGAGACCAGCCTGACCAACATAGAGAAACCCATCTCTACTGAAAATACCAAAAATTAGCCGGGCGTGGTGGCGCATGCCTGTAATCCCAGCTGCTCGGGAGTCTGAGGCAGGAGAATCACTTGAACCCGGGAGGTGGAGGTTGTGGTGAGCCGAGATCACGCCATTGCACCCCAGCCTGGGCAACAAGCGCGAAACTCGGTCTAAAAAAAAAAAAAAAAAAGGAAATGAAAGTGGAGTTGTATGATTATACATCCCTCTCAACCTCTTGCAACCTGATATTCTTTCCTGAACCTGAGAAAAAGAATGGTGTTATAGCCAGTAACCAGCCACCTGCTTTATGAACACCAAAAATACATTCTCTTTGTTTAAGATTCTGTTGATTAGAAAGCATGACTGTGTTTCAAGTCCCTGCAGAATTTGCAGGAATCACCGAATTCTGAATCTGTCCCTAGATGTGTAACCATCTTGAATATTTTCTGTCCTAGAAGGAGAAAAGGGTTGAAAAGTCACAGCTTCTGTGCTTCTGAAGGCAGAGACTGCCTTTCATTCATTCCAAGTGCCCTGCTAGCATGGACCTCAATCACAGTAGGTGTCAATAAGTGTTTATTCCGTACAATAGTCTATACAGACATAGTGCACTAATGTGTTAGCAAAATGTCTGTGAGACTTGAGTCCTCAGTTGCTTTGTTTTTAAATGTCCTCGGTTGTAGTCTGGCTCTACATAACAAGAGCTATAAAACAGTCAGCCCTTTGACCCAGTCATCCACTTTCTGGGCAACAATTCCAAGGACATAATTTTTAAAAAGAAAAATGCTGTATGTATACAGATATTTATAGCTGCATTATTTATAATGACAAAAAACTGGAATCAACCAGTAACAGAAAAGTGGCTAAATATGGTATGGCCGTAAGAGGGAAGAGTATGCAGCATGAAAATAACCAGGAAGACTGTGAAGAGACAGGGAAATGTGTTTTCAAAATATGTAAAAAGAGTGCAACAAAATTATTCGTATACCGTGTTAAAAAATAAAAGCTTATCTACCTATTGAAATTAAGAGAAAGTAGGAAAAGTAGTGGCAGACAGAATGAGAATTTTTTTTAATAATTGCCTCTAATGATGATGTAAAATTTTCATAATAAACATCAAAATGGTCCCAGCTCCTTGGATGGAGACTAAATGCTAGTCTTTCTCAGGATAGAGACCTGATCATTTATCCTTTTTTTTTTTTTTTTTTTTGAGACAGAGTCTCACTCTGTTTCCCAGGCTGGAGTGTAGTGGCACGATCTCCGCTCACCGCAACCTCTGCCTCCCAGGTTCAAGTGATTCTCCTGCCTCAGCCTTCCAAGTAGCTGGGATTACAGGCACCTGCCACCACGCCTGGCTAATTTTTGTCTTTTTAGTAGAGATGGGGTTTCACCATGTTGGCCAGGCTGGTCTCGAACTCCTGACCTCAAGTGATACACCCACCTCGGCCTCCCAAAGTGCTGGAATTACAGCGTGAGCCACCGCGCCCGGCCTCCATTTATCTTTTTTATCTCCTCTTCTCTCCCCCAACCAGCTAGCTCTGAACTGGGCACACAGCATATATACTCAGAAAATACCCAGAAAAAGATTGACGACCCTCACCCCAAAACATAAACAATCTTCTCTTACCTTAAACACCATTACTTAAACACAATTTATTCATGCTTTCCAGTTCCCTCAGACCCTCGACTCCTGCCCAGTGCTAGTTGAATGGCCTTAAGCAACCTCTCCAAACTTCAGTTTGCCTTATTTTTATTATTATAACACATTCCATGAAAGTTTGTTAACCTAAACAGCCTAAATTCAACATCTGGGTGTTCTAGGGCAAGCGGGGAGAATGAGAAGAGGGAAGCAAGGAGGGTGGAAAGTGCAAGGGGTGGGACAGTGGTCTCTCCAGCTCTCAGTCCAGTTTTACAATGTGACCTGGGTGGGAAGTGGTTGATGCCCTGGCTCCCCCAGCTTGGCCTCTGCAGAGCTGGCAACTCCCACACCCAGGGTGCAATTACCAGGACCTTTTAGAGCCACTGTGTGGAGACTACTTCCTGGAACAACAGCCCCATTTCCTAAAGACAGTAAGTCTAGGATTGTGCTCAGCTTTACAATAAGTCTCGTTGACTCTGCAGAACAAGTCCTGGACTTGCCCAGGTAACTCAAGAGCCCTCTGTGGGGCTAGGCTTCTAGCTGGGACCAAGCGAAAGCGTGTGACTCCTGACTGGGAGGTCCGCTCTGGTATCTAAGTGAGGCCAGGCTCTGCGCAGCCAAGCAAAGAACCGCCGGAAGCTCTGGTTTCACCGCGGCCGAGCGCAGATCGCGCACCGGTTCTCACGTCTGCAAACGTGCAACTGCCTGCCGCGGGCGCCCTGATCAAACAAGCAACTTGCTTCCCTTTGCTGTGAAAAGAACCGAAACTCAGGCTCAGAGCCTCGCAAAACAAAGACATCTTTACCCGCCCAGTGCTATCCTGTGTCACCCCCCTCCCAGGGTCTGCGCGTCTTTGATGGAGCCCCACGCGCAACTCGTCGCGGCGCCGCTCCAGGCAGCTGGCTGCATGCGAGACCCGGCGGGGAGAGGTTCTCCCGGCCGCGCTAGCGACTGGGCAGGGAATTGAGCTCCCAATCCTTTTCTCCTGCTTTCTGCTCCAGCTCGGGAAATCTTGAAGTGTCCACTGGGGATTGGGTGCCTCTCGGATTCCAGTTGCACAAAGCATGCTTCGTGGGCGTCTGGATATAAAGACACCTACCTACCTGGGCACAGAACTGTCTGGCGTTCCCTCAGGGCTGGTGAGGTGTGAGTAGATGAACTGCCAGATCTGAGGCCTGCCGAGTGCCTAGTAGACAAAGAACTGAGGGGCGAGCCCAAGGACCACAGCTATGTCACCCACCTGCCTCCTGGTTCCCATTCCACCTGGACAGATGGCACTGGTGTTCTCAAAAGCAGAGAGAAACTTGGGCGATAATGTCTCAAGCATCCTTGAGTATCAAAAGGAGAAGAAGAAATTCCAAAACAGGGTAATAGATAGGGTGGTTCATATTAAATGCTTATATTGAAAAATTAAAACAAAAAGACAATGTATTATATTAGTATTAATGAATTAGGCCAGGCACGGTGGCTTACACCTGTAATCCCAGCACTTTGGTAGGCCGAGGCAGGAGGATCGCTTGAGTTCTAGAGTTCGAGACCAGCCTGCACAACATAGCAAGACCCCGTTCCTACAAAAAATACGAAAGTAGCTGGGTGTGGTGGCACATGACTGTCGTCAGGGCTACTCAGTAGTCTGAGGTAGGGGGATTGCTTGAGCCCAGGAAGTTGAGGCTGCAGTGAGCAGTTCCTGTGCCACTGCACTCCAGCTTGGACTATAGAGCGAGACCATATATGTATGTATATACATATAGTTCTATATCAGAACAAGAGTCCAGTGAAGTGTCATCATGCACTTTTCACAAAGGAGAAGGCTGAGGCACTGAGGCACCATCCAGAACCCCTTCATGAAAGGACCTGTCCCAGGTGCCAGGAGGTGGACACCCTTCAGCATTTAGTTATTTTAGGGACTATCTCTACTACAGAGCAGCTTTTCCCAAAAGCACACCTTCCCTACGCTGCCTGCCCAGGGTCACACATCATCTAGGTGGGGGTGAAAGACTGGCCATTTGGGCCTAACATGGGACAACTCTGATGGGACATTTTGACTCCAGAGCTCCCCATGGAATCAGTGAAGGCCGTCAGGCCGACATGGCGGCTCTTCTTCCT
Source organism: Homo sapiens (assembly GCF_000001405.40). Classification (NCBI taxonomy): domain Eukaryota; kingdom Metazoa; phylum Chordata; class Mammalia; order Primates; family Hominidae; genus Homo; species Homo sapiens. The sequence goes on from NC_000010.11 coordinate 95,296,848, forward strand.
CTGCCCAATCCATCCCCCGCCCTGCTTTCTTCCACAGGTGTTGAGCCTGAGGACCTTCTTTAATTAACATCCTGCATGATAAACTGTCTCTGGGACCAGGGAATTCAGCCTGCAACAGGTCCAGAGAGACTAAGAGACTTCCCTAAAATCACTCAGTAACCAAGGAACAGGGCAAAGGAGGCAGGAAAAGGGCTAGAGAGGCAAGGGAAGAGCTCTTGGATGTGAAGGGCCTTGTAACAGAGCAGAAGGTTATTCAGAGGTTCCTAGGACCCCAGGAGACCATTTAGGTCCACAATTCATGGAGATCCAAAGGGCTAAATCTTCCTCCTATACTAACAGGGATGCCCACAGCCCAAGTGTCACCATCTAGGAACTAGACTAGATCCTTTCAGGAATGGCTTTTTCAGTTTCCTCCATGGAAGAAGTGGAATTTGAAACATACTTTAAAAGTACAAGCAACTGTGGAGGCAGAAAGGCCATACAGGCAGCAGGGACAGAATGAACAAGGTAGTGGGAGGGAAGCGGGATGGCCTGGTGGAATAACATTATTGATGATATGCAGGCTGGAAATTTTGCTCGGGAGGGCTTTGAATGTCAGTGGTCTGATGTGGATGCGGTAGGGACAGGCAAAGGCTTCCCGCCAGCCCCTCTCATTCCACCCATACACTCTGTCTCTATAACTCCATCCTCCCCCACCAATCCATTTCCTCTCAGGGTTTGCCTGTGCTGCTGGCCTGGTCTGGCCATAACTGATACTGAAGCTGACTATTTATAGCATTTGAGGACAGATAGAATGGCAGGGCCAGTTTCCATGACAGCAGGGCTCCTAGAGGGTGACTTCCTCTCTGCTGGGTCCCCACCCATCTCCTCTGGGTCCACCTTCTCTCCAGTTATCTCCAACACTGCTTCCAGTGTTATTCCTTGGGTAGCATCAGGGCTGCTGCTAGGTGAGAACACAGCAGGAGACCAGCTAGCAGTGACAATGCTGGCTCCAGGTACCAGCACCATTTCCCCCTGTCCTCCCATCTTCACATTAGGGCATATACCAGGCTGGGGCTCAGCCATCACTGCTGGGTAATGTAGGCCTGGGGTCCTCTTCTTCTACCCCCAGGCCCTCCCACCTAGCCTCTGCCTTCAACTCCTACCTACTGACCGCCTGAAGTTGTGAATCCCAGAGGGTAGAAAGAGAAGAGATACAAATGACAGAGGTCTGGAGATAGAAGAGGACAGAAAAAACAATAAAGGTGGGAAAATCACAATGAAGATATCTATTAATACTATCCTAGCCAAACTTAGCTCCTATTTGGAGTCTTCAAAGCATGGTTAAAAAAAAAAAAGAGTTCTTCCATTTGTCAGCTATGAGGATTTGACAAGTCCTTTAGCCTACTAGAGGTATTGATTGTCTTTTAGTCAACAACTCTTTATTGAATGCTTTCCATTGGCTATACACTGTTCTATGTATTAGAAAATCAACAGCAAACAAAACTGACAAAAATGTCCTCCCTTGTAGAGCTTACATTTTAGTGTAAAGGGCAAACAATAAAATAAATAAGTAAACTATATGGTATGTTTTGTATATGTATGTTTATGTAGGCGCGTATGTATTTATATAAGTATGTACATGAATATACATATGTATAGGTATGTGTATTTGCATGCATAGGTTTTTCTGCCCCAAAGGCCTAAAAGCAAAAATACTCCAGAGCAATATACACACCCAGTACCCATACCTTGGTTTCTAAATGAAAAGGAACCATGACCCCTCAGATAAATTCCAGAATAGGTAGCTGTGGCAGGATAGGTATAAGATGCACCTGAAATGGCTTATTATGCATAAAGTAAAAAATAACTTAGAAAAGTAAAAAGTGATGGGGGCATGTTAAAGGACACAGAAGCCTGCTTCAGGGGGCTCCCACTGGCGACGCACGCAGCAATTTGAGCACTGAAATAATAAAGAATTGGCCAGGCGCGGTGGCTCACACCTGTAATCCCAGCACTTTGGGAGGCCAAGGCAGGCAGATCACCTGAGGTCAGGAGTTTGAGACCAGCCTGGCCAACATGGTGAAACCCTGTCTCTACCAAAAATTCAAAAATTAGCTGGGTATGGTAGCACATTTCTGTAATCCCAGCTACTTGGGAAGCTGAGGCAGGAGAATTGCTTGAACCCCGGTCGGCAGAGGTTGCAGTGAGCCGAAATCATGCCACTGCACTCCAGCCTGGGCAACAGAGCGAGACTCCATCTCAAATAATAATAAGAACAAGAAGAAATTATAACCCATTAGAGAAAATAAGAATCCACAAGTCCACACAGATAATAAATTGATGAATGGATGGGTGGATGAGTGAAAAGCGAAGGTTCTTGATTACAGTAGAACCAATATGCCAACTAATAAATGTAGGGGGAGTGCAGGAGTTTCAAAAACATCATTTTGCAACCATAGTAGTAAAGATTATTTAGGCAGGAATCATCACTGGATGCAAAATCTAGGGTGAGAGTTTGATGATGAGCTGGATTCTTGTATGGTCTTAAATGTCTCCCTACAGATTGCTTATTTGATGCAAAGGAAAAAACAACAATGATGTGTCTTAGTCTGTTGGGGCTGCTCTAACAAAAATACCATAGACTGTTTAGCTTATAAACAAAGGAAATTTATTTTTCACAGTTCTGGAGGCTGAGAAGTCCAAGATCAAGGCACTAGGGGATTATCATGTAAGGGTCCACTTTCTCATACATAGCATCTTCTTGCCGTGTCCTCAAATGGTGGAAGAGGCGAACAAGCTCCCTTGGGCCTCTTTTACAAGGGCACTAATTCCATTATAAGGATGGAGCTGCCAGGCGTGGTGGCTCACACCTGTAATTCCACCACTTTGGGAGGCTGAGGCAGGCGGATCACGAGGTCAGGAGTTCGAGACCAACCTGACCAACATGTTGAAACCCCATCTCTACTAAAAATCCAAAAATTTGCCAGGCATGGTGGTGCACACCTGTAATCCCAGCTCAGGAGGCTGAGGCAGGAGAATCGCTTGAACCCGGGAGACGGAGGTTGCAGTGAGCCGAGATCACGTCACTGCACTCCAACCTGGGCGACAGAGCGAGACTCCGTCTCAAAAAAAAAAAAAAAGAAAACAGAAAAAAAAAAAGGATGGAGCCTTTATGATCTAATCATCTCCCAAAGGCCCCACTTGGGGGGTTAGATTTCAACATATGAACTTTGAGGGGGGACACAACATTCTTTCTGTCTTAGTCTGTTTGTACTGCTATAGCACAATACCTGAGACTAGGTAATTTATAAAGAACAGAAATTTATTTTCTCACAGTTCTGAAGGCTGAGGGGGAGAAACACTATGTCCTTACATGGCAGAAGGCCAAGAGAACCACACTCTGTGTGAAGCCTCTTTTATAAGGGCCTTAATCTCATTCATGAGGGAAGGCGCCTCATAACCTAATCACTTATTAAAGGCCCCATCTCTTAATACTATCACACTGGCCATTAAGTTTCAACACCTGAGTTTGGGAGGGGACACATTCAAACCATAGCATGGACTATAGTATGATACATGGCAAATTCCAACAATACCTTACCAGGAGATCAAAATTAACATCCCCAGTGAGGGGCAGAAGAACATCGTGTAACTCAGATATGATACTTTGATAAGGACACACCTCATACGTTACCTTCCAGGAAGGAATGCATAACCTGAATCTAATCATAGGGAAATATCAGACAACCCCCTATTAATAAAACTGAGTGTGGGTGGAACTATAGTCTTCAAAAAGACAATGTCCTGAGACAAAGAAAGGCTGTAGCTACGTTTCAGATTAAAGGAGAATAGGCTGGGCACAGTGGCTTAGGCCTGTGATCCCAGCACTTTGGGAGGCCAAGGCAGGCAGATCACTTGAGCCCAGGAGTTCAAGGCCAGCCTGACCAACTTGGCAAAACCCTGTCTCCACTAAAAATACAAAAATGAGCTGGATGTGGTGGCACATACCTGTAGTCCCAGCTACTCAGGAGGCTGAGGTGGGAGGATCACTTGAGCCTAGGAGGTTGAGGCAGCAATGAGCAGAAATCGTGCCAAGCATTGCTTAAGTTCAGGAGTTCGAGACCAGCCTGGCCAGCATGGTGAAACCCTGTCTCTACTGAAAATACGAAAATTAGTCAGGAGTGGTAGCAGGGGCTGTAGTCCCGGCTACTTAGGAGGCTGAGGCAGGAGAATTGCTTGAACCTGGGAGATGGAGGTTGCAGTGAGCTGAGATCTCCCAACTACACTCCAGCCTGGGTGACAGAGCAAGACTCCATCTCAAAAAACAAAAAAAAACAGACGTTATTGGATCAATTGATGAAATTGGAAACAGATGGAGGATTAGATAAAAGTATTGTATCAATGTTAAATTTACTGGTTGATAACTGGACTGTGGTTATGTAAGATAGTATCTCTATCCTTAGGAAATTCACACTGAAGTATTTAGAGATAAAGTGCCACAATATGTATAATTTATTCTCAAATGGTTCAGAAAAATGTTTGTGTATGTGAGTGTGTGTGTTGAGGTCAGGATGGGCATAGGGAGTAAATGAAGCAAATGGGATAAAATGTTAACAAAAGGGGGATCTTGGTAAAGGACATATGGATGCTCTTTGTACCGTCCTTATTCTTGTAACTTTTCTGTAGTCTTGAATTTATTCCCAAACAAAATGTTTTTTATTATTTTTTATTTTTTTGAGGCAGAGTCTCCCTCTCTCCCATGCTGGAGTACAGTGGTACAATCTTGGCTTACTGCAACCTCCACCTCCCAGGTTCAAGCAATTCTCGTGCCTCAGCCTCCCAAGTAGCTGGGACCTACAGGTGTACACCACAATGCCTGGCTAATTTTTGTATTTTTAGTAGAGATAAGGTTTTGCCATGTTGGCCAGGCTGGTATCGTACCCCTGACCTCAAGTGATCCACCTGCCTCATAGACACTGCGCCCAGCCCATTATTTATATACATATATATAATTATAAAAGGAATTATAACCCACTGGAGAAAATAAAAATCCGTAATGCATACAGATAATAAATAAATAGGCCGGGCACAGTGGCTTACGACTGTAATCCCAGCACTTTGGGAGGCTGAAGCAGGTGAATCACGAGGTCAGGAGATCAAGACCATCCTGGCTAACATGATGAAACCCCGTCTCTACTAAAAATACAAAAGATTAGCCAGACGTGGTGGTATGAGCCTGTAGTCCCAGCTACTTGGGAGGATGAGGCAGGAGAATCACTTGAACCTCTGAGGCAGAGGTTGTAGTGAGCCAAGATCATGCCACTGCACTCCAGCCTGGGCGACAGGGCAAGACTCTGTCTCAAAAAATATAAATAAATAAATAAATGGATGGATGCATGAGTGCGTGGTTGGATGGATGGGAAGCAAGGATTCTTGCTTACAGTAGAACTATAAATACCAACTGATAAATGTAGGGGAAGTGCAAGAGTTTCAAAAATATCATTTTGTAACCATGATATATTTTATATATATAATATATATTAAGTATATAATATATATTTATGTATTATATAGTATATATTTTTATATATTCATATATGCATTATATATAATATATGTTATATATACAATATAATATATTATATACATTATATAATATAGTTATGAAAGGAATTATATATAATTATGAAAGGAATTATAACCCATTGGAGAAAATAAAAATCCACAATCCATACAGATAATAAATAAATAGTCTGGGCATATATATATATAAAATATATAAATATATATTTTATGTATATATAAATAAATATATATATATATATATATATATTTTTTTTTTTTTGATACCGAGTCTCTCTGTGTTGCCCAGGCTGGAGTGCAGTGGTACAATCTTGGTTCACTGCAACCTCTGCCTCCCGGGTTCAAGCAATTCTCCCGCCTCAGCCTCCCAAGTAGCTGGGATTACAGGCACGTACCACCACGCCTGGCTAATTTTTGTAATTTTAGTAGAGACAGGGTTTCACCATATTGGTCAGGCTGCTCTCAAACTCCTGACCTCAGGTGATCCACCCGCCTCGGCCTCCCAAAGTGCTGGGATTACAGGCATGAGCCACCACACTTGGTCGATTATATATATATATATATTATATATAAAACATATATAATGTTATTATATATAATTATTAGAGACAGAATCTAGCTGTGTCACCCAGGCTGGAGTGCATTGGCACAATCTTGGCTCACTGCATCTGCAGCCTCAACCTCCTAGGCTCAAGTGATCCTCCTGCCTCAGGTAGGACTGCAGGTGCATGCCACCATGCCTGGCTCAAATAAAATGTTTTCTAAAAAAAAAAAGAAAAGAAAAAACTCTCTCTATATATATATGTGTGTGTGTATATATGTGTGTGTGTGTATAAAACTATATACATATATATATGGTACAACAGATGCTGTTATGTTCTATGGAAGCAGGGTCAAAAATAAAGCAAATGCCAACAATAAGAGTAATGAAAGAAGACTTCTCCGGGAAAGTGATTTAAGGAAAGACTGAATAAGGTGAATGAGCAATCCATGGAGATATCTGGAAGACGAGCAGTCCATGTGCAGGAAATAATAAGCTCAAAGACAGGAACAAGCCTGGAGCATTCACCAGCAAGATGGCCAGTGGGGCAGGAGCTGAGGGAGTGAGGGAAAGTGGGGAAGATGAAGTCAGAGAAATAACAGAGAGTCTGAATGGGCAGCGCCTCGTGGGCATTTGAGAAGCACCAGGAGTAGGAGGGAAGGTCATGAGGGCTTTGTGCGGAAGATGAACATGGCCTGACTTACGTTTTCAGCACTCTGATTGCTGTGTTGAAAACAGATGGAGGAGGCAAGCCGCAGAAGCAGGGGAGCAGTAACCGGCTGTTGTTATCATCCAGGCAAGAGCTGATGACTGGCTTGGGCCCAGGGTGGGAGTCGAGGAGTTTGCAGCAGTGCTTGGATCCTGGCTATATTTTAAAGCATCTGCTGAGGGATAGGAAGTAAGGTATAGGAGGGATGTTTGAGGATGAGTCATGTTTTTTGGCCTGAACAGCAGCTACAGGATGGAATCGCCATTAACTGAAAAGGGAAAGCAGCAGCTTTTGGGGATACTGCTGAGTTTAGGAATTTAGTTTTGGATATATTTAAGTTTCAGGCACCCATGAGATATTTCAGTGGAGATGTAGAGCAGGCGGTTGTATATAGGAGTCTGGATTCCAGGGGAGAGTCCAGGCAAGAGATCAGCATATAGAGGACATTCAGACACAAGAGTGGATGAGGGCACCAGGAAGTAGGAAAAAAGGTGGAGGCCAAGGGTGGAGCCTGGGAAATGAGGAGGAACTAACAAAGGACACTGAGAAGGAGCAGGGAGAACCTAGAGAGGGTGCATCTGCAAGCAGGTGAAGAAAGCCTCTGCAGGAGGCAGGAAAAGTCAAGTGTCCTAAATGCTGCTGAAAAGTCAAGGAAGTTGAGAACTGAAAGTCAAGCATGGGGTTTAATACTGGGAAGGTCATTGAGTGTCCTAAGAGAATGGTTTTGTTAAGGCAAGGGGTCAAAATCCTAAACAGAGTGGTTCAAGAGAGGATGAGAGGACCAGAACTGGAGATAGCCAGCATCGACAGCTTTTCTGAGGTGTTTTACCTTAAAGGGAATGAGAGAAATGAGGCAGGAGCTGGAGGAGGAGAAGGAACGAGAGAGGTTTTTCCTTAACTGAAAAAGAGGGGTGTAGACCTTCTCAGCAGGGTCATAGAAAGGCCGCTGTAATTGTATACAGGGCCCTTCATTGTTCTTAGGTAAATGGGGCACTATTGTTACTCTCCTTTATGGCCTGACCCTGCCCTGGGTTGACCTTACAATGCCCAGAGGATTAAAGCTTAACTTCCTACCTGTCACGTTTCTTTTTGCAGCTCTTCTGGAAAGCTTCTCTCTCTTCCTTGATTCCCCCTCTTTCCTTGGTCCCATCTGGGCTTTTTCTCCCATAATTTGCTAAGCATGCCCCCTTTACCACAGCCGCCTTCCTTGACTCCCAATGCCCTGTGTTAAGGACCCGCTCTTCAATTCTCTGGAAACTTTGCAAAAATACTAAAGTCTTGTTCACCTGTAATTGGACTCCCAAACTGAAGGTGACAAGGGCACCTCTAAATCCACAACCATTTTGTGAGTAGGAAGAATTTTATCATAGAAGAAGAGATTTCAGGCAATGGTATCAGTTGAGGGAGGGTGTAAGGTGATGATTCTCAGAGACAGAGAGGAAGGACAAACCCAAGATAATTTTCAAGGAAGAACCGACAGGTCTTGTCAACAGTCAGATGACAAAAATGTAGGTGTCGAAATTCTTAAATACAGCATACTCTTTGATCTAGCAATTCCACTCTAGGAATTTATCTGGAAAAAAAGTAGCCATTCAAAGTGTCAAGAGTATGGAAAAGGATGTTCATTATAGAATTCTCCATAATGGCAAAATATTGAAAACATCCCAAGTATCAATAATAGAGGGTTGCTAAATATACCATGTCATGTTCATACTACAGAATATCATGTAATCATTACAATGATGATGCAGACATGAGTATATGTTGTCAAGAAAGGACTTTTTAATCTAGTAAGTAAAAAAAGCAGTTTATACACATATCACCTATATATATGTTTGGCAGAGCACTTTAAAAAGGTTATGTCTCAGCAGTGGTGATTATACAATTTATTTATTTTTTAGATGGAGTCTCACTGCCACCCAGGCTAGAGTGCAGTGGCACCATCTCAGCTCACAGCAGCCTCTGCCTCCCAGGTTCAAGTGATTCTCCTACCTCAGCTTCCCGAATATCTGGGATTACAGGCACGTGCCACCACTCCCAGCTAATTTTTGTATTTTTAGTAGACACAGGGTTTCACCATGTTGGCCAGGCTGGTCTGGAATTCCTGACCTTAAGTGATCCACCCGCCTTGGCCTCCCAAAGTGCTGTGATTACAGACGTGAGCCACCGCGCCTGGCTGATTATACAAGTTTTCAGTTTGTTTTACTTCTTAAAGTTTAGCTAATAACTTTGTTTTGTTTAATTTAAAAGGTGGAAACAAGTAATTTGCAGAGAGGTGATATTTGAAACAAAGGGAATAGATAAGATTGCGCAGCTAACAGATTACAGAGAGAAACTTGGAAACGTTCCTATTTAGGGAGTGAGAAGAAGGTGAGAAGCCAGGAAAGAACTCAAAGAAACTGAGGGAAGAGGCAGGAAGATCTCACAGAAACCTAAGAAAAAGATACAGAAAGGACTTGCTTACAAAACCCACCCCTGGTTGGCTACTTCAAAGCCACTCCCAGTCCTCTCTGCCTGGTCCACTTCCTCGAAGCAATTTCTTAGTAGTTAGGAGTAGCCCCATGGTCACCTCTAGCCAATGAGATGCGGGGTGGGTTGGTGGGGGGTGCTTTTGGAAAAGATTTTTCTTCCCTGATGAGGGAAAACTTGCAAAGATAAAACCTCTGTCCTGTGTTGTTGCTCCCTGCTTCCAACCTTCAAAAGCAGTTGTATGAGGATGTGGTGCTTGGAACTGCCATGGTAGCCAGATTGCCATTATGAGACAAAGGCCAGGGGACATACTAACCCAGAGCCCTGTCTTCTTTTCCACGAGATAATGAGACACATCTGCGTCACATAAGCTGGCATTTATTCGGCCATATGTTACTGCAGCTGGAGTTATTCTTAATTGACACAGAAAATAAGAGTGCAAATTTTTGTTCACTTTTAGCTTTGCAGATCTATAACACCACATATGGGAGCCACAGTGCAGGTGACAAAGGGTTCAGACTAGTGGTCAGGCAATACAGGTTCGAGGCCGGACCACACTTCTGAGAGGTTTGTGAGTGCTGGAGAATAAGATGACATGAAATTGGCAGATTTCTTCTATGCCATTGCTGCTGTCTCGGCTCTGGCAGAAGACTGACCAAGGAGGGACATAGACCTTTAATGCAACTTTCAATGTTCAAGCACGTAGTAGGTGCTCATCTAATGGTTATCACTATTATTCAATGAGGTTGCTTTTGAAGATGTTATAGTCTTTTGGTAAGCTTTAGGTGATCCAGAGGTATACTGGTCCACAGTCTTGTCCCAGCTCTGTGCCTTGCAGGCAGTAGAGTGTGATCAATGGAAAGGACCCTGGCTTTGGAGTCAGACTGAAGCCATGTACTTGCACATATACCCTGGGGCTGAACTCCTTTGAGTCTCAGTTCCCTCACCTGTCAGTGGAGATAAGAATACCTTCCTCACCGAGGTGCTATTAAAAGATAACACATGGAAAGTGCTGGTATACAGTAGGCAATAGAATGACTGGGGAGCTCCAATGTGGACATTGCAGATTGCCTTCCAAACATCCTTTTTCTTCCTCCTTCCTAGAAGGATCTCACTTTGGTCCAGGCATCTTTCCCTCCTAGATGAAAAAACTCAAGACAGCCTATGTGGCATTTCTGAGGTCTCACAATGTATGTAAGCCTAAGAGGCATTTGAACTCAGGTCTTCAGACTGCCAGCCCATTGTTCTTTCCAATACTTCTCCTTTTTTCAGGAATTAGTGCATGTATCCAACACAACAAAATACCAGAACTTAGAAGTTCTAAACTGTAGTCCACTCCTCCTCAAGTGAGTGATCCAAGCATGAGACAAAAGCCACAAAGGTTTTTCTTTTTTTCTTTTTTTCTGAGATGGAGTCTCACTCTGTCACCCAGGCTAGAACACAGTGGCACAATCTCGGCTCACTGCAACCTCTGCCTCCAGGTTCAAGCGATTCTTGTGCCTCAGCCTCCCGAGTAGCTGGGATTACAGGCACCCACCACCATGCCCGGCTAATTTTTGTATTTTTAGTAGAGACAGGGTTTCACCACATTGGCCAGGCTGGTCTCGAACTCCTGACCTCGGGTGATCCACCCACCTCGGCCTCCCAGAGTGCTGGGATTACAGACATGAGTCACCATGTCTGGCCAAAAGCCATAAAGGATTTTACAACCTAACCTTGGAAGTGATATGCTGTCACTTTTCTGCAACATTCTATTGATCACACAGACCAACCCTCATAGAATGGGGAAGGGGATCACACAAGAGCCTGAATACCAAGAGGTGAGGGTGACTGGAGGCATCTTTGGACGCTGACTACCACAAGCAGCTTCACATCATTTGAAAATAGTTCTGACATTATGAATCTCCTGAAAGGGCTTGGAGATTCCAAAGTGACCATGAACCAAGCTTTGAGATCATCGATTTACATTATGCTACTATTGAAGATGATTTGATCTCCCTTTTGCAGATTCGTCTGTTTGTCAGATATTACTTGAAAAACAAGTAAACCCTAAAGGTAGAGAGACTCTTAATCTACTCAATATTTTGCCCCTGACAAGGCTAGAGTGAGGGTCCTGGAAGACCAGTGCAGTTGTCCTCCGGGACAGACTTCATAGTGTCACACGGTCATTCAGAGCTTCTCATTATGGATTTTTGCATCTATGGATTTATCTTAAATGTTCTATAATATTTTCAATCTGAACCACTTTGTTGGCTAATTTGTTCCAAAAATTACCTGTATCAAGTGATAAGTTCTTTGATTTGTCCTAAAAGACCTGGTTAAGTGTTCCTGAGACAGATGTGGTTTCTATGTGCTAAGACTTGGAAAAATACTCCCACGTACAACTCATCCAAACATCCTCTGTGACTTCTGAGACATCAACTTTGTTCCCTTCCATTAGAGTCTGATATTTTTAGCATGAGATACGGTTGTGCTGTGCCCCCCTGGTCGCATTGGCCCCCTCCTCTGGGACTTCTCCTCCCACTGTATTCTTGTCAAGACCTTGGCTAGCAAAACTTCAGCACATAGCCTGCTTTCAACTACACTGAAGTTTATACTGGGACAGGACAATAGTGTTCCATTTTCAAAGTGTGTTACAATAACTCTCCAAGTCCAGTGGACCATTGAGCTGTTATCTGTCCAGTTTCCTTTTCCCCTTCTTAGAGCAGACACCCCTTCGCCCAGCCACTCCTCTCCCTCATTCTTTGAGGTTTTGGTTGAGCTGCCAATTCACCCACCTCGGCCTCCCAGAGTGCTGGAATTACAGGCGTGAGTCACCATGCCTGGCCAAAAGCCACAAAGGTTTTTACAAGTAAAGTTGCCTCTTTAGTCAAAGTGATTAGTCTAGGGAAGAGTAAATATCCAGGCTGGGCCTGCCAGCATCTGGAGTTGTTTTCAGGGAAAGCCAAATAGGAAGGTCCTTTTGCCTTGAGAATTTGGAGTCAGAGAGCTGGAAGGAGGCTGGAGCAGCTTGCAGCCATGTTTCCCACTGCTGCATTCAGTAGGTGAAAATGTAGCCAAACAAAACGCCAAGAATAAGACAAATACTGATGAGAAAGTTTGAGTCTCTGGATTAACTCCTGACTGAGACTAGTTCTAACGCCCTTTGGTATGTCTCAGCCAATGCAGTAGTGTTAGGTTTTGTTTTGTTTTTGTTTTTTTGTGAGATGGAGTGCAGTGGCACGATCTCGGCTCACTGCAATCTTTGCCTCCCGGGTTCCAGCGATTTTCCTGCCTCAGCCTCCTGAGTAGCTGAGATTACAGGCACACGCCACCACGCCTGACTAATTTTTGTATTTTTAGTAGAGATGGGGTTTCACCATATTGGTCAGGCTGGTCTCAAACTCCTCTCCTCAGGTGATCCGTCCACCTCGGCCTCCCACAGTGTTGGGATTACAGGCGTGAGCCACTGCGCCCGGCCTAAGCTTCTACCATTTAATCATTGAAAGGGCCCTCCCACAATTGACTCTTTGGGCCGTAATTATATTGGGAGAGATCTGCTCTCCGCAGGAGCATGTATTGAGATAAAATAACAGAGGGCTGAGGATGCAGTGAAGATCTAGAAAGAGGATGAAGAAGGGGTTGGCCAGTCAAAAGCGGGTGAACCAAGGAGCCCCAATTCATGGAAGCGGACAATGTAGTAGTTTTAATTGGGTGGTGGGAAACACACTTCCATGGACTTGGTGGGAGTATAATTGGAATTTTTGGGAAGTCAATTTGGAAATCTCTTAAGGTTTGAAATGTTCCTGCTCTTTAAGCCAATAATTTTACTCAAAGCAGCATTGTTGTTGTAAAAAGCTGGCAATAACCTTAAATACCTGCATCATCAATAGAGGATGGGTTAAGTAAGTTATGGAAACATGTCCAAGTTCTACTAAAGGAAAGTAAAAGTGTATGAGACTACATAAAGCATTTTAGAGACGTGTGTGTTTAGTATGTGTAGAAAAGCAAGCTGGGAGGACCATATATAGGAGTGATCTCTGTGAGGAGTGTTATTATGGAGAACTTTCACTTTCTATGTTTGTATGAAACCAGCATAATTTGAAAGATTAATTCATTGTTTCTGCCACTGTAAGAAAATGGTTTCCCTTCTTTCATTGTTGGTAGAACATATTCTGAGTTCTAGGATCTCTGGCCTCAAGGGCTTATTTATCTGTTTATTTGATAAACAAAGGATTGAGTGCCACATTAGACTCTCTTCTTGGTGCCAGGCATATATTAGCAAAACAGAGTCACTAACCCCATGGATTTTACAGGATTGCTTGTGGAGACAAATTTCAGATGGTGATAAGTGTTATGGAGAAACAGAGGAGGAAGAGGGGGATGGAATGCAGGGGGTGGGGACAATAGGTTCCTAGATGTATGTAAAGTAGTCACGAAAAGCCTCATTGAGAAGACAACAGGAAGACCTAAAGGAGGAAGAAAACCATGCAGCTCTTGGGGAAAGGGCCTTCCAGGCACAGGGGATTGCAAACATGAAGACCCTGAACCTCAAATGTGCTTAATGAGTCTGAGGCCATAAAGAGGGCTGTGTGGCTGGAATGAAGGAGATGAATTCAGGGGTTAGGGGGAGGGGAGGAGCAGTATGTCTATGGACTTGCCATTGTACCACATTAGCGAGATGAGAAGCCACTAGAGGGTTTTGGACCAACGTTAAGATGATCACTGTGGTTGCTCTGTCTAGACTAGAGGGGCAATAGCAGAAGCAGGGAGGCCAGTTAGACAGTTATTGCGATGATCCAGGTGAGAGAAAATGGCTTGGGCTACGATGGTAGAAATGGCTGGGTTCTAAATGTAGTTAGGAGGTAAGCTGATGGATTTGTTGGAGACAAGGGTTCATAGGGCCTGTGATTCAGGACCTAGTGTTAAGGACTGTCAGACCCTTGAAACAAGAGACTGTTAGGCCCCTCTCCCAGGGGAGGCCCAAGTACACTGAGTTACCCCAGAGGCAGCACTGCAAACTGGTGCTTTGAGTTGGAGGTGGAGGACAGAACCCAGGGGGAGAGGGTAGAGGCGTGAGCTTTCCTATTAGGGGACAGATCCATGCCTTGTGTGCAGCAGACCCCATCCCAGACTAAGATGGCAGTAGTTGTAGCCACGGGATGCCAGGGGAGACTGCATGCCTAGTGCCTTAACACATTTGGTTTGGAGGAGAAAAAGGACAGATTGCATTTTCGCCCACCCATACCAAGAGAGGACTCATAGCCAGATTAATTTGATTTAGAAAAACAAAGTGCTATGTCATTTCCCATACCCATGTTTTATAAAGCAAATCTAGACCCATTATACATATTTTATAATGTTTTACTTTTGTTTTTAAAGACATTTGTGCATCACTTTTGTTATCAGAACAAATACGAACATATTTTAGAAATAATGGCAAAATGGTCAACAGTAATCAATTAATTCAGAGGGTCAGGAGTTAGGTTATTGAGAAAAAAGTAAGGTAAGAAGTGGTGTCTTCAAGGAGGCGGCAGAAGGCAGATGGTAAATGATTAAGGATGGAAAGGAGGGTATAAGAAATTGAAGCAGTGAATTTAAGCTTCATTTGAGAAGCTTGGCAAAGGGAGGAAAGAAACAATGAATGACCAGAACAAACATATGCCACGCAATTCTGAATAAAGTTTATTAAATAATATGTACAGCAAATGTAGTAATTCAACACATCTATTTATCAAATCAATCCACTGCAATGAAGAAAAATAAATGAACAGAAAAATCTATGTCTGCATAGGACATGCTCTCAGTGTGTAATTTAAATGGCAATACTTTAAATTAATTGGTTATATATAATGTCAGTTATTTTTCTTTCAGAATATAACCTTTTTTGTAGTAACCTATTCTAGCAATAGGACTTAATACGACTGCAGATAAATAGGACTGCAAAAACCAAAAACCCAAAATAATGAAATTAAAAAGGAAAAAAAAACTGTAACTGAGATCAGAGTTACCTTTCCTCCCCAATAGAATACTTATCGTAAATTTTAACACTTTACAATGGCTATTTTTGTGCTAAAAATCTGTAGGTGAGTTATTTGGAATTCCTTCATTTAAATAAAAATGCAAAAAAACTTCATGACTTCCTTTACCCCCTTCCATTCAAATTTTTAAAATTATTTTTCTATACAAGGTAGGTACATGGGCTATACAAAGTTAAATATACATATTTACAGTCCCACTTCTTAAGCACATTATTTTTTTTTTCTTTTACTGATCCCAGAGAGACTGCAAAAGATAAGGAGTTTGGGGCTTGCCTTTACCCGGAAGCATGGCTAATATATCAAAATGTGTTGCAAGGCATGCCGCCAGTTAGTTGCACTTGCTATTAATAAACCTGTATAAACATTTCAGCATAAAAATAGGTACTTTATATTACTAAATGTCTGAAGACAAAAGAGCAATTGGAAATCTCTGTTTCTTGTTTCGTCATACATAGGAAGGCGACGTGATGCAAATTTTAACACAAGATTTTATTAAAGACGGGCAAATTGGTGAGGCATACCTGAATTTCTGGAGATATACAAATGCGTGAGGCTGGCATCATATGCAAATGTGGCTTTACAAATTGGTTTTATTTTCTAGCTGTATTTAAAGAGGTGTTCAAAATTCCCTACTAATCAAGAAGCACCCCTGAAAAAACTATGAGATAAGATAGTGTTATTAATGGTTTGCATCTAAAGACCAGGAAACACATTAGCCAATACAGTCCACAATCGGTGAAATGCTGCCGTGCAAATTGCACGTGCATATGCATTTTTACTATATTCCCTCAGAGACCGTAAAACAACAACAACAACAAAAAAAAAAAAACAGTGCTCTTAGATGGTGGAGCAGACCTTCCAAAACAACAGGTCTTACTCTTACTGGGTTTTAAGGAAATTCAGGAAGTCTCCTTCTACCCAGAAAGCTCACCCCCTCCAGTTCCATAACCTTTTCCCTTGGGATTAAGGCCCTGCTCTGTCATACTTAAAAACAAATGTCTGTGGGAAGAGGTAACTCATTCCTATTATCAATCATTTACACCTTAGTGTGAATGAATTAGTGGCAGTTTCTTTCCTGAGAACAGGATTTGAAAGAACAATAGGGAGAAAGTGAGGGTACTGTGGCTGTCTGGTGGGGGATGGGAAGCTGATGGGATCCTAAGATGGGTATTTGTGACAGCAGCTGAGGCACAGGCATTGAAAACAAATTTTGCCTACCTGTAAAGACTCTAGACTTTGGGACAATGGTCCTGGGGTAATTCTGAGATATATGCAGACAGCCAGGGGTTCCGTACACAACCCTACCACCTAGAATTGCTACTCCTATTTGTGAGCTTGGATGTGTATCTGTGGGGGAAGATGAGAGTTTAGAGACTCTGGAAAATATTCCAAGTATTTCCAGCTATGAACTACCCTCAGACAAAGGTTCTTCCAGCACCCTAGTTGTTTAAAAGTGAGCTAATGGAGATGGCAATATGACAATGCTTTCTAGGATCCCTCCAGGGAAAATTCATCTCTCCCTCCCTCACACCCTTCTTAGCACATATCACAGTCTCTCTTGATTAAGTTCATTTTCCTGTGTCAGTCTCCCCAATCACCTCTGAGTTTCTGGTGGGCAGGGAATGGGTCATTTCTGTATTTGTCTCACTCAGGATCTAAGAGAGGCCGATAAACATCCTTGAATTGGACAGAGTTGTGACCAAGCAGCCCGGGCGTCACAGGGGCCTCTCTCTTCTGATCTGGCCCCCACAAAGAACAGACGTCCTGGTTGCTGCTGGTAGTGGCAGAATTGCTGCTTCAGTCTGAAGAGAAGCCTTGCCAGGGTGTACTCAGATTCACAACCCTGGTTACTACCGTTTGTGTGATCCTTGAACTCCTACAGGGAGTAGATCTGGAGCCACGGCAAACCCTGGGCATGTCTTGCTTATGGTTGTCCCCCCAGCAGCCAGAGTACATTGGTGTATGTTAAATGAATCACTGAACATCATTTTTGGTGTTCTATGAGAATAGGCCTCCCAATTCTAAACTGTCCCAGAAAAACACAAGCCAGAAAAGAAAACTTAGCAATAGTGCTCTGATAAATGCAGCTGCACTGTCCTGAAGGTAACCATTTCTAAAAGCCAAGGATATGGGAAAAGAATGAACCACAAGTGGCCTCCAGAGCCACAGGGCTTCCTGACTTCATCACTCAGAAAACAGACATAACCTATCTGCTTGGCCATCTGCTCCCCAATTCTCATGGGCAAACCTTGTGTGCGTTTCTCTCTGAACATCAGGGCAGTCAATGGCACTGCTGCACAGCAGGCTGAATGCATCAGGTGCCTCAGTTTTGCCTCTGTTTCCCCATCCACACCTCAGCAGGTTGAGTGAGGGATTTGGTCTTGGGCAGTGTGGGGGACTCCACCTTTGTCTAGGGACAGTCTTGGTAGCTCAGACTGACCTCCAGCAGCGTTACAGGATCAGCTGGCTCCAGGGGAGCTGAGAAATGTAGGCTGGGGGTCTTGTTGCATTCTTGGGCTTGAAGCCTTCAGGCTCAATGATTGAGATGGGAGCTCTCTAAGGCTGGGGCAGCAGGAGGCATTTCTGGCTAACTCTGCTCCTGGACTATGCTTCAGGTCAGATTACCCAAGAAGTGGAGGGGAGGGGAAAGGCTGAAGTGGCTCCCAGAAGCGGCTAAGTAAATACAATTTGCTTCAATTCTTTTTGCTCAGCACACTAGTTCGGCCCTGTCTAATACACAGTAACCTTAGACAGGCTTGGGTTTTAAACACAACACTTCTCTGTCCCTGTCTTTTGCTTCTTACTTTATCCACTGTATTAATTTTCCTACTGACTCAACTAAAAAGATCGGTTCATGAATGATGCTTCCTCCTCCAATAAAAATAATCTCCATGGTTTTCAGTCTTCTTATAGATACAAAGGTTTTACATAGTTGCCTGGAAAAGTACCAAACTGCTTTGTCCTTCTTGAAGTACCTATGAAAAAACACACACATACAAAACATGAGAAGACCCACTCGCTTGAGTTGAGACAGCACGCTGCAGAGATTTCTGCTCCAAAACCCCTTGTAACAGTCCTGCAGCTTAGAGAATACCGTATGGTTTCCAAAGTACTTTCCCCTATCTTATCTCACTTAGGCTGCCAAATAATGCTGGGCGGTAAGCAATGTAGGCATTTCTAGTACTCCTGTTTTTCAGAAGGAACCCAGGTTCAGAGAGTAGAAGTAACATGTCTGAGGTCCCACTGCTTAGTAACTATCAGAGGCAGAATCTGAACCGAGGTCTTCTGACTCCCAGTCCATTGCTCTTTCCAACACTTCTGCTTTGTGGAGGAGTTCATACATTTATCTGACACAAGAAGATACCTGAGATTTAGATTTTCTAAACCATGCAGTTTCTAAAAGCCCACTGACTATGGCCACCCATCAAAAGGAAATTCCTATCCAGCTTGTGCCTAAGCCCCCAGTTGAGTCCCTATCTTTGGTACTAACCTTGTTAGGGCTCCTGCTAAGCCAGGAGCATTGAGCCATCTGGGAACAAAGCCCTTCCTGGGCTGCTCCAGATGCAGCACTGCTGATCCTTAATCTAGTTCCTTCCCTTGGGATTCTCTCTCTAAAGCAGGAGTGGCAAATATATGTTGTATCATCATTATCGTTTCTTTAGCAGACATCCCAATTTGATAACTGCACCCTTATCACAATTGGCTTAGATTTGGCTTCGGAATCCTGTTGTACACATCTCAAGCAGCCACTACCAATGGGTTGGAATTACTACCCAAAGTGAAACTTCTAAGCTAAAAAAATATGTTAAAGCTTAGGAAACCTAAAACATCTAGTTGAACTCCTATGGAGAATGGCCAAGAAGGTTAGAGAACTGAGATGGTAGGGTCCAGAGATAATAAGAACCTTGCCTAGGGCCACATAGCTAGTTAGTATCTTTCCTTATGGATGAGAAAAATGAGTTCTGCTAAGGCTACTTTATTTGTAGTTTGAAAATGCTACTTTTCAAAGTGACCGAGGAGGCTGGGCATGGTGGCTCACGCCTGCAATCTCAGCACTTTGGGAGGCTGAGGCAGGCAGATCACTTGAGGTCAGGAGTTCGAGACCAGCCTGGCCAAGATAGTAAAACCCCATTTCCATTAAAAATATAAAAATTAGCTAGGCGTGGTGATGCGGGCCTGTAGTCCCAGCTACTTGGGAGGCTGACGCAGGAGAAGCACTTGAACCCGGGAGGTGGAGCTTGCAGTGAGCCAAGTTTGTGCCACTGTACTCGAGCCTGGGTGACAAACCAAGACTCTATCTCAAAAAAAAAAAGAAGCAAGTGAAGAGTTCAGGGATGCAAGGAAGATACTCATCCCAAAATATTTCCTTTACCCAGCTGCCTGGCAGGCCTTCATTAGAGAACTGGTGCTCCTTCCCACACCTAAGTTCTCATAAAAAATATATATATTCCTGAACGAGTTTAACAGCTATTGCATACTAGTGCTGCACTCTCTAAAATGATAGCCACGTGTGACTACTGAGCACTTGAAATGTAGCTAGTCTGAAATGAGCTGTGCTGTAACTATAAAATACACATTGGGTTTCAAAGACAGTATGAAAAGATGTCTGTAAAATAAATCATTAACCATTTCTAATATTGATTACATGTTCAAATGGTAGCATTTTGAATGCACTGGGTTTACAAAATACATTAGAATTAATTTCACTGGTTTCTTTTTACTTCTTTTCAATGTGGCTTCTAGAAAATTTTAAATTTCACACATGGCTTACATTGCATTTCTATTGGATTGCACTGCACCAGAGTGGTCACTGACTTCTCAGACCTGATTTCTACTGAACAGACGACTCAAAGTAGTGAGGGCCGTGGGCTTCTGAGGACCTCGGGAGGATGGGGTAGTTCTCTAAGAGGCTGGTGAGGACAAGGCAAATCTTACTGACTTCTCATTCATGTTGAGGTCTTGCTGTCCTTACCACCCCAGCCCTGATATTACTTTGCTTTAGCAAAGCTTTGCCAGAAAAATCAGGGAAGGGCTGGTCTTTGGAAAGAAGGTGAAGGTAAAGCCACTTGTACAGGGAGAAACTGAGGCAGAGTGGGTCAATATCTCCCAACATTATATTCATGCCTGAGCAGAAAGAACACAGATTTCAGGAGAGATGGGTGGCCTGAGTTCAAATCCTGGCCCCACTATTTGCTACCCTGGTGATCTTGGCATAGTTAATTAACTTCTTTGGGCCTCAGTTTTTGAATCTGATAAATGAGGATAATTCTTATCTTACAGGGCTGTTTGTTGAGAGAACGTCAATAAAAGCATATCAAACACAGTGTCTGCTTTGTAATAGAATCTCAATAAATGTTGATCTCTCTCCTTGTAAAGGCAAATCCTTTAATTAAGCAGGGTGCTTTGACTAATATTATTGAAAGCCTGGAGTAAATAAGGTCTTTAGAATGTCTACACGTATGCCTGAGTTTCATGGTAGAGACATAGGCTCAGTCAACATTTTCTTGTGTTATTTCATAAGGGTTTTAAAAATAAAATTTCCAAATGCAAAATAGACACATGCACAATATAAATATAAGTGGAGACTAGGGCCGGGTGCGGTGGCTTATGCCTGTAATCCCAACACTTTGGGAGGCCAAGGTGGGTGGATCACCTGAGGTCAGGAGTTCAAGACCAGCCTGACCAACAAGGTGAAACCCCACCTCTACCAAAAATAAAAAAATTAGCTGGGCGTGGTGGCAGGCGCCTGTAGTCCCAGCTACTCGGGAGGCTGAGACAGGAGAATTGCTTGAACCCGGGAGGCAGAAGTTGCAGTGAGCCGAGATCACACCACTGCACTCTAGCCTGGGCAACAGAGTGAGATTCTGTCTCAATAAATAAATAAATAAATAAATAAATAAATAAATATAAAAAATAAATGGAAACCCAATTAATAAATCTGACAACTGCTCTTCTGTGCAGCAGATTTGGTTTCAGGTTCAACATTAGCAACATCCACACCATCATAATAGCAACACAGACTGGTGGCCCAGAATTTCCAAGGTCATAAAAATCTGAGAAGGCTCTTCTTTCTGTGCAGAGGAGATTGCTTTGCTTTTTGCATGGCTCATCGCCCCCTGTTATTCCCTCAATACACAACTAGTAAGAAAAGCATGATGAGATTCTTACCAACAAACCATCCATCGTCACATTTTTCCATGACATCAACGATATCTCCATCGCGGAGTTCCAACTCATCATCATTCTGTGGTATATAGCTATATAATGCTTGATAGCTAAATCTATACATGAAAAAAATGAATAGTAAGTGACTCAAATGTCGACAGGATTAAATAAGGAATTTTTAAACTCCATTTCAAGTTCAATAAACTTTTCAGCAGTGTTTCCTACTTATCAGTAGGGATAAAAGCATTTTATTGACTATTTCCCTAATAACTTAGCATTTGGGGAGATGCATTCAACATATAATTAAGACTGAGGGATGGAGAACTTCTGACAAGCAAGCCATGATCACTCTTATTTCGCTTCATTTGGTTACCACAGCCAAGCCTTTTTATCTAGAGCACTTCCTACTCTACTCTGACCTCTGCCTTTAAAGCAGTGGTCCCCAACCTTTTAGGCACCAGGGACTGGTTTTGTGGGAGACAATTTTTCCACAGATGGGGTGGGGTGGGGGGGATGGTTTTGGGATGAAACCATCAGGACATTAGTTAGATTCTCATAAGGAAGGCGTAACCTAGATCCCTCACATGTGCAGTTCACAATAGGGTTCACGCTCCTGTGAGAATCTAATGCACTGCTGATCTGACAGGAGGCAGAGCCCAGGTGGTAGTGCCTGGGGATCGGGGACCCCTGCTTTAAAGTAAACTAAGCCTTTTCCTTAACACAGGATAATATATGTAGATTATCAAGCATAATCAGAAGTTATTTGGGCCCAGAGACATTACATTCTGGTCATATATATGGAGAACATAAAACATTTGTTTTTTAAAAAAAGTGTGTGTATAATAGCCATATATAATAGCTATATATATGCTATTAAAAGTACATTCCAATTGCCTCACTGTTTAGCAAAACTATCTTGAGTTTCTTTACATGCCTAAACACATTTCATTCACTGCTTTTAAATGTGGATGTCATTTTTCTGAAACCCTTGAAAGCTTTTTTCTTTTTTCTATCCCAGTGAGCATTGAGGGCAAGATTTTTATTTACTTGCTAGTTGGCCTAAGGCATTGGGTCTGTGCTGTTTTGTCTGTTCTAGCAGCCACTGGAGACAGCTGGACTGCTTGTGGTGAAATCTGATCCTTGCTTTGGCATCAAGGAAAAGCTTTGTTTTTATTTATTTCTTCAACAAATACATAAGAGGCACCTACTATGTACCAACTTCACAACTCTGTTTACTATTTTGAGACAAGACAGTAGCAGGCAAAACTGTAAATGAGCCAGTCATCTACCATTTCCAGTAGATGTCAATGAATTCCAGTGTGCAAGCAAGAAAGACTAGAAACAAGCAAGTGGAGTCAGTTCTCAAAAACAAGAGGTTCATTCTGCTCTGCTAAAACCAGAGGGACAACTTCACTTTCCATATTTATCCAAATGTATTGATAATTTGGAGGATGGATCTGGTTGCCAGAAGGAAGGTCTCAAATGAGGAATTAAGAGATGCAGATCAATTTCCAATTGGTAAATAAACACTTTTTTTTTTCATGTTTCTGTATTTGCCTGCTGTCTCCTACTCAATTTGGAGTCTCCTACTGGCCTCCCAACACATGCCCCTTGCCAGCTTCTTAGAATGCCTGGGCCCTTTAACTCCCACCATGGCTGCTTTGCCAGCCTCAGCCCTGGGAAATAACTCCAATATCTGCTTCTCTATTTTCACTCCCAGACAGTGGAGACTGGCTGGACAAAGTCCCACACTCTTGCTGCTTGGGTACCCCAGTCAGCTCTAATTTGGGATGAACCTCATACTCCTCAGAACATTGTCCCATGGGGTCCTTCCCCCAGCTCTCTTGCCAATCCTGGTGCCCCACGCTCAGCCAAGAGCTCTCACTCTGCCCCCACTTCTGGAGATGGAAGCTTGCTGTGGACAGCACCTTAATCCTCCTCCCCTCCAGATTTAAGTCTCTGTGCCTCCACTCACCTTCCTGCCCCTGCTCACACATGTGAGGAAAGAAAGGTCCCTTCTCCAAGCCACGTTGAACCCCCTTCCTGGGCTCTTCCTTCACTTACTTTTTTTTTTTTTTTTTTTTAACAGAGTCTCACTCTGTCTCTAGGCTGGAGTGCAATGGCGCAGTCTTGGTTCACTGCAACCTCCGTCTCGGGAGTTCAGGTGATTCTCCTGCCTCAGCCTCCCAAGTAGCTGGGACTACAGGCGCATGCCACCACGCCCAGCTAATTTTTGTATTTTTGGTAGAGACAGGGTTTCACCATGTTGGCCAGGACAGTCTCGATCTCTTGTCCTCGTGATCCGCCCACCTTGGCCTCCCAAAGTGCTGGGATTACAGGTGTGAGCCACCGCACCTGGCCTCACTTACATCTTATTTGCATTAACTGGCATTTTACTCTGGTAAAATTTGCTTGTCTCTGCACCCTAAAAACACCTCCCCTGACTCTGCTATTCCCTTGATCTATAGCCCCCCGCCTTCCACTCACCATTGACCCTTCCTAACACAGCACCTGCCACCACCCCTACCAACACTAATACTGCCGTATCAGAGGTCACCAGGGATTTTTCCAGTTGCCATGGAAAATGCCTGGTGGACATTTCTCATTTCCCACTCTTGGCCTCTCTGGGGCAGGTGACACTGCTGACCAGATGCTGTAGCTGTTCTGTGAAAGTGAACGTCTTAGACCCTCACTGGCATCTCTTGTTGCCCTTCTCTGTCTCTGTGGCTGGCTAGGCTTCTTTACATGTATCTCTGTTGGTAATTATACTCACTTCCACGGTTACAAAATGCCCACTTTGTCCTGGCTCAGGCCCTCATGGCTTCTTAGCTGGATTGAAGTCTTCTAACAAACATCTTTGTCCCTGATCTATGAAATCTACCCTCCACTCTGTTGCCAGAGTTATCTCCCTAAAACAAAATATGATCAATATGTTCCTTACTTCAAAAACCTTCAATGGCTCCCTAGTACCTGCAGAATAAAATCCAAACTTACTTCAACTGCATTCTGGAATCTACCATCTGGTCCCATCCCACCTCTAAGCTTCATCTCTATCTCTTCCATGAACCATATGCTGCAGCTACACGGGCCCTTTCAAGTTCTCCAAATACCACCCACTCTATGCCTTTGCACATGTGGTCCTCACCTCTGGGAAGATATTTTCCTCCCTTTTCTAGCTCTCAGAATCTAATTTGTCTTTCAGTGTTTGGTCCAAATCTCTCTTTCTCTGTGCACAGAGTTTTCTCCTATGTGCTTAAAACATAGGAGATATCCAATAATTTTTTATGAATGAATGAATGAAGCAACCCTTTCATTCACGGCTGGTCAGAATTAACCATTCCTTCCTCTATATTCCCACTATACTAGCACTGAAACCAGTCAGCACAGCTCTCATTTGACATTCTACAGCAGTTAATCTTTACCTGTCTCTCTCTCCCAGCAGTCTATGACGGCCTTTATTTACCTGCCACCTGTTTTCACCTTGGCTGATGCAGAACATGGCCTTCACTAGAAATCCTCAGGAGAGAACCTGGGTGTAATTCACTCATTCCTGCAAATGACTGCCCCATATTCAGCCAGCGACCCACTTTCTAAGACCAACAGTCCTCTGAGAACATGAGAATCGAAGTTCACCAGGAGTACTTACAAATCTTGTGAGGTTTGACTCCTGTCGGGGGTGACTCTTCGCTGCTGGGCTTGAGGTTGCTGAGAAATGATTAAAGATGATTTATTGTCAGAAGGGGATACCTTGTGATGAAAGTCAAGGGGATGAGAAACAGTGCTGCAGTAATGAACAGATTTTTCGGCAATGTTTATGATCTCATTGCAAACCGCTTCCTGTGAGGTGGCCCCGAGATATCCAGAAACCCCAATAAAACAGTCAACATGGGGACAAAAAAAAAAGAAAGAGAGGAAGAGATGTAACATTCCAGACGAAGCACATAAGTCCAGGGAGAAAACAGAGTTGAAGATCCAGGTTAAAAAAATAGATATTCCAGTAGTGGAGTGCAGGAGGGATCCAGGCGTAAGCATGGAAAAACAGGTAAGATACAGAAGAATTTGGAATTTAGTAAGAATATTAAAAAAAAAAAGGCAGCAGCATAAAAGCCTGAAATTAGTGAGTAACTGTCACAAATGGAATACTTTAGGGTAGAAATGCAAGTATGTATCCCCAATCATGCACTAATACATTAATTTAATCCCACATATAGGCAGAGTAGAAATATCGTCTCTAAATTCCTCTGCTTTTTTCCAGGGGCTGGGGGTAATGCAGTGGCCTAACATCTCGCTCTACTACAATAGCCACAGAATTCTTATAAATAATATTTCTGTGGGTTAACCAGGCATCACTCTAGTCTAGATTCCAGAAGTAAGGATCAGTAAAAATTCTCTTTAGAAAAGCTGCAGTCTTATTCAACAGGCATCTTACCACATAGCTCTTTTCAGATTCTGTGAGATCTGGTCCTGCTCTCAATGAATGATGAGAAAGCTGTGATCACCAAGCAAATTATAAGGGAGACATTTTAGCAGATGTCACATTGGAAAGGATTCAAAATAAAAGCATGAGCAAATCCACGTACCACACCATCACGCTTGGATGACACCAGATACCGGCGGCCTATGGCCACCAAGTCTCCACAACAACAGGGTGGGTGCACAGAAGAAAATGCAAATGTAGAGTTAGAAGCAAGCATCCAGGAAATGAAATGGGAAATTGGAAACATGGCTGCAGTGAGGTGAGGATGAACAACACAGGGTCCCCAGATTGGCAGGAGAGAGACTCAGAAAGGCCATCTTAGCCAGGTCCCTTCACACATATTGGTCCCCTCACGCTCAGCTAGTAAGCATCTAGGGAAGGTGGCTGAACCCAAAGCCAGTTTTGGTTATTTTGTTGACTGGAAGCCCCCTCTAGCAGAGCAGGCCCATAGAACCATCAAGTCTGCTGTATTTCAGAAACTTATAAAAACTGAAAAAGGGAATAACATTTTTGAAAACTTCCTTGGTAATATATGAAGTACCAACCAAGACCATTCCCCTGGAAAAATCTGCAAATGACACACTCCAGTGAGGTATGAGATGAATTCAGATAGCTTGTAGGACAGAGCTTGCTTCCAGAAATAGGACTGTGTGTGACGAAACTGTCACTCTTCACTTACCAACCCAGGTACCACATGCTAACATAGAAACACAGGTGCAAACATGGCCAAGCAAACCTGCCTTTTGAGTGGGGCTTCCATTGTAGAGGCCAGCCTTCACTTGGAGAGTGTTTGGAACCATGTCCCCCAGACAGGACTCAATTCCAAGCTCTAGGAAGTTTTTCTAAATAAATACCCTGAAGAGCCATCCTTGAAAAAATCCTCCAGGTAACATGCAATAATAGCAGCAGGCTGGCCAGGCATGGTGGCTCATGCCTGTAATCCCAGCACTTTGGGAGGCCAAGGCAGGAGGACTGCTTGAGCCGGGGAGTTGGAGACCAGCCTGGGCAACAAAGCAAAACCCCATCTCTACAAAAAAATACAAAAATTAGCTGGATGTGGCAGCATACACCTGCAGTCCCAGCTACTTGGGATCAACTGAGCCCGGGAGATTCAGGCCACAGTGAGCATGATTGCACCGCTGCACTCCAGCCTGGGTGACAAAGCAAGACCCTGTCTCAAAAATAAAAAAATAAAGCAATAGGCCACAACTCCAGGGCCTTCTAGATGGGCGCTTAGAAATCTTTTGTGCATGACCCACTTGTTTCACAGAGAGACATAGAAAAAGTGGGAGCCTCCCCTGAGGTCACACATCAAGTCAGTGGTAGGCTTTTCTCCTGGCTTCATCTATTGTCCCAACTGACCTTGTCTTTTATCCTCAGACCATCTTCTGCCTTATCAAGTGTGCTCACTGACCTCATCTTCAGTGACTCCCTCAGAAACCCTGGAGTCAGGCAGGACAGGGTTTATCATTGTTTTCTTAAAAAACCCAGGAAGCTGATGCTCAGAGGGGTTTCATGCATTCCTCAACATCACACAGCCAGTAAGAGGTAAAGTGGCTCAGCTGCTCTTTCCGCTCCACCAGACCACCCTCTCCTGTTCACCTCCCCTGGAAATGTCCTCAACCGTTAGCAAGCCCTGCAGGACTAACTTCCGTTGCAGGCATCATTTCAATACCCCTGTCCTTTTGGGAAGCCTCCTCAAGTTCTCCAAAAACCTTCTAAACTGCAACCACTCAAACCAGTCACCTTGCACTCTGACAGGAGTAAAAGAAGAGGCGGAACTAAATGAGCCACGTCATGCTTCTTCTACAATGACTCTGGACGTTAGGTCTTTGCCGGGTGACTGGGAGCCGACCTTGTATGGCTCCAACACCACCCACCCTCCACTCACTGCCTCTGGATTAAGGTGTCCGTATCACAAAGGAAAGAAATGGACATTTCCAAGTACCTTCTATGTGGGCTTTCAGAAGAATGAAACGTCTGAAATGTCACCTTGAGTGGGTGACAATGACATGCAGATTTTAACATGACAGAAGGGAGAACTTCCAAACAATCCAACAATACAAGGGGCTGCCTCAAGTGGAAATGAGTTGGCTGCCTTGGCAGCTGTTTAAGCTGAGGCTGCTGTGGACTATGACTAACTGGGATATTGTAGAGCCATCCTTCTTAGACTTTAATGTATATAGCTATTATTTGGGATCCTGTTAAAATGTGGACTCTGACTTGATACACCTGGGCTGTATTGTGAAATTCTGCATTTCTACTTGGTAGTGCTGACACTGCTGGTTCACAGACCAACTGTAGGCGGCAAGGGTGCAGAGGACCTCAACTGCCCTACACTGAGATTCTTTGGCTATAGTATGCCAAGACCGGTGGTCTGGGTCACACCTCATGAAAACAAAAGTTCTCATAAAAAACAAAATATTTCCAAATTCCAGCTGGTGGCCTCATGACCTCAGGTCAAATGCGGTATAAAGAGAGGATGTAGACAATCTCTTGGCAAGATCTCCATAGTTTACAGAAACCTAGCCTCCTTCCACTCAACTTCATTCATCCCAAAGGAGTGACTGGAATCAATTATCTAGCAAACAATTTGGTGCTGAAAAGAGGATCAGTGAATCAAATATAGTAAGAAGAACCTGATATTTTACAAGCATATATAGATCCATTACATATCTGACTTTTGTACTAACCCTCTGACTTGAGGAGTGCAGAATAAGGAATTTAAGGCTCAGAGGAGTTCCATCCCAGGCACTACTTCTTTTTTTTTCTTTTTTTTTTTTTTTTTTTGAGACGGAGTCTTGCTCTGTTGCCCAGGCGCAATCTGGGCTCACTGCAACCTCTGTTTCCCAGGTTCAAGCAATTCTCCTGCCTCAGCCTCCCAAGTAGCTGGGATTACAGGCGTGGGCCACCATGTCCAGCTTTTTTTTTTTGTACTTTTAGTAGAGATGGGGTTTCACCATGTTGGTCAGGCTGGTTTCAAACTCCTGACCTCAAATGATCTGCCCACCTTGGCCTCCCAAAGTGCTGGGATTACAGGCGTGAGCCACTGTGCCCGACCCCACTTCTATACTCTTGTCCTTTTGGGAAGCATCTTCAAGTTCTCCAAACCCCTTCTAAACTGCAATCACTCAAATCAGTCACCTCGGACTCTGACAGGGGTAAAGGAAGAGACAAAACGAAAGAGGCCATTTCATGCTTCTTCTACAATGTCTCAGGATGTTGGGCCTTTGCCAGGTGGCTGGGACCTGACCTTGTGAAGTTTGTACAAGGTAGTGTGAAAGCTGAGCCCTTTGACATCTAATCTCCATATACTACCTGCCACCTCCCTCTTGGATCATGATTAGATTGCTTGTGTAACTATGACAGCAACACCCAATTTCTGCCTTGTCTGAAAACAGGCACTATCTATCATTTCTCTTCTTGAATACTTTTTACTCTAGGTGTTCAAAGACATTTCCTTATGTAAAAGATACGGTGTACGGTAATAGCGTCCAATCATTAATTGTGAACTATAGTACCGGAAGGGACATTGATGGTCCACCTTGTACCTTCCTTGGTCTCAGGCCATGCCCAAAGCTAAGGATAATCATCATCATAGCTTTAACATCTGTATAGTACAAACTTAACCCCATTCCTGAGAGGTAGGGATGACTGGGTGCCTCACTTAGCGTTTGTTGAATAAATGAAGGAAGAAGGCAAGATAAACATTTATTCTATTAGTTAAGACTCAATTTCTCTCTGTTTAGATTTAAGTGAAATAGCTCATATAACTGAAATGTAAACCAGTTTTTTTCAGGGGACGGAGACATGGCATGGGGGTACACCCTCAGTGGAAATGGAAACCATTACTATCTATCACAAGAATTAGCCCTTCATTTTGAAGGCTGTTTATCCTCAGGTTTTTTTTCCCCTCTAGTTATGTTTTCTTTTCCTGTCCCCATTTTCTAACCACTTTACAGCTTTGTACAGTGCTTCTTCTGGACCTATCCTGTCCAAGATTGTAGCCAGCAGCCACAGGTGGCTGTTGGACACTTGAGATGTGGCAAGTATGAAGTGAAATGTGTTATGTGTAAAAATATACACTGGATTTCAAAAACTTAGTACAAAATAAAGAATGTAAAATCTCAGTAATAATTTTTAGATATACTGGGTTACAATATATTATTAAAATTTCAGTTGTTCCATTTTACTGTGTGTACTAGAACATTTTAAAATCACACATGTGGCTTACATTATATTTCTACTAGACAATGCCTCTCTGAGCCCTCCCCAGGTACTCAGCATCTGCCCTTATTTAAGCCTAAGAGAAGATACAAGTTCTAACAAGGACTTCATCTAGTGTTAAGAATAAAAAAGAATAAAGTTAAGACTAAAAAAAAAATGCTAAGGACATTTCCAACTCTGGTGACGGCATTCCAGTTTTTCACGTGTTTACAAAAACAACCAGCCCAGCGCATGCATACACACATACACACACACACACACACTGCACTCCCCTCCTTTCCCCCATTAATAGGAAGCAGGTGACAGTCCTTGATCCAGAAAGTGCTTTCTTCTGTATTTGTACACAAGTCGCCTCTCCTGGCCTGGAGCTTGCTTCATTCTCCTCAAGTGGGTGACCCTGCATGCGTCCTTGCTGTTGCCCTTCTACTTTCAGTTCACAGAAATCCCCCAGAAATCAGATCTTAGCCTCCCTGGAGCTGTTAATCCCTCTGGATCCACAGAACACCTGGCGCTACTGTGGAGTTACTAAGCATCCGCTTCCAGCTTTGGGTGTGTGCCAAAGCCTTGTGGGCCCAAATAGATTGCACACAGGCTACAGAACAGCAGGAAGTCCTGAAGATGTGGACAGGACAGAGAAACTCTACTTCTCCCTGGCCCCAAATCCCCTCTAGAAACAGCACGAGGCTCTGCTGCTCCCCTAACCTGCCTGAGTCTCACAGAGATGGCACTCCTCTAGTCATCTCACATCCCAAGTCTTCTCAGACCCCACCCCACCTTTCTGGTGACCTACCCTGACCTCCCAGCGGGACAGTGAGAAAATCCAGGTTCCAGGCCATGCTCTGTACTAACTGATTGTCTTGTGAACAAAATGCTTAACGTCTTAGGACTTCAAGTTCTAAAATACATAAGAGGATTGGACATAATTTACATAAATGTCTTTTTGGCTTTAATGCTCTATGATTGCAATGTGCCTGTCCCATGGGTTAAGAAGTAGGACTGGGTAGGGGCTGACTTGGCTTAAGGGAGGCAGCACTCTACTCATTGCTTACTGAAGACTGGGAGGAGGAAGGCTTTCGACTGCAGCCTCCAGATATGGATGGAGTGCTCACTTCTGGAAGTATCCCAAGCGACTGCCCCAAAATAGTGATAGATTTGCACCTACTGGAACATCATGGGCAAACTCTTCCAGAGGAGTAGAAAGGCCCGAATGAGTCAGTCTCCTGGGTTTGAGCTCCAGGAAACCACCAGAGCACCCTCAAAACAGTCTCTGACTCCACTGAGTTATCTTATTGAGTTTACTGAGAAAAAGATCACAGCTTAAATATAAAACTAATTACAAACAACTAGTTCAATTGCTTACCATCTAGATTTTATCTCCTTGCAAGTCACTCACTAGACAACACATTAACTTTGTTGTAATTTGAATCTGATTACAACACTAAACTTAAATGCTCAGTAAATACTCAACCAATGCTCAGCCTTCTCTTCATAGACTATCATACAGTCTTCTCTTCCTTTCATAAGACAGTTGGGGGGTAATGGCAGATACATATTCAAGTGTGAAGAAACCAAAGGCTTTCCAAGAATAGCTTATGCCTTTATACTGAAGGTAGAATAAACTAATTTGGGGAGCACAAATTCCAGATTTTCTAAATTCTCGATTTGTGTAACCCAAAGTAAAATGATTTTCCCATCATTCTCTATTTTCTTCTCTTCCCATCCTCCCCACCCACCATTTTTCTCTCTTAGGTGGAACAGGGTAAGGTGGATAAAGTAAACTACTTTTGTTTCATTTCCCTGGTACCTCGACATCACACAACAGGTATTTATGGTCCCGTTACAGGCTGCGCTAGCTGCTTTCATCTCTATTATATTTCATTTAATTCTCATAGCAACTCAAGAAGGTGGTCAACATTGACCTCATTTTACAAATGAGAAAACGAAGACCTGCCGTGTGTGAATTGGGAATGTGAACAGTTAGTATTGGAACATCTGTCTCTCAGACTCCAAGTTCTGCACATTCCACCACACCCCAAACTTCTAGGTTTGTGCTCTGCCAGAGGAAGATATCAGAAGAGCTAGAGAGAGATGCTCACCAACAGGTCACCTTAATTTGTCCAGTACCCTGTGGCTGGCACTTCCTACTGACATGCTCCATTCTCCTAACACCTTTATAAGGGTAGACACTTTAGCTTTGGGTCTTAGTCCCTTACCCTTTTTTTTTTCTATTGTCCAGACTAGAGTGCAGTGGTGTGATCATGGCTCACTGTAGCCTTGACCTCCCAGACCCAAGCGCTCTTCCCATCTCAGCTTCCCAAGTAGCTGGAACCACAGGCACTCGCCACCACACTTGGCTAATGTTTTTTTGTAGAGACGTAGTCTCCCTGTGCTGCCCAGGCTGGTCTCAAACTCCTGAGCTCAAGACATCCTCCTGTGCTGGCCTCTGAAAGTGTTAGGATTACAGGTGTGAGTCACCGTGCCTGGCCAGTTCCCTACCGTTAGTGATGAGAGAATACCTGCTGCTTATTTTTGTAAGTACCGCAGCCAACGTCTCTCCCCATCCCGTAAGCTGTTAAACGCCCTCTATTTAGAGATTTCCCTTCTGAGTGAGTCAAAGGAAAATGTTTCCTATATTTACTTGAGTATCTTAACATTTAAAATTTCTTTTTTTCTTGCAGGTTCCATCACAGCTTCCTTTTCTATTTCTGATTTCCATCCTCAAGGCAGGCCTATGCCTCTGTTCTTATCTTTCTGGGAACTAATTTAGTTTCCTTGTGTTGAGAAGTGTTCCCTCTGAAGTCACATCTTTCTGTCTCAAGTTGAGTCACTTTCCCTCCTTCTCCTTTCTCTAAGCCTATAGTTTGTTCTTATGCTTCTCAGACAGATGCTTTAAGGACACATAGCTTTCCAGTATATTGAGATTTTATTTGATTAGCTTCCTTCCCTTTAGGAACCAAACTGACATCACAAAATTTCTGTCACTTTCCTCAGGCCTTGGTTTCCTCATCTCATTGTAAAAGACTGGAGGCTCTTAACCTGGTGATCTGTCACAGGTAGACTTGGGTGTGGGCCTTTTGAAATGATGCAAAACTGTGTGTCACTCTCCTCCCCAAACTACTGGCCTAGAGTCCTTGGCTGACCTCAGATTCTCAAAGGTTCTGTGATCCAGAAAAAGTTGTCAGTTACTGGAGTAGATGGTCTCTAAATATTCTCTTTAATTCAAAAATTCTAGGAAGTACTCTCACAATTTGTAAAAACACTTAAAAACCAAGGCTAGATGCCAGTCAACAAATAGTGCTTCTGTCACAGAGAAACTCAGTAAATATTTGATCATGCAAACGATGGGATTTTTCAAGATGATCTTCCCTTTGCTTTCTTTTTCTTTTTTTTAGTGGAACAACCAGTTTGATCTGTAACTGACTGTGAACAATGAATTGAGATAACTCACTACCATCAGACCTGTCCCCCTTACTTTCCTTTTTTTTTGTTTACTTTTTAAAATTTTTTTGAAATAGAGTCTTGCTGTGTCACCCAGGCTGGAGTGCAGTGGCATGATCTCAGCTCACTGCAACCTCCACCTCCTGGGTTCAAGCAATTCTCATGCCTCAGCCTCCCGAGTAGCTGGGATTACAGATGTCTACCACCACGCCCGGCTAATTTTTCTATTTTTAGTAGAGACAGGGTTTCGCCATGTTGGCCAGGCTGGTCTTAAACTCCTGGCTTCAAGTGATCTGCCCGCCTCGGCCTCCCAAAGTGCTGGGATTACAGGTGTGAGCCACCACGCCCCAGCCTACTTTCTTGATTGTTCTAAATGTTGTTGGCCAAAATTGCGCCCAAGAAAATCCAAGAACTTGGTTGATAATTCTGACTGCTTGGGCATTTTGTACGCACATTTTTCATCCAATAAGTTAAGTTGTCCCTCAGAACAAAAACTAAAAGGCAAAACTTCTATTTTTCCATTGTGAAGGTCTGTAAGTTGACAATAAACCCCTGACTTAAATTTTTGTATGTGTTCTTCTTTCTCATTTAAACTAAAATTCATGCAGGATTTTTACCTAATCAAAGGATATCAAAGCTAAAAAGAATGGCATTTCTCTTGTCTGAATCTTTTGTTTACGGACAGAGTAGCTGCCAGG
Source organism: Homo sapiens (assembly GCF_000001405.40). Lineage (NCBI taxonomy): Eukaryota > Metazoa > Chordata > Mammalia > Primates > Hominidae > Homo > Homo sapiens. The sequence continues at coordinate 95,331,157 of NC_000010.11, forward strand.
AAAGAGAAGTGACTCAACAAAAGATACTTGGCAAGCCAATGGCAGAGCTAGAGCTAGAACTTGGGACCCTGACTCTCAATCCAGTGCTCTTCCCCACCCCATCCTGATTTCCCTGAAGACCCCTGCATTCATTTCATTCACTCTCTTCTGCTGTTCAGAGAAAAAACACACCTAAAAACATGGGCAACTGACCCAATGTGAAACAGTTTAGGAGTGAAAAGTCAAACCATTTCACAGGAAGTGTCCACACATCTGCAGAGTTGAGGGAGGTGGGCAGGTGACTGATTCAAAGGGTCACCGTGACTCCTGACATAACTTCTGGTCCCAGCCCCTTCTCCAGAAACCCCCTTTTCTATTCACCTGTGGACACCAGAAGCCTCACCCAAACAAGGAATGCATCATTCTCTATGCACACCTTTCATGGTCCTACCTCTGGGCCTTTGCTTGAGCTATTTGCCTCGAGTCCCACCCTCCTGCTGTACATCTGTGAGAAAACCTCTTATTCTTTAAGGCTCAGATTAAATGCTACTTTTTTGAGGAGAGCAAAATCACTTGGTGACCATCCAGCAAGCCCCAGAGGCAAAAACTCCTTATCTGAGGAATTTAGAAGGGAGCAATGACCACCTGGTGACCATCAAACAGGCCAAATTCCTTATCTGGGAAAATTAGAAGTAATTAGACTTCCCTATCATTTAAAGCAGGCATCTGGTCCCAGATTTCTTTCCCTCCAAATTTATAAGTAACTAGAATTTCTACACATCTCTGGAATGGCATGCTGAAACTCACTGTGCAACCCTTGCTGACGTTAAGGCACCAAAACATCTACAGATGTAATCATGTATCATGACCTATGTGGCCAGTATGGTCCAAATTGCCCTTAAGCTTCTGCCTTAAGGTCCATAAATGCTCCTAAGGAAAATCCACCTCAGTGCGCTCAGTCCTCTCTCACTGAGTGCCCTGCTGCACCCTTTTGCAGCGTTCTTTCTTTCTAATAAACTTGCCTTCTTCAAATCTATACTGTTATCAGTCAATTTTTCTTACCAACACTCAAGTCAACCACCTCCTCATACTGGGGCTCTGACACCCTGCCTGGCATTTTTTTTTCCTGAAGTCTCCAGACAACCACCTTCCTTCCCGGTTATTATTTCTCCCCATCTTGATCTTCCAGGATGTACTGTTTGTGACTCTCTTTCCTTATTTGCATTGTAACTATTTGGGAACAGGTCTTACTCCCCCGGTGAAGATCCTAAACTCCTTTAGTTGGAGTCAGTCATTGTTTGTCTTTTTTTTTTTTTTGAGATGGGGTCTTGCTCTGTCACCCAGGCTGGAGTGCAGTGGCCCTATCTCTGCTCACTGCAACCTCCGCTTCCTGGGTTCAAGTGATTCTCCCACCTCAGCCTACCAAGTAGCTAGGATTACAGGCATGCACCACCACACTCAGCTGATTTTTGTATTTTTTTAGAAGAGATTTTTGTATTTTTAGAAGAGATGGGGTTTCGTCATGCTGGCTGGTCTTGAACTCCTGACCTCAAGTGATCCGCCTGCCTCAGGCTCCCAAAGTGCTGGGATTACAGGTGTAAGCCACCATGTCTGGCTTGCCTTTTCTTTCATTCAACAAACATTCACTGAAGTGCCTTCCATACATTAGGTATCACGGTCCCGCCTTTGGAGCACTGATACTGTATGGGAACACAGGGAAGCAAAGGGGGCTGAGAGAGGCTCACACAGACCATTGCAGGGGCTATGGCAGCCCAAAGTCAGAGCACTAATCCACTCATGCAGGGGTGGGGGAGGCTGTCAGGAAAGGTGTTAAAGGAAATCAGAATATTTTACCCCAAAATATATTTTTTTGACATATTTTGACATGGCTGTCAGAGAGCCAGCAAAAAGAGGTAGCTCTGCAAAGCTGTCTTTTGTGCAGGAGATTTGTATTTGTAGAGAAAAATCTGCATTGATGCAGCCAGGTTTTCTCTGAGGCTTTCCCTTGTCTAGATCTAGAAAAGATTAACTGGCAGTCTGACACCTTTAAAGGCCTAAAAGGAACATTTACCATCTATTCTCTCCGAGGCTGCTACCTGTGAGCTTTCATCTAAATAACAAGACCCCTTTGCTAGCCAAGCCTTGCTTTTCTCCCTCCCATAACGTGTCTTGCTGCTTAAAATCTGATTTACCACCATAACCTGTCTTTGGCCATCCTCTGAGCCCCCACTCTTCTGTAACCTCAAGATGGTATAAGCTTCTGCACCCCATTGGTTGGGTCTTCATTCTGAAGGCTCCCGTGTCACATAAAACTATGATCGAATAAATCTGTATGCCTTTTCTCCTATTAATTTGCTTCTTGGCCGGGCGTGGTGGCTCATGCCTGTAATCCGAGGAGGCCGAGGCGGGAGGATCACCTGAGGTCAGGAGTATGAGACCAGCCTGGCCAACATGGTGAAACCCCGTCTCTACCAAACAATACAAAAATTACCTGGGCATGGTGGCATGTGCCTGTAGTCCCAGCTACTTGAGGAGGCTGAGGTTGAAGGAGTCTTGAACCTGGGGGCAGAGGTTGCAATGAGATTGTGCCACTGCACTCCAGCCTGGGTGACAGAGTGAGACCCTGTCTCAAAAAAAAAAAAAGAAAGAAAAAAATTTTTGCTTCTTGTCAGTAATTTTTAGGGAAACTTCAAGGATAAGAGGGAAACTTTCCCTTGGCCCCAACAGCTTCCTAGAAGTTACATCTAAATGGAAGCCCTGATGATGTTCACCCCTCTCTATCTCTTGCAGCTAAGTACCTGGAATATCCTAAATGCTTCAAAGAATAAATGATCATAACATTTCAGAATATCTTTTCATTTAAGGTTCTCAGGTAAAATTCCCTCCCATTATTGGTCAGATTCTCAACCTACCTCCCCAATACCTACAATAAAAGTGAACTTTTGTTTCAGCTCTTTAGTTCAGCAAGGAGAATAATGGCTGACAATTTTCTTGATACACAAACTGGTCTGGAATGCATTTTTCCAAATAAGCAACACAGCCTGTGGTCACGTCATCCTGATGGGGCTGCCAGAGAACAGTTGTCATACAAGTCCTTCCCATTTTTAGCATGTCTGTCACCCAAAGGGGGCCCAAGACACAGGAGCCCCTTCTGAAGGACCCCGTTTCCAGAGTTGTCAGCTCCTGCTCCAGCCACAGGAGGGGAAAGTGAGGGGGCTGAAGGGGAGGTGTGGGCAGCAGCCCTTTTCACACAAATGCCAGCTCTCAAGGGGGAGCGAGCCCCAGGCCACAGCCTGTGCACACCCATGGAGAAGGGGCTTGTGCCAGGAGGGCAGGAGGAAGGGAGGGGACAGGAAGTGGTACACTTGGGGTCTGGAGGCCCACCAAGAAAGGAACACCAAGTTTCAACAAGCCTGGCTTTCCAATCAACATAATCTTCAGTGTTGCCAGCTACTCCCCTCCTATCCTGCCTTAGGAAGCAGGAAGCGTATACCCCTAACCTTACTCGGAGATCCGGCACCGTGCGCACTTCCTATACACACAGGATCCTGGAATTGGGCCGGGATGATGACTCAACACTGACGATAAGGATGTCCCCGGGTGCCTTGGGTTGACTTAGAATGTTTATAGAATTGTTCCTGTGTCAGAAACGTTTAATTCTTTTCAACTAGCCACTTCACCATCTCTTCTATTCCTTCCTCAACCTGTTCCAGGGCCAGGCAAAGCCTTTGCCAGGTATTACTGCTTTCCTACAGCCCTCCACAGCAGCGGGTGACCCCACATATGGAGCCTTGGCACATGCCAAGCACCGACTTCCATGAATTACCTCACTGAATCCTTATGACTGCCCTACAAGGGATGGACTGCTTCCACTCCTGCTTAGCATGTGAGAGGTTAAGTGGCTTTCTAGCAAAAGGCTAAGCCTGATTTCTTATAAACTGCCCCATGCCGGCTCACCCTCAGTGATCCCCACTCCTGATGTGCTGGCCCACCCATGGGCCCACATGTGCTTGGCTGGAGCTGGAAGTCTGGCCTAGTGTGTCTCAAGCCTCTGTGCTCCTGTGTCCCCCAAGCATGCCTCTATTATTGCCCTGGTGATATTGCTAGGCTCCTCCTTGTTTTGAGGAGCCTTGAACTTAGGGTTCTCAAGAGGAGAGACAAATGACCTTTGTATTCTGCCCAGAGGCTGGTACCTGCAGGCCTTATTCATAGACTGAATAACTACAGCCTCAAAGGGAAACTGAGGTTGCAAGCCTAAGGGTTAAGCACTATTTACTGTGGACATCAGACATACTAGATACTTAATAAATGGCTTGGAGACATCTTCAGGAACTCAATCTGGGTCTAAGGAAGTTCTAAAAATATTCTCAGTTCTAGAAGCAATTCTAGATCACCCAAGATGGTGGCTCTATAGCTTCCGTTTATAAAGTGCTGACCATGTTCCCAGGATCATAAGCCCTTGTAATCAACCACTCTTTGAGGTAGGTGCTATCATCTCCATTTTACAGATGAGGAAACTGAGTCTCAGACAGGGGAAGCAACTCCCAAGTCACTAGACTGTAAGAGGTGGAGCTGGCATTCAAACCTGGTTGCTTCTGAGAAGTTGCCGAAAGTCTTTGACTTTCGCAGTAGTCAACAGCATAGCCAAAATCAGAATTGTGATTTGTTTAGTTGCTAAGTTCATTTCTCCAAAAAAATTTTCAGGTCTCAAAACACCCTAAGGCTACCTTTGTCCAAATGCTCTCTGGGTCTTTGTAGCTGACCCAGAGAGAAGATGGTACACTCACCCCAAAACCTGGCATGGCTATTCGAGGATACCCCATGTCAGTCAGGGCCCCAGGAGACCTGCATTCTCCTCTCCAGAACCAAAACACCTTTGTTTCATAGCAAACAAAGGCCCCGCGCTCCCACACAAACACGAGACAGGACAAAGACCTGACAGAGCCGAGCACTAGCAGAGCACCATGGGTTATGGAAACAAAGTGCATCTTACATAAAAGCAAACCACACCACACCAAAGCCTGGTGTTCTCAGCTGTGTTAGTCAAAGCAAACTGAGGGTCATCTCTAAGGCATACATGGGATGTGAGGAAGGTCTGCCTTCTCAGAGGCCCTTGCAGCAGGCCAGGAGGCATTCAAAGTAGAGATAACTTCCAAATGACCTCAAGTGGCCAGATATAGCCTGTCCTTTCCCTCCAACTGTATCCAGTCCTGGCACCTGAATTCATGTCCTCCCATTCCCTCTGGGGCCATCTCTTTGCTCCTGAGGCAAGCAAATGGTCTCACCAGCATTCACTTGGCCTCCGTAGATGGACCAGGGGCGAGACGTGCAGCCCACCCTGCCAAGTGAGACGCCAAGTGCACACGCGGCATGCTGCAGTCCTACCTGGCTCCCACCTCTCCGAGCAGCTTTCCTCCCCGCCTGCTCGCCACCTCTATGCCGCTCTGTCTGCTCAGCCTCACTTCCTGGAAAAGCGCTACCCAGGGGCTTGCCGGGCCGGCTCTCCTCAGGGGTGTTGAGATCTGAGAGTCTCTGTTCAGTACTCAGGCACCTGACCACGTCTGAAGGCTTCAAGCAGCTCTTCTTAGAGATCTTGGGTCCACCAGGGCCTCTTTCGCCTGCCCCCCTCTCTGCTTTCCTCTCATATTGTCCACTCTCTTCGCGCCATGGCTGCCTCTTGCTCTGGCTGCTAAAGGCATCACTAAGCTGGGAGATGACACTATCAGAGCTCCCCAGCGGCAGCTGCAAGAAGCTATCTTGGTGGATGCCTGAAGATGGCGTGTGGACACCACCGTCTCCATTCATGTGAAGGGAGGCCTGGGAAGTAGGTGCTAGGGAGTAGGTTTTGTGTGGGGAAGGTAGGGCCAGTGGAGAAGCTACTGATCGTGGGGTGGGACGATCTGACCAACTCAAATGGGGGAGGCTGAGAGACAGGGAGGGACTGGCCCTTGGTGACAAGGCGAGGTGGTCAGTGTTATAGATAGAAGCCTCTGGCAGAGGAGGCAAGGGTGGGGTCAGGGCCAGAGAACGCCTGCCTGGGACCCCCACAGTCAGTGAGATCCACTCAGAGGTGACAGCGTGCATCTCGGGGGACAGGGCTCGGCGGGAGTGGGGCAGAGATGAGGGGGCTGGCGTGATGAGCTTGCTGTGACTGGAAAACTTAAAAAGAAGAAAAGAGAGGAAAACAAAAGAAAGAAGCAAAAGGTACAAGTGTCAGCATAAAGGAAAAAGAAGGAAAATAATCACAAGGGGTATATAAAGAGGAATGAAATGGAGAGGATGAGCAAGGACACTCTGGTGTCCAAAAAGGAAATCCTCAGGTTACATCTGGGGAGAAACCAGGATGGGTGAGTGTGCGTTTGAGCATGTGCGAGCGTGATCCTGATGTGTGCAGGCAGGGGGTGGAGGAAGCAGTGAGAGGTGTGGAGATGGGGAGAGGTTCCCGTCAGAGTAGTGACGGATGAGGCCGCCCTGCTTTGCAGAATCAGATTTTCAAAGGGACACATTGGAAGCTCCCCATCCCAGCCAACCCAGCCCCTGTGCATCCAGATCCCTGACCCGGAACCATACGGGGAAAGGTGGCCCCACACTGCCATGGCCCTTCCCTGGGGTTTTATTTTCTCTGGGAGCTCAGCAGAGTCTTCCAGAGAGGAGTATGAGTAGTGTACTAGTTTTGTTTTACAATCACTCTTGGCTAGTCAAGTGAAAAATGTAGTTGAGTTCCCTGCATCCTTACAAAGAAGAATGTCCCACTCCAGTCACACACTCTGTCCTATAAGACAACAGGATGCGGCTATCACTGTCCAGGAAGCCCTGGGTCAGCCCGTTTAATGCTTTCTGCCAAGAACCCTCTACTGGGGTCAGTGATGAGCAGGTGGCAGAGGAGGAAACAATTAGAGGACCAGACAAGAGGCACCATCTCAGGGTCAACCTGGGCCCCCAGGTCCTACTCTTGTTCCTCTGCCAACCTCCTTACAACATACATGGTGGTTTGTCCAGGCTCTTTCACAGGGATGTCACCCCCACCGTGTCACCCTGAACTCAAGGTTCTGACATTTTCTTGGCTTTGGGAAAGTGGGGATCAGTTAGGAATAGTTTATATTTCTAAACAAGTTTGTTCATAATTAATGTTTGGGAAAGCCAACATCTTATTACGCCTATAAACCTATATCCTTTCAGCCCACAGAGACTGAGATGCTGTAAGTTACTTGTTCCAATCACCTGGTTCCAGTGAATGCAAATAATACTTTGGATCTGGTCTATATGGCTGATGAGAAGGTGTAAGTCTCTCTTTCAGCCTTTGTCTTCTGCAGGTCAACTTTGGCCAAGATGACTGAGGACCGCATTTGGACCATGGGATTTATGACACAGTGGTGGTACCCACACCAACAGCTTCACCCAAGAGGGGCCAACTGATAAAGGCTCTTGTTTCTCTGTTTCTCTTTCCCTAGTCACCTTATTCCCAGAGCAATTACTTGACTATTCCTTTTCCCTTGAGATATATCTGCAACCAAGCACTGGAAAAGGCCATTTGTATGCATAAAGACAAAGTCCAGTGTACAGTCTGCTTTCCTGCAGTTTTTTTTTTTTTGAGATGGAGTCTCGCTCTGTCGTCCAGGCTGGAGTGCAGTGGCATGATCTCGGCTCACTGCAACCTCTGCCTCCCAGGTTTAAGCGATTCTCCTGCCTCAACCTCCCGAGTAGCTGGGACTACAGGCGCCCGCCACCACGCCTGGCTAATTTTTGAATTTTTGGTAGAGATGGGGTTTCACCATGTTGCCAGGCTGATCTTGAACTCCTGACCTCAGGTGATTCACCCGCCTCGGCCTCCCAAAGTGCTGGGATTACAGGCATGAGCCACCACACCCGGCCTCCTGCAGACAGTTTTTAATTGCAGTGCTCAAAAACCTCCCCAGAGAGGCTGTGTGCCATCAGCACTGTTGACTACAAAAATTCACATGCTGAGTATGAAAACCAGTGACGAGAAGCTTAGATACCTGTGGGCTTGCAGTGGCACTGCGACTTGGGGAGGAGGAGAAAGGCAGGTCCATGTAATCCACAGGGTTTTTCACCAGTGGTCGCTTGATCACATCCACGTAGGTGATGGGGAAGATGCCTTGTCGGGATGTCCCCGGGATCCTCCCTTCGTACCAGTTCTCATCTACCTGCCGGAGCAGTGTGATCCTCTCACCCTGGAAGACACAGCAAAGAGAGGGTCCTTGTCCTAGCATGCCTCTGCATGCCTGGGGCCTCTGCCTGCATGCTTCAATGTCCTGCATTGTTTATCACATCCTTAGCTCAGGAAAAACCTTCCCTGCTGAACCTGGAGGGAATTAACACCACTGGGATGAGGATGCTAATGGCAGAGGAGCTATCTTGATGCTGGGAAGTTCAGCTTGGTTCTTTAAGTATTTTAGTAAAGGAGAACATCAGATTTGTGTCCCTAAGCCAGGGAACAAATGTAGTGTTTTTGACTCATTTAATGTGAAACAGATACCCAATCTTCATTTCTAAGGCAAAGATTTTGGGGGGTTTCACTTTTTCTTTCTTTTGTAGCATTATAGATACTTATAATGTATCATTATAGAAAAATCAGAACACAAACGTAAAGCAGAAAACAATCATCACCCATCACATAGTCATTTGGGGATAAACACTTAATATTTGGCATATGGACTCCCCAGATTTACTTCTATGCATGTGAATTAAACCTGCACATATTTTTTCTTATAAAAATTGAGTATGAACTGTGTTTCCCTTTTCCAACTTGCTTTTTAAAAAATACTTAATAGCACATAGTAAACCTCCTTCTTTATCAAGAAATAGAATTCTAGATTTTTAATGGCATTGCATAGCTTAATGGACCACTGCAGGGTATTCTGTCGCACACACATATAATGATTTAATTACTGATCCCCTGCTGTTGGGCAACTGGGTTGCTTCCAGTGCTTTTTCTAACAATGTGCTCACTTCCCTCAAGCCTCAATAAAATCAGTAACTTAGTAACTTTAGCAAGCCAGAGAATTTTGCCATGTAGAGTGTTTGGATTCTGGAAAGAACAACTTCTCTGCACAATGTAATTATGTTCTGAATAAGCATGATGGTGATAATAATAATACTGGCATCTCCTGTTTACTAAGCACCAACAAGATACCATGTGTCATGCTGGGGGCTTCACATAAGTTGTTTCACCGAAGCCTCTTACAACCACCTAGGAGAGAGCCATCTATCTTCATTTTTTTTCTATAAGAAAATGGTGGCTTGGAAAAAGTATTTAACTCCCACATTCTGCGTAGTTGGTTTGTGCCTTTTGGGTTCAAAGCTTTTCAAACTTCTCCTGGTATCAATGGACCTGTTTTTTCCACTAGGTCACACCAATATATTGTAAAACCCAGTCCCCAACACAATGCATTATGACATCATTAGTTGGTAAGTGTTGGTTGAAAACAGCTTATAAAAGATGTCTAAGACTCCAGAAATACTATGTTTAATCAGTGAGCTCAATATAGTTAAACCCTGATATTAGCCTAGGGTTTATTTTAAAAATACCTTACCTCAGAAAATTCTCCAATTGCCCTTAATGCAATTCTTTTTTTTTTTTTCTTCAGTAGAGATGGGGCCTTGCTACGTTGCTCAGGCTGGTCTTGAACCCCTGGCCTTAAGCGAGCCTCCTGCCTTGGTTTCCCAAAGTGCTGGGATTACAGGCCTTAATGCAATTCTTTTTTTTTTTTTTGGAGACCTATTGCCCAGGCTGGAGTGCAGTGGAGCGATCTCAGCTCACTGCAACCTCTGTCTCCCAGGTTCAAATGATTCTCCTGCCTCAGCCTCCTGAATAGCTGGGATTACAGGAACCCACTACCATGCCCAGCTAATTTTTGTATTTTTAGTAGAGACGGGGTTTCACCATGTTGGCCAGGCTAGTCTCAAACGCCTGACCTCAAGTGATCTACCCACCTCGGCCTCCCAAAGTGCTGGGATTACAGGCATGAGCCACCGTGCCCAGCCCTTAATGCAATTATTGATTGGCATACTTCTCTTAAGGGTACAGACAGCACCCCCAGACTGGGGTGTGATAGCAACACCACGCTTCCCCACATAGCTGCGCCATCCAAGAGAGCCCCAAAGCAAGGCATGAGAAGTGCAGCTTACCTTTCTGAAGGACATTTCTACTTGTGTATCACCATTAAAGTTAAACTTAGCAATAGCTTCTCCATATTCCAAAACCTGCACTGGTGTCAACTTTTTGGGCTGTGCCTTCTCAGCAGGAGGAAGAAGCTGAGAAAGGGAAAGAGGTAAAAGAGAACAAGGGAAGAGAAGAAAGCAGGGAAACAAGAGGAAAAGGAGGAAACAAAACATAAGCATTTGGTAAATAAATGGTGCTTTGGGCACTGTCAGGCTTTTCCTTAGAAAGAAAAGAGGCTGCGGTACCTCGATGTAGGTGCGTGGGAAGATTCCCACCCGGCCGTGGTGTTCTCCTTCATACCAGTTCTGATCAATTTGCTTATAAATGTAAACAATATCTCCCTTCTGCAGAGGAAGCTCCCTGTTGACAGAAGGTCAACGGCATTTTAGCAGATGTTTCAATATGTGTAAGATTAAGACACTTCAGTTTTGTAGCAAAAGGAGACTTTTAAGTGGGGTCAAAGGGTACAAATTCCAGAGAGGGGCCTCCATATTTGGAAGTAAGAACCCCACTATTCAGGAAATTACATCACATTTGGCATTTTTCCACTCTTTTGCAGGATGGATGTTAACATTCAAATTGACTAGCCCTTGAAAGTGCTCAGAGGCCTTATTAATTTGTTGTGGTTTTCTAAATGCATTTTTTGTGAATGTTGTCTTATGCTCAGAAAATTTATGCAACACAGAGCAATGCACTCAGCTGCCTTAACTGATGTTTGTTAAACAAAACGTCTCCTGGATACCTTCACTATCCTCTTCTACGCCCTAGCAGGGCATGCCTTCGTTGCTTTAAATTGCCCTCAAATTATTTGTGATATATTGATATCCTTCTATCATTCCATCAATTTCACCATTTGTCCACCCATCCATTTTACCATCTATCTTTGTATCATCATGCAGTAGAAAGGTTCTGAAGTTAGGCAGATCTGGTCCAAAATCCAGTTCTGAAATTTAGTAGCTCTGGGACCTTGGACACAATACTTAATCTGAGACACTGTTTCTTTAGCTGAACTTGGAGCTAACTCAGAGTTGCTGGAGAATGCTTCAACAAATTAAAAATAAACAGCTAGGATGGTGCCTGTTGTACAGGTAGGTAACACTCAATAAATGTTAATTCCATTACTTTTTTTCATGAGACGGTCTCATTCTGCTGCCCAGGCTGGAATGCAAGTGGCATGATCACAGCTCATTGCAGCCTCAACCGCCTGGGTGCAAGTGATCCTCCTACCTCAGCCTCCTGAGTAGCTGGGACTACAGGCATGCACCACCATGCCTGGCCAATTGTTATGTATCTTTTTGTAGAGATGGGGTTTTGCTATGTTGCCCAGGCTGGTCTTGAACTCCTGGGCTCAAGTGATCCTCCTGCCTCAGTCTCCCAAAATGCTGAGATTATAGGCATGTAGTCACCACGCCTGGCCTAATTCCTTTGCTTTTAAACATGGAAAAGTGATGTTGGAAAGAAAAGTAGATTTTCCTTCAAATGCTCTTTGTACCCCTTTGCAACGTTTCCATATCCATTCCTTTGCTTGCCTCAATAATGATGATGTTATTATTATTATTATTATTTTTTTTTTTTTTTTTGAGACGATGTCTCACTCTGTCACCAGGCTGGAGTGCAGTGGCACAATCTCAGCTCACTGCAACCTCTACCTCCCAGGTTCAAGCAATTCTCCTGCCTCAGCTTCCCAAGTAGCTGGGAGTACAGGCGCCACGCCTGGCTAATTTTGTGTGTGTGTTTTTTTTAGTAGAGACGGGGTTTCACCATGTTGGTCAGGCTGGTCTCGAACTCCTGACCTCAAGATCCACTTGACCTCCCAAAGTGCTGGGATTACAGGTGTGAGCCACCGTGCCTGGCCCAGATTATGTTAATTTTTAACCAGGACTCTTTAAAAAAAAAAATGAGACAAAGGCAAATTTTAAACAAAATGAAAAAAGAAGGATAAAAATTATAACCTTTTCTTTTTTTTCTTTTCTTTTTTTTTTTTTGAGACAGAGTTTCGCTTCTGTTGCCCAGGCTGGAGTGCAATGGTGTGATCTCAGCTCACCGCAACCTCCGCCTCCCGGGTTCAGGCGATTTTCCTGCCTCAGCCTCCCCAGTAGCTGGGATTACAGACATGCGCCACCAGGCCCGGCTAATTTTGTATTTTTAGTAGAGACGGTGTTTCTCCAAGTTGGTCAGGATGGTCTCAAACTCCCGACCTGAGGTGATCCGCCCGCCTCGGACTCCCAAAGTGCTGGGATTATAGGTGTGAGCCACCGCGCCTGGCCCTTATAACTTTTTCTTGAATTAAATAATTTTAAAATTGTAACATTTTCTTGAATTAAAAAAAAAATGACCTAGATCTTTTTCATTTGAGTCAAACCAATAGGATGGAAAGGTCTCCAATTGTAACTTGGAAGGGGTGTGCTCACTTTGCAGGATGCCAGGAAGTCCCACGGTATGTGAGGGGTGCTGGCCGAACAATGAGGGCACATCTGGAAAACTACAGAAAGTCAGTTCTGTGCTGAATAAAAGCACAAGGCAACCTTTGTGGGTCTCACATTAGCAGACAGGATTCTAACTCTCAAGAGGTCCGTAAAGGGGATATGGACATTTGTCTCTGTGAGAAGGAATGTCTCGGGCCACATTTTTGCCACAGCCCTCTTTGGGGGGCATTACGAATTCCCCCTCCCTTCATCCCCAACCACAGGCACATAGATGAGCAAGACCCTCAGCATATTCACCCCTATGGAGATCTGCAGGCTCCTGATTCTGCTATACTAAGTATCTCGCAGCTGTGGAGGGGGATGGGAGCATAATGGTCCTACTATTAAGCAAAGGACCCACTTGTGTGTGAGAGACGAACTGAGGGGTCTGTAGTTGTAGCTGATGGAAGACTACCATGGGAAACCTGGGGCCCCATTCTTCCACTGCTGTGGACTATACCCCTAGCTCCCAAAGAACCACTGCTGGTGAGAGGGTTTGAGAAATATGATTCGCTTTAGATCTTTTTTGGAGCATCACGGTGTACATCAGCACAGCAGAGGCCCTGAGAAGGCCAGGGGGAAAGAAACTTGTTTAACTTTGTTGAACCAAGTATTCCATAACATGCTATTTTTTTTTTTAGATGGAGACTCACTCTGTCCCCCAGGCTGGAATGCAGTGGCATGATCTTGGCTTACTGCAACCTCCGCCTCCTGGGTTCAAGCAATTCTCATGCCTTAGACTCCTGAGTAGCTGGAATTACAGGCACTTGCCACCACACCCGGCTAATTTTTGTATTTTTTGGTAGAGACAGGGTTTCGCCATGTTGGCCAGGCTGGTCTTGAACTCCTGACCACAAGTGATCTGCCAGCCTCAGCCTCCCAAAGTGCTGGGATTACAGGTGTGAGCTACCACGCCTGGCCCCGACAGCATGCTTTTTTGAGTAATTGACTATGGCGAAATGTAAAACCAAGTGACTGAAGGGCTTAAAAGACCATGGAGCTAGAATTTACTTTTTTCACTAAATTTTGTGGACATTTTTTTGGAGGCAGCATGTCGTGATGAAAACACTGAGTTAGGAGGAAGGAGCCCTCTCTCCGGCATTAGCAATGTTGATAAAAGGTGACAATTTCTGTGGATCTAAGCTTTCTCACCTGTTCTATTTGACAGGGTTGCTCTAAAAAAAAATTGTTTTAAGACTCTTTATGAAATCTGGGAAAATGTAATATTATCATCACTATACCATTTAATAAATCTTACAAAGACTCCTCAATTCAAAGAAATAAGTGTATTAATTAAATTGCAAATTAATTTATATATCTCTGTTATCCTTTCTGGTTTAAAAAAAAAAGGGGGGGAAGAGGATGACATATTTTGAGTATTAAATTTTGGTCACTATGCAAAATGTTTTACAGGTATTACCCCAGCTTCCCTGCAAGAGAGGCATTTTTACCCCTATCTCGCAGATAAAGAAAATTGAGTGGGGGAGAAGTTGATAACTTCACTACAGTCACAAAGATAGTAAGTGGCATAGTCAGGATTTGAACACAGGGCTTCCTGACTCTAAAGCCCACAATCTTTGCAGTATATTACACAGCCACCTCCTTTAGCTGACCAACTAAAGGACTGGAGTAATACACACAAACCCAACTATACCAGATTTGTGCCTAGGCTCTAGACACTGTGGCCTGGTCACTCATTTTGTGATCCAGGAGATCAGAACCATGGTTGGTTAGCTCCACACAGCATTTCCCAGCATCTAAGGACAGGGAGCTCTCCCTCTGATCACCAGATGCACAACCATCCATCTGCAGGACAATGGGGTGGCCACTGACCATTGTACTTTTAGCTGCCAATGAGAACTCATGGACTATTTAAATCCATTATTAGATAAAAAGCCAGCTGTTTCCTTATGGAACCCAGTCTTTGGTAGCATCTCCCAAATCGTGTTTCAGGTTCCTTTCTTGAAAGACTTCTGGAGCTATTAATATGTCATCAACAAAGTATCTCTTCAAAGTGGGTGGGAGGTATAGATAGAGCATGCAGTGTTTCCCAACTCATTCTACAACAGAACTCTCTTTTTGAGAAAAATTTTACAGGGCTAGCACTCTGAAGAACACACTTAAGAGAAACGCCAGTCTCCTGTGGGTTCATGTAAGATTTTAATCTCTTGGGATGTTGTAGCAAAATGGGTAAAGTTATCTCCCTAGAGACTGGTCTAGATCCTTCCACAGAAAAGATGGGTCAGATCAAGCCACCACTTGAGCAAATAGAGCCACTACATAGGAGGAGGCAGGGTGGGGCAGGGTATAAGACCCCAACCTCTGCCTAGGTTTGAATTCCAACTCTATCACACCAGCTTGAGCAGGTTCCTTAACCTTATAGTCTCTTGGTCTCTTCATTTGAACAGTGGGGATCATCACAGCACCCACTCCATAAGGAATTAACATAAGCAAAGTACTCTGAATAGTGTTTGGCACATAGCAAACTCTATGAACTACTGTTTTGTTCTTTTTTTTTTAACAACAATTTTTATAATTGTTATTTCTCCAACTCTACAAACAAACTGCTGTGTTTCAAAAAGGCAGCTAAAAAGACAAATAAATATAACTGGTGGCACTTACTTTAGTGTCTGAGCTTTAAAGTCAAATTTGGCTCTGGCAGGTCTCATCTGAACATAAGAAACAATGACAAGTTAAAATCAGGATTCATGGACAACAAGGACACATTTTCACAAATTTCTAGAAAGCAAAGCAGAAAAATTCACTCTAGCCAGTTTGTTCTAGTGTAGAAATCTGGGCAAAATTGCATTTGTCTGACCTTAGTAGAACACTAGATAAATGTTTAGTCAACTATGTATGTCATTCATGAGAATCCCCCTAAAAACAGCCAGATCTGGGGAAGAGATGGTTAGAAAGGTCCCAAAGCTGAGGTAACAGTTCCTCAAAACATGTGAACCATGGCTATTAAAAAAACAAACAAACAAAAAGACAAAGTCAGCCAGAAGTCCTAAGATGTTCCTTATCTACTGTCTTATTCCTTAGAGACATCTACTTGCTTAAATTATGATATGCAAGTAGGTGAAATGCCGATTCACTTCTCACATCATCTCCAACTCCATATATTTCTTACGGTCTGTGACATCATCCAAAAAGCCAGATAAAGTGGTCCCTGAGCTCAAATGACTCCTGCCAAGACTTCCAATCCTGTTGGGTAGCCCTCTGTTCCCAGATGCCCAGGTCCAAGTCAGCCTCTGCCCCTTCTCCACTTCCTGATCAAGTGTGTCATTAAGTCAGGAGGGACCTCCCTCCACACCTCCATCCCTCCACAACCCTGTTGCTCAAAGCTGACATCTAGTTTCCATTGACACAAAGCTTCCTTTGATTTCACATTCTCTTCACTCTAATCTGTCACCCAGGAGCACAAATAACATTCCTAACATTCTTCCTCACATCTCTTCCTTGCTTTGAAGTTGGCTGCTGCTCTCAACTTTCCCTCAGTTCAAATCTCAATTCCTGCCATAGGTGAAGGCCTTTGGGTAGTTTCTCCCTACTCTTACAGAATTGCCTTTATCTCTACTACACTGTTCCTGTTCCAGTCAAATCTATTTGCTACACCTCAGCTGAACCCCCTCCTACCCTCTCCTCTATCTGGAATTTCTTTTTTTTTTTGAGACAGTGTCTTACTCTGTCTCCCAGGCTGGAGTGCAGTGGCACGATCTCAGCTCACTGTAACCTCTGCCTCCCAGGTTCAAGCAATTCTCCTGCTTTAGCCTCCCGAGTAGCTGGGACTACAGGCATGTGCCACCACGCCAGGCTAATTTTTGTATTTCTCGGTAGAGACTGGGTTTCACCATGTTGGCCAGGCTGGTCTCTAACTCCTGGCCTCAAGTGATCCACCCACTTTGGCCTCCCAAAGTGCTGGGATTACAGGTGTGAACCACTACGCCCGGCTGTGGAATTTCTTTCTTTTTTTTGAGACAGCGTCTTGCCCTGTTGCCCAGGATGGAGGGCAGTGGCACAATCATGGCTCACTGCAGTCTTGACTCCCCAGGCTCAGGTGATCTTCCCACCTCAGCCTCCTGAGTAGCTGGGACTACAGGCATGCACCACCACGCCTGGGTAACTTTTATACAGATAGGGTCCCACAATGTTGCCCAGGCTGGTCTCAGATTCCTGGGTTCAAGCGGTCCTCCTGCCTTGGCCTCCCAAAGTGCTGGGATTACAGGTGTGAGCCACTGTGCCTAGCCTTCCACAGGCATTTTTAAAGTCTGCATTTTCACATTGATGTTTTCATCTATCTACCCATCTATACCAAACGTACGGGGGCCAAGTGAATGATCACCTTATAATCTAGTTAAAGCCACACAATTTCAATACCTGTGTTTGTGTCTGTAACCAAAGGGCATAATTTCACAGTTGCAGGTGAACAAGAAAATAATGGATGTGGGGTTAATGATAAATGACAAGTTCACAAGAGAAAACTAAATGACCAAAATTATAAGGATACGAATTTCACAGTGATTTCAATAGAAAAACACAAGGAAGTAGGTTACCTCATGTCACCCAGCTGTAGAGCTGTGTGAACTTTAAAAAATGTATACCAAAGCAGCACAGCATTCACACTTTGGTAACTGAGTTCTGTCAAAACAATATCTCCTATCAATTAAATCAATATAATTATATAGCTGTGTAGTTTATGGTTACTTTGTAAGCAGACTTAGGTTAATAATGTGGGGTGGTGAGATTTTTTTCATTAAAGACCTGTTAAAATTCACTGATTCCATTGAACTCTTGAGACGTGTATGTGAGTCATCGATGGTTATACAAAGCAACATCCTCTCCTTCTTTATCTCCCTATAGCTCCCAAGGCTAAATCCATCTTTCCCTCCTCTGGCTTTCACAGTATTGTATTACTTACTACAGGACAGAGATAACTGTATAAGAGGGAGACTTCCACTATCAGCTCCCCAAGGGCACAGACTGAGTTCTTTCTGCCTCCCATAGGGTCTTACACAGAACCTGTGGTCACCCAAGTCCTACCGAATGGGATTGAAGTGCATTGACACAGTGTGGTGCACCTGGGATGTGTTGGTCTCTACTTTTTCTAGTCCACAGTCAACCTCTAGGGCAGTGATTCTCAAAATGTGGTCCCTAAACTGGTATAATCAATATCACCTGGGAAATTGTTAAAAATGTAAATTTTCAGGCCCCACTGCAGAATCAGAAACTTTGCAGATAGGACCCAGGGTCTGTATTTTACCAAGCCCTCCAGGGGATGCTAACGCACTTGTCAGAGTTTGAGAAGCATTGCTCTAGAAGGGAGGCAGGCTCACTGAGCTGAGTTTGCCTGCCTCTGTCTGTGGTTATTCCACCCACGGTGCATTTCTGTTTGCATGTATCATGTACATGTGTAAGTGTGCAGCCGTAGTGCCTTCACCTGTTCCCATCTTCTTCTACCTACAAGCAGGCAGGACTGTCAGTGAGGACAAACCATGCCCAGAGCCTTCTGAGAAGGGCCTTTTTGAGGAGGAGCTGGAATGTTGAGGGCTCAAGGGCTATCTTTCCCTTGCAATTAACATTCGCTAACTTTTGCTTCTTCCTTGATAGATTTTCTTTCTCTCCATCATTTTAGAGTCTCCTTCTCTTCCCCAGCTTTCCTTTTTCTTTTAATTTGAGACAGCCTCAAATTTCTTTAAATTTGAGACAGGATCTCACTCTGCCATCCATGGTGGAGTGATGTGTTCATAGCTCATTGCAGTCTTGAACTTTTGGGGTCAAGTGATCCTCCCACCTCAGCCTCCCAAGTGGCTATGACTATAGGCGTGTGCCACCAAGCCTGGCTAATTTTTCTATATATATACATTTTTTTGTAAAGACGAGGTCTCCCTATGGTGCAAAGGCTAGTTTCGAACTCCTGGCCGTAAGTGATCCTACTGGCTCAGCTTCTCATAGTGCTGGGATTATAGACTTGAGCCACTAAACCCAGCCAGCTTTCTTTCTTTTAATTTGGTTCCCTCTTTTCACTATCTCTTCTTCCCAGACACATTTTTTTTTTTTTTTTTGAGACAGGGTCTTGCTCTGTTGCTCAGGCTGGAGTGCAGCGGCATGATCATGACTCACTGCAGCCTTGAGCTCCCAGACTCAAGCAACCCTCCTGCCTCAGCCTCCTCAGTAGTTTGGACTACAGACATGTGCCACCACACCTGGCTATCTACCAATCTATCTAATTAATTAATTAATTAGAGATGGGGGTCTTACTATGTTGCCCAAGCTGGTGTCGAACTCCTGGGCTCAAGCAATTCTCCCACCTTGACTTCCCAAAGTACTGGGATTACAGGTGTAAGCCACTATGCCCAGTCATATTTCTAAAATAAAAAAGATAGGCAATGATACTCTAGATAGAAAAATAAATAAAAAATAAAATAAAAAAGATAGAAACAAATATTAATCTACTGTACTGAAAGGTTATAAAACAGTACATACTTTGGGTGTTATTCCCCCATTCCCCTAGCTCCCACCCTAAATCCCAGACTTACCCATTTTCCCTAAAAGAGATCATCTTCAGCAGCGCTACTTAAGGGTTACATGGCAAAGCATAAACTCTTACGCAAGATACAGCATTTGGCTAGCATGAGAATTTCGACATGTTGACCTTAGTGCAGGAGGCCAAGATCTGGATAAAAATCACTTCAAAGTTTGTTCTTCTCTTTCCTCTTATAATATTAAGCTTTCATAATCTAGGCTTGGAAATGTCAAAACTAAAAGAACAAATGAAACGTCCCTTGGAGAACTCTCTTACCCTCTGTGGGTTTTTCCTAACTGCAAAAGTCTTTGGGCTTCAAAATTCTTTAGTGAGGCGCACTACTGCAGCACTGCTGAACACTTCACACAATTCATCCACCTACATGTGAGCAGCAGCACTGTTCTATATTTCAAAATTAATGTCACTAAATTTGGAGGCCTTTGTAAATGGCATAAATTATTGTTAAGCTAACTTTCGTAAAGTTTCATTAACCATCTTTTCAAAGAAGAATTGTGTAACTGTCCACACCATAGCTACCAATGCATATGGACTCAGGTATAAGGTTTCTAAGCAGAATGCACAGGCAACACAGTAGCATGATAAAATGCAGGATGTGGAGGGCTGGACTCATGAAGGCAGCCAATGGTCTAAGGCATGCAACAGGGGCATGTGCCAGCAGATCCCGGTCCCCCAGCCAGGCATGCTTGAACATACAGAGCACAGGACATAATGGGGTCATGTCTATTTACCAGCCGCAAGAAGCCAAAGCAAGCCTAAGGGAGGCCAGGATGACAGATGCTGTTTGGAGAACTAAACTGGCCTACAGAGGACAATGCTGAGGGGAGGCAAATAGGCAAATATTGCTTTGGGTCAAGCAGCAGATTGAGGTGACCAAAACAGACCTCTGACCCAGATTTCCTTTTTGCAGTATCGTCTATATTGAGGAGGTCCCCAAAGCGCTCATTAGTGATAAACTGATGGTGCGTCGGAATGACGCCTGTGTGGCGTCGAGCTGCAATATCAGCCTCTTCTTGCTCGCGTTTAAGTCGTCTCTGGTCCGCTAAAAGTTTCTGCCATAAAATTGCATAAAATGGGCAGTGAATCATCTGTTCCAGCATATTAGAAAACTGCCAACAAAAGTAATTAGGGAAGGAGGTACTGGGTGAATGGGGCAGAAGCTTTAAGACTCAGCTGTCAGAACGGCTGTAGAGCCACAACTATTACACTCCCATCATAACCACCCTCCAAGCACTGTAGAAAGGAGGCAGCACTTCACTGGAAAAGCCGGGATAGGGGAAGGATGATTCCACATGATTACACTGTCCAGCAAACTACCTACCCCCGGCTCAGCCCAAAGCCTCTTGCTTCTGGCAGCAAAAGGCCAGGTGAGCCAGGGGGCACATCCAGGGCATTCCCAACCATGCTGGGCTGGCAGCAGGAGGCTGGAAGTGCCATCTCTACCCTGTTTTTAGGCAGGGATATATTCCTACAGCATATTCCCCTGGCAGGACCAGGGCTGGCCAATTCCTCCTACCCACCTCAGGCCTATTAAACCTGCTATAGGCTTCTGCTAGTGAAGTCTATGGCACCAGGTCATTTTTGTGCTTCCTGTATCTCTTACTCTAATATGTTCTTGCCCATTTCAGAAAGGATGATGCCCCTTCTAGGCAGCCAACTCTTCCCCTAGGCACAATTTTTAGAAGGCCTTAGGATATGCACCAAAGGCTAATTATGTGGCTGACAGCATCACTTACTTTTTTACTGAATGACTTCTTCACTGGGTGAAATGAAGCTGAGTTAAAGGGAATGACAGAGAATATAAATATTAAAAAAAAACCCTAAGAATAACGCTACCTGGGATTAGAAGAAATATTCTCTCTTAGAGTAAGGAAAAAGTCATCTATTTCTATTTTTAAAGGCTTCTTTGAAAAATCAAACAATGTTGCTTTTTACCAAATGCCCTCAATGCCCATTAAAATGACCCCATGGAATAGAATTTTAATGTGTTTTCTGATACTAAACAATCTTACTTTCCTGGGATTAACTTTCCTTGTAGGAAAGCATGAATTAGAATGGATAATTCTTAGCATTGGAAGACAGTAGGCTTCGTCCAGCAGGCAATTAAATGCCTCATGTGACTTGCACCCCTAAAGGAGGGTGGGCCCGATTTTTCTCCAAAGACTACAAATAACGAAGTGACAACTCATCAAATGGCTGTGGGATTTCCAGTACTCAAATAAGTTGTAAAGATTAAATTAGAAAAGACATGAGAAAGTCCTCTGCGAAGCCCAGTGCCATAGAAAGAGTGCTGGTCCAGGCATCTGGAGCCCTGGTTTCTAGCTCTGCTATTGGTATAAGTTAACTTACTATCCAGCCCTGGGCAAGTTACTACCTTGCTGTGGTCCCTTCCTGGACTAAACCAGGGGCTTCACTACATGACCACTAATGTTCCTGCCAAGTCTGATATGTCTCATTTTCTGAAAATCCATGTCAATGATAAAGTATTTGCAATGGGGAGGGCCTGACTGACACCCCATGAGCTGGGGAGTGTGAGCTGTTTCTGTAGCCACGGGAATGGAGTGATGCTTGAAACTGCCACAGTTCTTACTCAAGGCCCCTTGTGTTCTGGCTGGAGTTAAACATAATCAGTGGAAGTGGACATCGAATGGGGTAAAGCTCCCAATCTAGTACTTGAATCTCACCTTAGTAAGTCCCTCAGCCCTGTAGTTTAACCATATAAGCCAAAAACCATGGATAAAGACACAAAACTTTTAAGAATCTATGAGCCAGTGTTATTTAGGAGACAACTGCTCACCTTCTTATGTAACTTCTAATATATCAATTGCTAAACCACTAGATAAACTACACCTCCCATGTGGTAGGCAAGAATTGTCCCATAAAACCTTCTAGGTCAGAGACTAGGGCTTATATTACTAAAATGGAATTTCACCTTCCTTCATCATAGCAGCCCTGGCCTACATACATGGGAATCTTATATCTTGTGGCAGGAAATGGTTAACAAAGAGCTATAGAAATGAATCTGCTCTATGGCCTGATGGACACTCATCATTAGTGAGTTATTACAAATAATAACTATACATCAAATGCTTCCTCTTGTTTCTTTCCATGGACAGGTGCAAGTTTCTTACTGAGTACTGTTCAATTGTGCCTGGAGATGGGGAGAGGTATAGTGGTTTCATTTTTTTTTTTTTGAGACGGAGTCTCGCACTGTCACCTGGGCTGGTGTGTAATGGCGCCATCTCGGCTCACTGCAACCTGCATCTCCCAGGTTCAAGCAATTCTCCTGCCTCAGCCTCCTGAGTAGCTAGGATTACAGGCACCCACCACCATGCCCGGCTAATTTTTTTGTATTTTTTAGTGGAGATGGGGTTTCACTGTGTTAGCCAGGATGGTCTCAAACTCCTGACCAAGTAAGTGATCCACCTGCCTTGGCCTCCCAAAGTGCTGGGATTACAGGCTTGAGCCACTGCACCTGGCCACGGTGGTTTTATTTTTGTCTTTTGTTTCACCATCTGGTGGCAATAATTATCATCATCCTACTCATCCCCAAGTCAGCCTTATCCTAAATCCTTCGGGAAACCCCACCTAAACTCTGGAACTACTCAACAAAGCAGAACAACAGAGAAAAAGGGCTTCAGACTTGAACGTGACCAGGACAGAGTTGTGCACACACGCACACCCTCCCCCACTGCTACCAGGTCAAGGTGATTTTTCCAGCTCTTAATTCATTTCAGGAATATGGGCTTGGGAGCTTGTTTAATCTCTAGGACTCTTTTTCTTGGGGATGTGAGGCCCAGAAAGCATGTATCATCACAATGCTTTATCCCAGCAGAAGCTTGTGATTTTGCCCATTTGGCTGATATGAAGAACTTCCTCTTCCCAAATCCCCAAGAAAAGGGGCTCTTTCTCAGGCCCTGACAGTCACCCCATGGCAGGACAGGCATTTCAGTAGCTACAAGAAAATATACACATTTTGAAGTTCTTGGCTGGGGTTTTCCAGCATTTCTTGGTGTATCTGCCTTCTTCTGAATTGAAAGCAAGAGAGTTATAGGCAACTTCCTCAAATTGTTTTATAAAATGTATCAAGGTCATTACTATTTTTCATTTTCCTCTTTCTCCTGTTGCACCCTTCTCAATTTGAACAATGCTTTGTGCCAACAGAGGGGTGGGCAGTATTGGAGAAATATGCAGGTGGATTTCTTTAGGGATTATCAAGGGTGGGGTTGAGCGGGGATGAAAGAGCAAACTCTGGTTTCTAGCTTACAGGGCATTAAGTGCAGCAGTGGACAATCTCTGTATCTCCCATGCAGCAGTGCTGGCTGGACTTGGCATTTATAAGCTAGTGCCTGTGGGGAAATCAGTCCTACTTTTTGGAAAAGTCCACTAAAAGAGGCATGATTGAGCCTATGTCATATGAAAAAATCACTTGTGAAAGCCTCAATTTTTGCCTCTAATTGCTAGATCATGTCACCTCTCTGATAGATGTCAAGAATCTGTACTTGCTTCATACATTTTTCCAAGCAAAAACTAATGGATTTAAAAGATGGGATTTACCTCTTTATCATCATGACGTCTT
This sequence comes from Homo sapiens, assembly GCF_000001405.40. Classification (NCBI taxonomy): domain Eukaryota; kingdom Metazoa; phylum Chordata; class Mammalia; order Primates; family Hominidae; genus Homo; species Homo sapiens. Next base: position 95,354,904 of record NC_000010.11, read on the forward strand.
CGAATAAATTCTTCCGTGGATTCCAAGTAATCAGCTGGTATAAAATGTCTTGGCGATTCTGAATCTTTAAAACAACAAAGTAGAGTTAAAACAGGCAAAGATTTCGCTGGAAACCAGCTTGCGAAAAGAGTTCACCTTTCATCTATTATAAATATCAAAATTTTGAAGTCATTCTTGATTAATGATCAATGGTCGAATTCTGAAGGAAAAAAAAATTCCACCCCCCACCCCATTTTTTGGATTTATTTGTGAACTAGTTTAATGCAAAGAAAACTACTCAAAAGGCAAAAGGTGAGCAAAATGAGAGAACTTTCTTTGTAAAGTGTCCCTACAAAGAGGCGTGCAGGACCTTATAGGGACAAGGCACACACTCACACACATATAGGGCCATTGAGAGAGGCTGCCTCTCAAAAAACCATGGGGTATGTTGGGGATTGGTGCAAACAGCAAGGGGTTCAAGAGTTCAAATGAACACATTTCTCAGTTGAGCTAAACGGCCAATTTTTCTTTCGAAACACAGTTTGGTGGTTAGTCTAAATGACATGGGGGCTTTGTTTTTAAAGAAGTGCAGCCACTACGAGCCATGATTAATTGCCAAGCAAAACAAACAGAAAACAAAGGACAGACCAGAAAATGAGCACCAAGGGCACAGAGGAGGACGGGATAATGCAAGCAAAGTGGAGGGACGGGCAGGTGAGACTAGGCAAACACACAAAATGCCACCTCCACGGGATGGTGCCAGTTCACTTTGTGGGTTGTTGTTCCTGTCCAGGCTGTGGTCTGAGTATGGCACGGAGTTTCCATTATTAATGGCCCTTGGGTAGTCCTCCAGGGCCGTGGGTCTCTCCTGAGAGGGCTCTGAGCTGCGGCTAAGCCTGGCCATGGTGTGTCGGGAAGACAGGCGTGTGGGAACCACGGGCTTCCCCCCAGAAGGGGGCTGGTCCTGATGGGGCTGACTGGGGAGGTCTGGCTTCTGGCCCACCAGGAGGCCTGAGGAGTCACCAGGGGAAGGTTGTCTGGGGTGGTGGTGGAGGGGCTTTTTCAGCCGGAAAGGAAGGGGGCTCATTAGGTAGATGTTCCTGAGGAGGGTGCTCTTGTCCCCTCTGGCATCCAGGCGCCACTCAGGCTGTCTAGAGGTCTGCTGCTGCTCATGCTTCCGGATGGTGGTGAAGCGGGTGTATGAGGCCGGGCAGGTGCCCTTGCACTTGTTGAGGCGATGTTTGGGGAAATCTCCATGAACACTGCCGCCACTGCCTTCTCTGCTGTCAGTGGAGATATTTGAACAGCGGTCCACGTCATCAGAGCAGGTGGAGAGAGGCTCAGAAGGCACAAGGCCCCTGAAGCTCAAGGCATGGTGTGCCATATTGCTACATGTTGGGGAAGCATAGACCCCACTGGAGTTCATCCCATCCATCTCCTTGGGATGGAGCTTGGTTGACTCAAGTAGGGACTCGGCCGAGCGGGCTGAGGTCAGGCTGCCCCGGGACAGCACAGGTGTGGGAGACTTGCTCAGCCTTCCGGACAGGTCCAGGGATGGCATGGAACGGGACCGCTGAATCAGCTGCTCAAAAGCGGTGATGCGGGAAGAGACGGTGTGCTTGGGGATGTGTTCCGAGCCCTCCTGGCTGGGGCCCAGCTCACCCCTGGACAATGCCAGGCTACTCTTTTCAAAGTGGGAGGCAAGATCCCGCACACTCGAGGAGGAGGAGATGGAGCCCAGGAAGAGGCCAGATCGGTTGATCTGGTGCATGTCCCGATAAAGCATGGTGAACTGCATCCCAGCCTTTCTTGAGAGAGGACAGGGCCTCCTGCCGCTGGTGCTGTACTCCTGGAGGCTCATGGTACTGCTCGACTTGCTGTCATAATCCCGTCGGGAGCGCATGAGCAGGTTCTCAATGCTCCCTCCCACTTGGAGGGGGAGGCCTCTTTTGGAATCATTTAAAGAACCAGAAACACAAAGGTTCTCACAGCTTTGAGCCTTCTCTGAGGGCAAGAGGATACTCTTCTGTTCCTGCAAAAGAGCGCTGGGAGCAGAGAGCCTGGGTTTGAATTTGGATGGAAGGATTTCCGAAATGCAGGCCTTCGCAGCTGACAGGGGCTTCTTGTGCTTACACACAGGGCCTAACGCATTGCTAGTGTTAAACGTTCGGCTATGGACTGAAGATGAAGAAATCATGTGAGCATTCCCACCTTTACGATCCACTGGTAAGCATGCAGAATAAAATAAATAGACCCATTAGGTTAAAGCTGAAAGCTGCTAAAAAGAAAAAGGAGAGGTAACATGCTCATTTGTCATAAGGGCTTTTAAAAAATTTCCAGTCGAGGTCCGGAAGCAAAATAATCTGTGCTGCAAAGCAGGTGCAAGGATGCAACAACAAAAAAAAATGGCTACCCTGCTAGAGTTAGGAATGGCTAAAGCTCAGCTAATTTCTAAGAAAAGGTAATTAGAATGAGAGAGAGAGAGAAAGAGAGAAAGAGAGAGAGAGAGAGAGAGAAATCTTGAAGGAGAACAAGGTTGGGGGGTCAAAGGAACAGAAACTATTAAAACCAGAAAGAAAAATGGCCGGTAAGAAAATAGGGGAGGGAATTTAAGAGGGCTCTGAGGCCTGAATGTGGGTCTGAACAAGGCAGGACTTATCCCCATTGCTGGAGGTTCACCACGGCCGACGCTCAGTGAATGGAGGTGGATGGGAGACAGAGGCCTGCAGGCTTCACCCAGTTAATTACCTTTAGTGGAAGCAGAGCTGGATGGTCGCTTGAGCCCACTCAGGCCCTGAAGAGGGATGTCACCACCTTCCAAGACACTTTTATAAATTTGTCTCTCATTCTCCAAGCTAGTGAGATCCCCAGGAGCCCCGTCTGATTCCCTCTTCACTGCATGGAAGTTGGAAGAATATATACTATGAACAGGTAATTTTGAAAGAAAGAGAGAAAAGGGAAAAAATAAAGATAAGAATAGGAGTTAGTGCTTTTAACATTTTTCAAACAGCACATTACCTGCTGAGGACAAGAAATACACCTGGTATCCTAATCAAGAACTGTCCTTTCTAAAGAGTGCTCTTATTTAGACAGACATTTCTACAGACAGGCCCATGGAGCCCTGAATGCTCAGGAATCTTGACCAAACAGCAAAGTTCTCTAATTGGAATGGCTACATTTGTGCTTTAAAAGAAAAATTCTGTGGAACGCTGCCTGGGGAAGAAGGGTTGGAGGAAGGATAGGGGAGAACAGGGGGAGGATCACACATAGGGGAGGGCAGGAGGACCCAATGGCTGCACGCAAGATGGTGCAGTCAAGCTCTCTGTCAGACGTGCCTCTGTCACGTAGCCAGGCAGTGTCAGCTACTTCAAGTCCACTACCTGGATTATTTTTCTTGGTTATTCTTCGTAAGCATTTGGAATATAAAATCATCAATGAAAGGGGGAAGCCCAACTGTCTTGGGTCTCCAGAAAAATCAGTGACCAAGTGAAATTGGAACCTGGGATTCTATGGGCTCTTAGTATCACAGCCACATTTGCACTCACTTCTTTCAAAGTTTGTGTTCAGAAGATTATGACCTGACATGTAGTATAAGCATAAACAATTGCTCCTTTATAGCCTCCATTTATTTTTATCTTGTTAACATCGAGGTATTTCTGCAAGTTACCACAAATTCCTTTTGGAATGAGGTGAGGCACAGAAAAAAAAATCAAGGGTACTTACTCACTGAGTCCCTCCCTTCTCCTAATCCCACTTTTCTATGCCTGCCACTAACACACTGTCATTCACACACACACACACAGACACGCACATGCACAGACATGCGCGCGCGCGCGCGCGCACACACACACACACACACACACACATATTTCTCAGTTAAGTGAATGACTCCTATCCCGCAGAACCACATAGGCTTCTGCTGAGCTTCTTTTATTCCTACCCAACTCAGGTTACTGGTATCAAAATAGATTTTTCAGCTCTGAAGACCCATTGCTAGGTGGAATTCCTTCATCCCTCTGTTTCATTGTGAACATCAACTAACATATAGAACAGCTTAAAGAATTACAGAGTGAACACCCATATTCCCCCCACCTAGCTTCTACGGGGGCCACAAACTGTGACTGCTTGATCACACATCTGTCCAGCTATATTTTCCTCTACTCAACCAGCAACGATCAATAATGTGATGCTTTTACATTCCGGGAAACTGGCCTTTCTTTCTGTGCATAATTGCAGCCTCTGAGTCCCCATGGTCACTGGTAATGACAGCAAAAACAACTCTACACACCTCTTGGTGAGGCGTCCTATGTGGCAGGCACCGTGCCTATTGATCATTATCACTTCAATCCTAACATTCCTACTTCTGCCATTTTTTAGATGAGGAAACAAGGCACTGAGAGATTCAGTAATTTGTCAAAGTAGGCAGGTTAGCAGAATGGCAGGGCTGGAACTTGAACTAGGCCATTGAGCACTACACGGATAGTATTCTCTCTCAGCTCCTGTTTTATTTTACTGCTCATTAATTTATTTTTTTGTTGGGACAGGGTCTTACTATGTTGCCCAGGCTGGTCTTGAACTCCTAGCCTCAAGTAATCCTCCCACGTTGCCCTCTAAAAGTGCTGGGATTACAGGCATGAGCCACTGTGCCCAACCTTCAGCTGCTGTTTTATTAATAGATACAACATTTTCCTACAACTGAGGAGGCAGTGGCTTGCACACCACAGGAACCAGAGGGAGCTCAGGGATGCTCCAGCTCCGTATACACCATCACTGCTGAGTGTTACTCACCATGAATACACCCCTAAGATAAGCGGCACCAGACACAGGAGTCAGAAATGGAAAAGAGGTGGGGACTCTGGTAGAATACCGCGACATCTCCACCTTAGAATAATAAAGTCCCCTGAGCAATACTATTGCTTCTGGCACTGGTAATCCCCTCGCAGAGCTGCCACTTACTGAGCCTCACCTTGTACCCACCTGGGGCTAAGGGCTTTATATACCCTATTTCAGGGGACTGCCGAGGGTGGGGGTCAGAGCTCCCCCAGGACCCTCTTAATTCACTCTGGCCTGGATGTGGAGGTCAAATGCTTTTCCTCTTTACTTAGAGGAGATGGAAGAACCTGAGGGTAGCTTGCAAGGCTGTGGCACCATATGCCAATTTAAATAAATGTGAGTTGATCTAAACTGGCTTATAATTTTGAATTTCCTAATTAAAAATAAATATGTCCCTTTTCTAAATTTCCTATTCATTATCCACCCTCTTCCCTTTGGTTGCATTTTCTGATTTTGCCCTTCAGTTTAATGCTATGTTTCCTCTTTTTTGTATAACTTCAACAGCAAAAACATCCATGAATAGATGTCCTTTATCTTTGCTGACCAACAGCTGTGGTGACTGAGGTCTCTTTTGAAGGTATGGTGTCTGAAGCCCCTCCCACCTTGGTTTGGGGCTACCACACCTCCTTAAGCATTGGAGATCAGTAAACTAAATTGGGCTTGAGGCTGCATCCATACTTTGAGTTCCTATTCTTCTGCAACCTAACTATGTAAACAAAGTACAATCTAAGAGTATGCTCTTATAACAAGTAGCTGAGTCTCAGCCAATCACAGCAGCCAAGCTTCAGCCAATCCCAGGCTGCCAACTGATCAGCCCACATCTATATAAATGCCCAAATAGGCAACTGTGGAGCTGCAACCAATCCAGCTGTAGCTGTACTTGCTGTCTTTTGTTGTTTATAAATGCTGCCTGCCCATGTTGCTGGGTGAAGCTCTCTGAACTGCCCCTGGTTCTAAGGGCTGCCTGAACATAAATCCTTCTATGCCTTAAATAAATCTGCTAAATTTAATTTGTCTAAAGTTTTTCTTTTAACAGAGTGACTGACAGCAGCTTCCATTCTGCTGTGCCTGCTATCCTTTGAATTGCCTCAGCTTTGGCCAGAACTTTTTTTTTTTGAGACAGAATCTCATTCTGTCGCCCAGGCTGGAGTGCAGTGGTGCCATCTTGGCTCACTGCAACCTCTGCCTCCCGGGTTCAAGTGATTCTCCTGCCTCAGCCTTCCTAGTAGCTGGGACTACAGGCATGCGCCACCACACCCGGCTAATTTTTGTACTTTTAGTAGAGACAGGGTTTCATCATGTTGGTCAGGCTGATCTCAAACTCCTATCCTCAGGTGATCCACCCACCTTGACCTCCCAAAGTGCTGGGATTACAGAAGTGAATCACCATGCCCAGCCTGTCCAGAACTTCTAAGCCATCTTCCTAAGTTCCTAATAACTTTGTTCTGTCATGACTCTTGACCATAACTGGCTGCCTGACCTCACATCTCTGCTCTACCTCACCAACAGTCAGATCTCACCCCACCCCAACCCCTCAGCCACCTCACTCTCTGGCCTTATTCCACCCATTATCACCGTTTTTTCCTGCTTCCTACCAGAATGATAAACTAGCACTCAGGAAATCTCTCAGAATGGATTTGCCAAGCCAATTGTTTTTTTTCTGATACCAAAGCTAACAAAACATGCTTTTTCCAGATGGGTAACATTTTGAAACTGAGGCACTCCTTGTTTAAAAACAATACCCAAGAGCTCTACAACAATGCTGTGTCGCCCAGGCTGGAGTGCAGTGGAGTGATCTCAGCTCACTGCAACCTCCGCCTCCCACGTTCAAGTGATTCTCCTGCCTCAGCCTCCCAAGTAGCTGGGACTACAGGTGCCTGCCACCAAGCCTGGCTAATTTTTTTTTTTTTTTTGTAGTTTTAGTAGAGACAGGGTTTCATTATGTTGGCCAGGCTGGTCTTGAGCTCCTGACCTCATGATCCTCCCGCCTTGGCCTCCCAAAGTGCTGGGATTACAGGCATGAGCCACCATGCCCAGCCACAACAGTGTTTTTAAGTGTATCATATCCATCAGATCTTCTAATGTTGAAGAGAGACCATTTGTTTCACTGTACAAAAGGGGAAACTGAAGACCAGAATGTCAAAGGCATTTGCCCAAGGTCACAGAGTACTTGCTCTGTCCAAGTGTACCAGAGAGGATGAGAGAAGCAGCCTTATCCCCTCAGCTGGTTGAGAAAGGTCCAATCAGGAATAGCAGCTGAGTACTTAACAAAACAAGTTAAGTTCAGAAGCTCAGCTCTGAGCAGCCTTGATTAACCCAGATTTTGGTTCAGGAAGAGCAAGCAAGAAGAGCTAGCACAGAGAATTCAGCCTCTGGCTAAGATGCAGAGCTGGCTGCTGAGTTTCAAGGGGATTCAACAAAAACACACTCACTGGAAGAGTAAAGTGAGAGAACAGAGCAATCATCCTAGGGCCAACTGTTTCCAATTGTGCTAACGGGCAGGTTCCGGAGGCAGTGGACAGAGTCCTGGAGACTGGGATTCCCACCTGACTCCAACAAGGAATGTGGATCAGTAGAGGCAAACCCACTCTTGTTTAAAAACTTGCGAACAGTCTGTTTCTCTTGGCCTCAATTTCTTTCACTTGCAAAACTAATAGGCATGGGGAGATTGTACAAGAAACCCACCTGCAAATCTGTTATGTACACAGACCCTTCTTTTGAGCTCCAGACACATACATTCAACCGCCTTCTAGACATCCACCTGAATGTTTCTCAGGCATCTTAAACTCAACGTGTCCCAAACCATCTTCCATCACACAACCCAGAAAGCTCAGGAAATCGGTCCCCTTCTCTCTCTCTCCTTGCTCCTTAAGCCTAATCAGTCACCAAGTCCTGCTTCTTCCCTATCTTTGACACAGCTCACATTAATCCCTTTACTCTCCACCTCCCGCCTTATCATTGCTCACCTACAACTGTACAACAAACACGCATTGCTCCCCCAGTCTCCAGCCCTGATGCCCTCCAGTCATCTCTGTCTAGAAAAGATCTCATCATGTCATTCTACTGCTCATTTATTCGGTCAACAAATATTTACTGAGCATCTATTAAGTGTCAATCGCTCTCCTAGGTGAAGATTCAACAGGCAACAGAACGGACAAAAAGTTCCAGCCTCATAAAGCTTACATTCACCATTCAAAATAATTTAGTTATTTCAAGAAGAAGAAGAAGAAAAAAAACCTAACTGTTGTTAACTGTGGCTTTGCAGGAAGGAGTCTAGATAATCCTCTAGAAGTTTCATTTTATAGCCTTTTGTACTGCATGAAAAAAATTATATCTATACTGATATTGTTATTCACATTTTATTTGCACCTCCTCCATAAAGCTTAACCTTTCTTCCTCCACAAAACAATAGGTGCTCACTCCTCCCTCCTGGGCCCCATCATTGCATTTACCCCACTGGACTCTGGTTATTTACAAATCTGTCTCCCCTATTACACCTGGAACCCCTTGAGGGCAGAAAGTTTATCTTCTTAATCCTTGCATATCTGGTGCCTTGCATGGTTGTTCAATAAATATTAATGGAATAAATGATTCTATAAAATTAAATGCCTACATGCATACAGATTTCTGACACATTTGTAAAGTCCCGGAGGACCTCTACTGTTTCATATAGTTCTTCAGGTTATGATCTGTGTTTTGTTCTCAAATCAGATTAAGGGGAAAAAGCGTTTGCTAGTCTACCATCACCATATAGGGAAGAACAGCTTGTTCTTGAGTGCCACCTGCTGGTCAAATAGAGTAAAGCTCTTTGGTTAGGCAAAGAAGGTTAATCAATGCTGAAATACATTGAAATGAAAGTAATGAGTAGTTACCACTACTGATTTATAGATCTGAAATGCTAGGAAAATAAAGTACAAAACTGGACACACACTGTGATGTTAATTATAAAAAATATATATATTGAAGGCAAGGACTTGTAGTTGTATTGGATATTGGGACTATGGGTGAATTCCTCTCTGTTCCCAGTTCTTTTAATATTATCATATGTAATCAGTGTTAGTTAATAAAATTATCAATTGAAGTCTGTCCAATTTATTAAAGTGGACTTAAAACAACACCATCACTTCTCCAGTTGCCACAAAACTGTGAACCTGGGCCACCTGTGACTCCTCCTCCTTCATTCTTTGGGTTAAGGTCAAGTCCTGCCAATGTTTCTGCCTACACATCATTCCTGTCCAACCAGTGAAAGGCACTAGGTTCAACTTACAAGCTGCCTGCCTCAGTGCTAACCAAGTTGGATTTCAGTTGATTAAGATTTACAGATCCATCCATTCATTGAGCAAACATTTACTGTATGCTTTCCTTTGTGTCAGGCACCCCATTTAGGCTGGTTCCTCACCAATTCCAGATATGAAAAAATCTTATTCATTTGGATAAACTGGGGGAAAACCAAGCCCGATTACTGAAAAATCCCCAAATGGTAGACTAGCAGGAGGAAAAAACTCATTTATTCCTGCCAAGTATTTCATGAGAGCTGAAAAACAGAGGCTTTGAAGACCTATTTTCAGTGATATAAATAAGAATTCTTGGTAAATTAACAGATTGAATATCTTCACGCACATTCACAGTGTCTGAAAACAATTTGCTCTTTTAGTCAGCTTACATTAGTACCCTCCAATCCTGCTAACCCAATATCATAAATAGTTGCTTAAATTGTGTGTGTGTGGGGGGGGGTGTTTGCTTTTTGTTTTTCTTGAGACAGAGTCTCGCTCTGTCACTCAGACTGGAGTACAGTGGTGCGATCTTGGCTCACTGCAACCTCCGCTTCCCGGGGAAGCAATCCTCCACCTCAGCCTGCTGAGTAGCTGGGACTACAGACGTGCACCACCAAGCCCAGCTAATTTTTAAAGTATTTTTTGTAAAGAGGAAGTTTTGCCATGTTGCCCAGACTGGTCTTGAACTCTGGCCTCAAGTGATCCCCCAACCTTGGCCTCCCAAAGTGTTGGGATTACAGACGTGAGCCACCACGCCAGGTCTAAATTGTTTTTTAATAGCTTGAAAACATTAAACCTTAGTATATCTTCTGCTAACTTATTACAAAATTTTGAATCAGTATGGGGCAGATGAGAGTTTACTGCCAACCCTAGTCCCTTGGCCTAGAGCTTCACCGTTCCTAATCTGGATATGGCTCTGCCCTGAACCTGCTGAGGAACTATGGCATTACACTGCTTTGATGTGCCTATTTCCTCATCTATAAAATGGGGATTAAAAATAATGCCTCATCTTGGAATGTTCAGAGGATTAAATGAGGTAAGGTAGATAAAATACCAAGCACAGGACCTGGCACGTAGTAAATGCCTGATAAATTGTTAAAATGATGTTATTCGATACCTGTGCTCCTTTATCCTGACTGCCTGTGGTAGCATTTGCCACTTGGCCTTTTCATTTACTAACCTTATGTGTGTGTGTGTGTGTGTGTGTGTGTGTGTGTGTGTGTGTGTGTTTTGTCCCAAAACTATTAAGGGACTATATCTACATTCCTATTAGAATACAGAGCTTAGTGCCTTGGATCCAGTAGAGCTAGGGAATTCACTCTGCCAGCTGTCCCATGAAGCCCTTTCCGTCTTGTGCAGTTTAGGGGGATGGAGGTGAGGAGGTAAACGAGGAGAGCAGGCAGCAGGGTTAACACGGGCAGTCAGGACTGCCAAAGTGACAAGCTGAGAATAAAGAGGTGGCCTGGGGGACCAAGGAGAGCTTGCTCGGAGCTGTGGCCTTGAGGACACCCTTTATCTGCAGGTAGCCTAGGGTCATCTGGTGGGCTTCATCTCTGAAGGCACATCCTAGGACCTAGAGGACCTGTGACTTATTGTCATTTTTAGAGCTGAAGGCCCGGCTCAATTGGAAGCTCTTTAAAAGGGAGTGAGCTGCAAAGCCAGAGTAGGAGACACGGGTTGTGATGCTACACCTGAGCCCTGACACCTGTCATATTGGCGACTGAGTCACCAACCCCACAGTGAATGCAAGAGACTTTACACCAGTCCTTCTCCAAGGTGGGAACTGTCCCCTAAGGCAGTCCTTCTCTAGCTGCTGTCTTAATATGTCTTCTTAATTTCTTCTTATGCTCCTGGGTATATTAATCATGAAACACACATATTTATAGAAGAAAAATTAACATGATGGATCTAGCTAGAGCTTTTGATCACTACCCTAAATAGATTAAATTTTTCCATTTTTCCACCAAAATACCCAAATCCCTGCTGACTTTCAAATGAAACTCTTCCTGTAAAGCACATTCTCCAGCAATGTAGGTAGGATATGTCCCAGAGACCACAATATCTGTCAAAAAAAAACCTTATACACTCAGCAACTCTGCTCATTGTGGATTTATCCAACCCTACTAGCATAGGTAATAGGTGTGTCTTCCCCTCATTGTCATATTTCAAAGAACAAGACACAGATGCGATGGTGACAAAATAAGAAAAGCTCCTACCAGAACAAGCTCCTTTCCTAAATTCACTGGGTGCCCCAGGCACTGTGAAGACTGGGGCCTTGCCCTTGAGGAGTTTATAATACACTAGCAATTATAAAAATACAAGAGTATATGTCAGGTATACAGCAACAGAAGTAAGGACCACAGAGGTACTAACGTGAGCCTGGGTACAGGAAGGCTCCACGAGGGCCTATCTATATAAGCTAAAATGTTTGCTATTTATCACATATAGAACAGGAGGTGAGGGTAGCACTGAACATTTTCAGCTGGGATAACAGCTTCACAGCAAAGTGCTGAGAAAGGCAATCTGCTATAGGATTCAGGATGGTTTGGCAGGGGAAGAGGCTGGTGGCACCCCACAAAGGAGTGGGGTATGCATGCATCATCCAGAGTCCTAAGAACTGACAGAGGAAAACAGATGCCCATCTATGTGAGAATCAGGTAAATTAGCCCCTTCTCGGCACCTCCCTCCCCCCGTCTATTTTTTTTTTTTTTTTAGATGGAGTCTCACTCTGTCACCCGAGCTGGGGTGCAGTGGTGCGATCTCAGCTCACTGCACCTTCCGCCTCCCAGGTTCAAGTGATTCTCCTGCCTCAGCCTCCCAAGTAGCTAGGACCATGCCCAGCTATTTTTTGCATTTTTAGTAAAGACAGGATTTCACCATGTTGGCCAGGCTGGTCTCAAACTCCTTACCTCAGGTGATCTGCTTGCCTCAGCCTCCCAAAGTGCTGGGATTACAGGTGTAAGCCACTGCACCCAGCCCCCTCCCACAATCTTTACACCAGATGTGGCCTGTCTCAGTCACACTCCCCTCCCCATAAGAACCAGCAAATGAGATTTTTTTTCTTTCTTTTTTGGGACACAGTCTGGCTCTTTCACTCAGACTGGAGTGCAGTGGTACAATCTCAGCTCACTGCAGCCTCAGTCTCCTGGGCTCAAGAGATCCTCCTGCCTCAGCCTCCCAAGTAGCTGGAACTATAGATGCATAGCACCATACCCAGCTTTTCCTTTTTTTTTTTTGGGTAGAGACAGGGTCTATGTTGCCCAGGCTGGTCTTGAACTCCTGGGCTCAAGTGATCCTCCTGCCTTAGCCTCCCAAAGTGCTGAGATTACAGGCATAAGCCACCATGCCAGGCAAGAACTTGGATTCTAAACTTAGACAAATAAACTCCCATTCTAAAGGTGAAGATGCTAAAATGGGGAAAACTTTATAAAAGGTAATACAAATCATCACAAAATTAATTTGGAAGAGGAGGACAGAACAGAAGAAAAATAATTTGAAGACTATAATTAGATCACTTTTTATCACCAAACTGTACATCATTCAGAGCCATTAGGCTGATACAAACAAAACACACTCTGGGTCCAAAATATAAACTTCTCTCTTCCCATTTCTGACATTTAACATAGTAAGCAATGTAAACAAAATAAAATGGCAACTTACTATCCAGGAGTCTCTGAAGAAATTTCCGGAGTAGGGCTGATGGCTGAGCTCTGTACATGTCCAAAAAAGAAAAAAAAGAAGAAAAAAATAATGTAGATGATTTATTTTGACTCATATGTTTCAAGCCAAGAGGAAAAAGAGAGAGGTCAATTTCTTTTTCCTAGTTTAGACCAGGACCTCTGGAAGTCAGGGGGGCTGGAAGGAAAAGGTCTTCGGTGCTGGTGGAGGGTGGTGCTCTTTCTCTGGAAGGAGAATGTATGGGCAGGTGGGCTCTCCTACTCCTGGTCTTTTGCCTTCCAGTGGATGCAGCCAAGGCCCTCTGGGTGGGTCAGGAGAAGGCCTCCTGGCTCATACTCATCTTCTGTCACAGGTCACTGGGCAATGGCCCACCGTGGGCCAACATGCTTTAGTGACATGGACAGCACATCCTCCACCAGCTTCTCCACAGCCCTCAGACCCCCCTCTGAGCCCAATGCAGAGCCCTTCATGCACCCCAAATGCCACATCCAGAGAGAGGGTCACCCAACACTTTAGGTCCAGCATGTACAAAAGCATACTTTAAAATACCACACTGTATTTAGATAACTTGTGTATGCCTGCAAATTTAGGAGTGCAGAAATGGGGAGAAATGCAATTTCACCAACTACATTAATGATCACTTCAGCATGAATAAGGGAATGCTTTATAAAATTACCAGGCACCACGCAAAAGGAAGAAAACAACCAAGAGCTACATGCAGAGAAAAAGCAACATAATTCTGTAGTTTAGGGTTTCTGTTGTCTTGGAGAGAAAAATGCAAATGCTTTGATATGCTTGTTTTTAAAAATAAGGGAGTAGTTGAATAAATCAATGCAAAGGTTAATTTTAAAGATACTTCTACCTTAAATAATGGCCTTATCTCTAATAATGACCATTTTAAGAAAAACTAGCTATTTGGAGAAGAGACATTTAAGGAAAGGACAGAAAGAAAAGGAAGAGATTGTGAAAGAGAGAAAAGGAAATGACAGGGAAGGAGAGGCAAACTCACCCACTAGCCCCCTGCCTGCTGAAACCTGTTGGGCTTGTATGCTTTCATTTCTGAGGGCACCTCTGCTCTGGGATGAGGACTGTACCCCACGCCACCCCAATTATTCCTCAGAGAGCACACCCCTCTTACCTTCACATCCATCCTCCAGCCCTTTTGGCTGCACTGTCTTGCCTGCCCATCCTCTCCTTCTTGAGTCTCCTATCTCTGAACACCTGTCCTGTCCAGTCTTCCACCTTGAAAAAACTTTGACCCTGTAGAGTCCTCTGGGAACACTCCCCTCCCTTCCTTCCTCCCACGGCCACATCTTTTCACTCAGTGCTGTACCTCTGCAGGCTCCAGATTCTTTGCCATATACTCTAACTCCCAAGAACTACTCACCCAGCAACCTCCAAAGCCTTTGGAAACATCTTAGTCATCACATCCACTGACCTTCCTGGGAGTCCACCTTTCTGGACATCTGGGAAGATCTCATGCTTTCTCCTCTTGCTCCATCATTCGCTTTTCCCTCCGCCTCTGTGAACTCTCCTTTCTCTCCCTCTCCCCTTCTCCTGTTCCACATCACCCAACGTCCCCATGGGTAGTTCTTGGTTTCACATCCTTTCTCTCAACACAATCCCCTCTTCAGTCTTTCATCTACTCCCTAGTTGGGTATCTTCTTCTATCCCCAGGGCTTCAACCATCGCCTCTCCTCAGGTGACTCCAATCCCCATCTTAAGCCCATGCCTCTTCCAAGAACTCTAGTTTTAGAGTTCCAACTGCCTACCGGATATTACCTATATGACACCCAACCAACACCTCAAAGGTCAATTACCTAAAGCCAACTCCCTCACCTTGCCTCTGCCCTGATCTTCTTCCCAGCTGTCCTCTGTGACGTGCTCACATCCTCATTCTTCCATCTGCCTGGCCAAAACCTTAAGGTTGTCTTTGTCTTAATCCCATCCCCCAATTCTTTGCTCTTTACACCAGTTAATTAAACTATCCCACTGCAACATCCTCAGTGACCTGGCTTGCATCTGCCCTCCTCACTGCATGCTGGCACACCCAGCAAGGGCTCTCACCACAGCCACAGTCACCATTCTCACTCCAGGGCTAGTTGTGATCTCTTCTCACCTGGGACCTTCAATTCCACAGTGGCTAATCTGGTTCCTTCACCCTAATTGGAAACTCAGCCCCTAACCCCACCCCACCTGCCCCACCCATCACCTGTCTGCCTCACCCATGTGTGCAGTGCCTCTGGTGGCTCCTTCAAGTGCTGAGGGAGAGCTTGAGCCTAACCCCTGGCCCTGCTGGCTTCCTCATGCTCTGCTGTCTCTGGATCCCCAATTCCTAACACCCTCAAGCAACCTGCAGCTCCTTGGCTCCTGACTCTCTTACCCCAGACCAAATCCCCGGTCTCTTCACCCCTTCCCTGGTTTGAGTCTCTGCTGCTCTCATGACTTTTGTGCCCAAGTCACTGGGGCTGGAGATCTGTCTTGGTTCTGCTTAAGTGTGGCATGGGTCCATCAGCAGTTTCCACTTTTCCTGTCATGGTTTGTGGACCTTCCTGGCCTCCTCAGCTCCATATTCCTTTTGTATCTTTTTTTTTTTTTTTTCCTGAGACGGAGTCTCGCTCTGTCACCCAGGCTGGAGTGCAGAGGTGTGATCTCAGCTCTGCCTCCCGAATTCAAGCGATTCTCCTGCCTCAGCCTCCCAAATAGCTGGGAATACAGAGGCCTGCCACCATGCCTGGCTAATTTTTGTATTTTTAGTAGAGACTGGGTTTCATCATGTTGGCCACGCTGGTCTTGAACTCCTGACCTCAAGTGATCCACTTGCCTCGGCCTCCCAAATTGCTGGGATTACAGGCGTGAGCCACCGCGCCCGGCCTCCTTTTGTACCTTCTCTAAAGATACCTTTTCCTTTTAAGAGTCTCTTTTGTTTTGTCAGGGAGCCCTCCAGGCAGTTCTATGAACATTTGGTTTTTTCCTCCTTGGAAACCTACTTACCATGATGTCTTTCTCTCTCTCTCTTACTCTCTCTCGTATACCCTTTAATAAACCACATTTTGACATAGCTCCCTTTAAAATATCATGGCAGACTCAGTTTCAAACACTTTTTTTGTGTGTCCAGGCCATCTGACCTCTGAGTGCATTTTTCATTGAGAACTTTCTGAACTTTAAAATGACAAACACTACTACTCTGAGAGCACCATGCACAGAAAGGGTACCCAAAGCACTGCTGCTGAGTTTTTGAAACTGATCTTTGAGGTTGGTATCTCCCAGGGCTGCAAAAAAGACATGGAAACTGCCAAAAATGGCTCCCTGAAAATTCAGAGAAGGCAGACAGAGGCAAAGGAAGGGAACTTAAAAGGTCGCCCCTGGAAAGCAGAGGAAGAGAATAAGGTGGGAGAGTAGTTTCAATCAGCAGCCTCTCTGCATATATTTGAAGAATCCCCTTTAAGGAAGATGCCAAGCTCAAAAGAAAACCAAGCAAAAATGAACTGGGTAGGTGTGGGGGAAGGAGTCTAAAACAGTAGTCAGAAAGCCATGCAGCCTAAAATAGCCAGCATCACCATCCGTCACCTCAACTACATCAAAAACCATAGAACAAAGAAGAAAACAAAGCACAGCTTGAAAAGGAACTGATGGCATGAGAAAAACTAGGAAATACCTGTGGCACGTTTGCACTGGGTGCTTTATTAAGCGTCTCCATTTTTTCTAAATCTGCCTCTAACTCTGTCTGGCAGAGGCTGAGATCTTTGTCTAGATTAGTCTGGTTCAAGAAAGAAAAGATGGGAAAGAAGGTTTTAGTTTAGAGGAAAGGGAGAAAGAATGGAAGGTTACGTTTGAAAAAAATGAATTTTTTTCTTAGTGTTATACTTTCATACGGCCAAGATAGCATGATTAAAACACAAGAGCTCACTGGAAATTAGTTGAAGACATGAAAACAGAGAATGTAACATTAGGCATATAAAGCAGAAATCCTGAAGTCATCAGAGCTTCAAAAAGCTATTCTACTTGCTACGGAGAACTACAAAAACCTACCTTTAAGGAAATGCCTATTTTCTCTTTTTTCAGAGTGTGGTGACAGTGACAAATACTATATGTCAGAAGAATACGTAATTGCTTTAAAAACCTCTAAACATTAGTATATGTCTTAGAGAATTTGTTACATAGTTTTATTACCTAACCAAAAAAAAAAAAGCATCAAGTTTTTTCAAAAGTGATTTAAGAAAACAAACAAACAAACAAACAAACCCACAACACACTCACACTAACCAAGGCTAGAGAGCACACACAGTCCAACGGAGGAGGCACAGCGGAATTACCTTTCTATCCTCTCTAGGAAGGATAGAGCAGTCTCCAGGAGTATAATCCCATATCTTTTTGGGAGGCTGACGGGAAGCAGAGGAGGAAATGAAGAAATGAGCATAAAGACATAAAGACAAACATGGAGACTGGCTCAAACAAGGAGGGGTACACTGGGAGAACTGTATCAACACAGAAAGGTGAACTCAAAAGCAAGGGGAGTGGGTGCTGCCTACGGACACAAGGCTGCCTGCTGGAGCGGAAGCCTGAGGATTTGGGAGCTGGGACTGTTACCTAGGAAGTCTGTTTCTATGTCTATGTTTCAAGAGCAAATCATCGTTGGATTCTAAATATTGAAAACTTAAGAAAAGACGGGGGGGAAAAAAGAAAAAAAAAGCATTAACAAATTTGAACAAAAACAGAAACTTTTAAATTCCTCATTGTTCTCTTCAAACTAAGATTGACACTGAAGATTCCACATTTTTGAGGCAGTCTTCTGCTGTAAAATTCATTGTGTATTAACACATGTGTGAATCTAGAGGTTTGGTCAACAGACTGAACCAAATTTACTTTCTGTGGTTTGTAGCAAAGAAATTCATATATAAAATGGGTGTTAAATAGTACACTAGACAATTTCATACCAGTAGTTTTAAAACCTCCTTTTACAGTTTAACTAGACCTTGATAGTGGTAGAAACATACTTTTCATCCCCCTTAGAGAACAGAGTTTAAACCCAGAATTTAAAGAGGGGACTGTAAGGTTATTTTTGTTTTGTCTTTTAACTCTTCAAGTCAGATTTACAGCTGCATTCCTAAGACAGAAATTTGCCAAAAGATTGTTGTAAGTTTAATGAGGGAAGAGTCCAGCGGGTGGAACATTCAGAGGTTACAGGTGACTTCTAACTCTGGATCCTCTCTTCTACTTGTTCTGTCTATTTAGACTTGAATTTTCTTACATAATGACCCCTAGGGTGATAAGAAATAGGAGATCATTAATAGCTCCTAAAATTTTGTGCAAATTTCATTATAGCCAACTCCATGGAAGCATTCAAATTGGTTTACATTGTGAAATTTTGACTTGCTCTTACATATAGAAATCATGTCAATTTCTATAGAAATTAGAGGAAAACAACTCAGAAAAAAAACTGATTCCCAGGCTCTTTGTAATAAATCTGCAAATGAGAAGTAATCTGATTCCAAGGTGTGTTCACCACTGACAGCAACAGGTCAGTAATGTCATCTCTGCACATGTATATTCCGCATTTCATAAAGTAAGTGATATTACCAATTACCATTCATCTTTAAGCACTTAATACACTTGGACTGTTCATCTGCAGAAGTAGACTTTTTAAAGCCTAATGACTTACGATCATTTCTTTACTGCAATAAACAGGGCAGTGTTTACAAATTAAACTGGTTTTAAATAATCTGTCCAAAAATGGTCCCTGGAGTCTTGAACTATTTGCTATTCTAACAACTTGTTGGAGCTAAAAAGGTATCTTTTTAGTCAGGATCTTGCTGAAATTTCAGTTCATTTTGGGTGGCTAAAGCGAAGGGGTGGAGGAAGCAAGGAGTTCAGGGTAAATGTCTAGTGTCAAAGTTCTGGCAGGCTTTACTGGGGAAAGTGGTCCCCAGTTGGTGTGAGAAAAAAAAAAAGTAGAAATGCTGATTCCCATGATCTGGTAGGATTTTGATTCTGCTTCTGAATGGCTGAAAAGCTTTCCAAAACAGCTTCCATGGTTTATGCCACTTTTATTTATGTCTCTTACTCTTTTGTGGCAGAGTGGTTGCAGTAGGAAGTGAAGAAAAAATTTATCCTTACCACACCTTCCTCCCAAACCCTGTTAGTTCAACTAGGTAATAAGCCCACCATTAGGATGCCTCAGACCATAAGGAGCTGTTCATTTCAGGACTGTTCCTCAGGATATGGGCATTGATTTAGTTAATTTGGCAAGTCTTCACAAGTATTATCTTTTAAAGTAAGACCTACACAAAAAGAAGCAGTCTCATTAGAAGAACTCTGAGGCCTGTGCAAAGAATGCATGTGGCTTCAGAGAAAATGCTACTTTGAAAAAGCATCTCTGAGTCTTTAAATAATTAAGAGGTTGTTAGAGCAATGGGGTGGGGAGACAAGCTAGAGGAAAGCCCCAGTATACAACTGGACTGTGTTCTCAACATTTGTTTGAAGTTAGCTGTGTGGTACCTGGAGTGAAGTTTTTGGCAGCAATACTGTTAATTTATCAAGCTATGCATGGAGACTATTTAAATGTATGCTGGTATTAAAATACTATATATTATCCTCAAAAATTATTTGTAATGATAGATTTAGTAAAACAATCACAACTAATTAGGGAAAAAATTCCACCATTTTTCCTGAAAGCTAATATTTTAGATAAAACTAATTTAGTTGTTTGGCAGATGAGATGGGCAGAAATGTGTGGATTCTGAAACAGACTTGAAAAATCAACGGCATGGACTCTATTAAACATAACTTAATAGCTTTTGCTTTCCTTGACTAAAGTATGGCATTATTGTTTCATATACCAATCATGGTCTGTTTTGGGGGTGGGGAGACAACTACACACAGCAAAAGCTTTTTTCGGTGACATAATTGACCAGGTTTTAAGAAAAGGAGAAAAGAGAAAGGGTTAGGATACTGTTAAATACTGCACGTGGAAAAGATTGCCTGAGGTAGATTTAACTGATGTCTGAATGGTGAACAGCAGAGGCGAAAAAAAGAAAGGAGAGAAAGGAGAAGAAATGAGGTGTGCACCAATGCTTTGGGGAGGGGAGAAGGAGGGTGCAGACTTTGGGTCAGATGCGTCCCTCTCCACTGGTCACTAGGTGGCGCTGTTCATCCAGGACAGCTCAGCTGCTATCGGGAGACAGTGTCTAGGAGGGACCAGAAGAGAGGAACAAGCAGGCTGTTTGCAAGTCTGGTGCTCTTAACTCAGAAGATGCCTGAACTTTCAAAGCTCAGCACTGCCAAATCAAAGAGCAATTCCTAAGCACCAACTTAATTTCTCTTTGTCTTTGTTTTAATAAAAAATTTTAAAACATTTTATTTACTCAACTATAAAATACATTCCTGTCTGCAAATAAAACTATCATCCCAGACCACAGAAACTCAAAAGCTGGATCCAATGCATAAAGTCTCATACAATCATTGAATAAAATGTGTTTATACACTTAACTCCTCTACCTGTAAATTCTTTTTGCAGCTGTAATAATTAAGACTTTAAAATAACTAGAGTTTTAAAGTCAGTTTCGTTATCTCTAGAGGAAGGATGAGCTCAATTCTCCCTTCTATTTTATATTCCTTTGGGTGCAAGGCTAAGAAAATCCTCCTTTAAGTGCCAAAAGTCAATTTGTACCAAAGCCAATTCAGAGATATCATGGGGCAACTGTAGGCTGAATACTAAAGATGCTAGAATTCCTTACTCCCATTTCAAACTTTGGGAAATATCCTACATCATAGAAATCATTCCCTAAAAGTCACCTATAATGGGGTTGCATTTGTGGGTCACATCTGCACAAAGAGGTCCTTGTTGGCCTGCTCTGGGACTTCATTTACATATGTGCTTTTAAAAATGCTATTTAAAGCAGAGACAATGCTGGTCTTCTCAGTGTGTAACACATTTTCAGCTTGTCTTTCACAGACCATAAAGACTTTGGTCAAGGAAGTGAAAACAATGGCTGAAATAATGCCATCCGCAAGGCATGTGGTACTTGTTGTTAGTGGGGGGAGGTCTAAGACAAGCAATGATTATTTGTGTTTCTCTGGGATATTCCAGCAAGATATACTTCCAGAGCTCACTATCCTTTCTCAGTGAAGTAAGGCAAAAGAAAGCTCAGAGGTTGTAGTGAGAAGAGACAATCCCACTACGGACAACCAACATGACTGCTCCCCACTTTCTGAATTCCTTACAAACATCTGATTCTTTAGCAGCAACAACGCATCCACAGCATTAGTTTAAAAGGTGTATAACCACTGAAGCTATTAAACTTACCGGTTTCCCAAACTCCAATTCCGAAAAGAATTTATACCAAGGTTCATTCTTTAAATCTATCTCTTCTGGGCTTATATCCCGACTCTATAGGGGTTGGTGATAGAGAAATGGAAGAAAGAGAAGGATAACATTATGCAAAGATTACATAGGAACAGGCCAGTAGAGATGCAGTGGTTTCCAGGTATATACAGGAGCTGCATTCAACAGCAGCAATCATCTGTTTTTACTGACAACAGCAAAAACAGGAGGGAGAGGATGGGTTTATAAAAACAGGGAAATTGAGGCAGGGAACAGTAAGTGAATCATTCTCAGCCCTAAGGCAGAGGAAAATGGACTATAGATGGACAACTCTGCACCACACTGCTGCCTACACAACAAGTCTGAATCTGGGCATAACAGCATTCTGCAATAATTTTCAGTAATGTGGAAGAAAAGAAAGCCCTTTACAAAGAACTATTAGTTATGAGCAAATGACCTGGTGAGCACACCAAACATTTAGCCATCTATGCCAGTTGAGTAGAGCTGATTTTTATGGGCTAGTACAACTTTAGTACTTATTTGCAAAGCTGCCTTAAGGTTTTCGAAATAAACACAAATATTGACACTTTATAAAAGCCAATTGGTTAATACTGCATCTTTAATGGCACATGAGTAGGTAGGAAACCATGTCCCGTACACAGTAAAGTGAAAGTGAAAAATGATATAAGTAAAGACAGAGGACACAGTGAAAAAACATTTTAAACAAGTATCCATGGCGGATGAATACAGACAGAATATACTTCGTGTTTTAACAAATAAATGTTAAAGAATTGGGAAAAAATAAAGTGAAAGAAAAGCTAGACAAGACAGATAACAGAACAAAGGGGAAAAAAACTTCTGGGTTATATGACAAAAATAAGTTAGATTTCTCACTTTATATAACACTATGAGGTATCAATAGACTGATAATTTGATTTCATGGGATATAATATTTAACCAAATAAGTATAAAGTTCTGGCACCTTATTTCATGGAATAACACGTGTTTCTGGAAATAACTAGTTGGAAAATGAATGTGTGCAAAGCAAATCATGTTTTCCCCTTCATAAATTGGAGAAATGTTTACATCAGGGAAAAGTGTTTGAGGTTCATGACTAATTAAGTATGTATATATGTTTCAAAAAACATTGATAATCGCAAAAAGAGAGTTGGGGTGATTTTCTACAATAACCTGAAATATAAAATGCATACACTTTCTACTGAGATTGAAAACACTGCACAACAAACTTCACTACTTCTGGGCTATAACACCTGAGGGAGGGGGTTGCCATGTGTGGTGTGCAGGTCTTTAATGCTAGTGCTTCACAAAGCAGCTCTTCTTGTACTTTACTTACAACACAGTTAACATCCCCTTTGCAGCTTGTAGAAAAATGGCTGCTAACTTTCTTAGTGACCTTTACCATCCCTTTTTCTAAGATCTTTAAAAGAATCTTTAGCATTACTTTCACTTTTGCTACAGGTAGAGGACTATGGAAATATGGCAGGGAACCTTCTTTTAACTGAAACCAAGCTAGGTTGAAATCGGAGGGAAAATCATACTGAAACACAAGGTCTGTCCTCCTGCATCCAGATAAGACTTCCTCCAAATGTCTTTAGGGACTTACGGTTTAAATCCTGAAGGAGAAGCCTTGCCCTCCCTGTAGTAAATGGATTCTATATTTATTCAATTCAGTGAAAGGAGGTACAATACCTACAAAAACACAACTACTCAGTAGTGGCAATTTAGACATTGGGAGTTTCTAGATCCTAATATGATGGGGTTTCATGAATCTATTTCATGTTTGTTATTTTTACAAAGACTATTTATAAACTGCCCTCTGGGAATGGTTAGGCTTTTTTTTTTTTTTTCTTAAATAAAATGTACCAGCTCTTTCGGGGAACTGCCTGAAAGTTTTGGTACTCATGATCCTGAAGTAATTAACTTATTTTATTCCCAAAGGTTGTCTGCAGATCGTTTTACTGTGGAGGTTAATGCTGTGACAATAATAGAATCAGGAGGTTATGTCAAACAGCGATGGGTGAGAGCAACCAGCCTCAGTCCTTTGAGCTGCCCAGAGATAAAGCTAAAAAGGTGATACCACACAGCCCTCACATCTGCATTTGATTTTGCCAAGTATAACTCAGCTGTGGATCCTGTTATGGAACAGACCAATAGAAAAACATCCTTCTGGACACAGAGCAGGAACTCTGGCCTGGCAGACAGGGAAAAATTCCATAATGCCTGGCAAAGTTCTTTAGTACCACAGGCTATTCTCCCAGCTCAAAAAAAATCCTTGGAAAAGGGCAGGTAACTCACCAGAAAAATGCCAACTTCTCCTCAAAGACAGTTTTGCTTCTTGAATGGAAGCCAGAGACCAGCTTCAAATTCCAATTAAGTAAGTCGCCTGAATGTGGTATGTCTGTGTAGCACTTCATAATATTCAGTTATTGTACCCATATTATCACATTTGACCCACCCCATCTTCCAATTCCTAGTCCAGTGTTCTTTACACTATACCATATTCCCCTTTTCATATTCCACATGACAGGGGGGCAGGCCCACTAAGTTTGCGATGACACCAAGCTAAAGCAGGGCTAAATGACCATGCTGAAAAGCCAGGAAAGGAACACAAAGTGAGGATGAACTGGGAAGAAACCAAGCTGGGGAAATCCCCTTGTTTTACACTTCTAAAATGTACACTGTGTCTGTAATCCCTCTTTTAATATCTGTCCGTCCTACTACATATATGTGTGTGTGTGTGTGTGTGTGTGTGTATGTATGTATGTATATATTTAACTGAACTGAACTTCTGTAAGAGACTTAGAGGAAGGTATAAAAGAATGAGTCCTGAAAAAGGCCATTTCTGACAAAGCAAGGACTGACCAATAGATCTCCAATTCCAAGGCTAGAAGAGAAAAAAGTATCCTACTATGATAAGAGGGGACCAAGTAGAGATAAAGACCCACATACGTGCCAGGTTTGGTCGCTCAAGCCTGTAGTCCCAGCAGTTTGGGAGGCCAAGAGGGGCAGATTGCTTGAGCCAAGGAGTTTGAGACCAGCCTGGGCAACATGGTGAAACCCCATCTCTACAAAAAATAAAAAATTAGCTGGGCCAGGCACGGGCTCATGGCTGTAATCCCACACTTTGGGAGGCAGAGGTGGGTGGATCATTTGAGGCCAGGAGTTCAAGACCAGCCTGGCCAACATGGTGAAACCCCATCTCTACTAAAAATACAAAAATTAGCCGGGCATGGTGGTGCGTGCCTGTAGCCCCAGCTACTTGGGAGGCTGAGGTGAGAGGACTGCCTGAGCCTGGGAGGTCAAGGCTTCAGTGAGCCATCATCACACCACTGTACTCCAGCCTGGGTGATAGAGTGAGACCCTATCTCAACAAAAAAAAAAAAAAAAAAAAAAAGACCTTCATATGAGTCTTTCAAATAGATGACTAGGTCATCAAGTTTGTAAGTCTTCTGTAGGGGGTTTTGAAGGCAGTACAGTGTTTCTTTCATCTTTCTGGAATGATTTAGAGTATGCTCCAGGGCAAGGTGAGCTCTAGGGCAACCTCTCCTGCTAACCATGCATAGATGTGCCTATGAAGTCACAATTTAAATTGCCAGAGTTAAGCAGACGTAAGTACCTCAAATGGAAAAAGCATTTTTTCTCCTAAAATGAGGTAGTGCATATCTGAGAGCAGACTTACATTCTACATCTGTCACTAGTTAGTATACTTACCCACAGTTAACAACGGAAGTGTGTGTTTTGGGGCGATGGGGGTGTATGCTCAAATTCTGGCAAACCAGATACTAGATACCAAAAGCCAAGACTCACATGCTGAAACTCACACTTCACCTTTTCTGTCCATGTGATAAAAACAGCAGGAAACAAAATCAAACATAAAGGATGAATTCAACTACTGTGAAGGGCAGACTGTCAAAAGATTAAGATTCAACTAAAACTTCTCTTTGGAGGAACAGAGCTAAACTGGGTGAAACTATTGGACATTCCTACTCCTCCTTGGCCTGCCTTTGGTGTTCATGCCCCATTAGTGGCTTGGCTTAGGG
Source organism: Homo sapiens (assembly GCF_000001405.40). Classification (NCBI taxonomy): domain Eukaryota; kingdom Metazoa; phylum Chordata; class Mammalia; order Primates; family Hominidae; genus Homo; species Homo sapiens. The sequence continues at coordinate 95,380,052 of NC_000010.11, forward strand.
CTTGGTACTACACAGAGGAGCTTTGCAATCCATGTACGTGCTCACCACCATTCTCCAAGAAGGCCCCGTGGGGCACTATGTGTTACTTTTCAGGGTTTGTAAAAACAACGTAAATGATCCCAAGAACTGTGGTATGGAAGATCCTGGTAAACTATTGCGGTATCAATGAGAAAAACTAAACTATGTTGTTTTTCCTAGTTCTGAGTAGTGGTTAAATGACTAAGAACCAGGGAAAGGAGCTGGAAACAAAGGAGAAATTAAGAAAAGGGAGCCTTCGGTAAGAGCCATGAAAATCTATGAATGGTAATACTGCCAAAACAAAAACACTCAAAGGTCTACAGAGTCCCTGAAATCATTTAAATGTATTAATATGTAATGGTGGGTCCCAGTGTTGGAAATAAACCCAAGGAGCACGACTTTCTTTGCAGGAGCACCTGGGTGCAAGGTTACCTTCTATGTTTCTTACGTACAGTATCTTCTAACAGCAGAGAACCTCCAAAGAAGGGCAGTAGTGGGGAGAAGGCGAAATTCTGTGCTCCTCTCTGAACTTTCTGCTTGAAATAACTGGTGCATAGTGAACGCTGAAGAATGACAACTCTAAGTATTTCTGTGACCTGTTGACCTTTTTTCCTAATTAAAATGACTTATCCTTCAGTGCTTTTAGAGATGTCACATTTTTATCTCAGTAGAAGTCAAATCGATTCTTCTTTCAAAACATGTAGAGCCGATGAGGCGGAGGGAACATAATTTGAGCCTGCATTTCAGAGGCCTGCTTATTCTGTAGACATTGTGGTGACCGTATTTTAATAAAAACCAAACTCCAGCATAATAATTCCATCCTGCTGTCCTGCTGGAGGACTGCAATGTTTATGGAGCTTTGGAGAACCCCTTAACCAGGATCACAATTCCAAAACAGCTTTTCCCAATGAAGGGTTAATAAAAGGATGCATGATTGGCAGGTATGAAACTAATCAATGTGTAAGAATTCTTCCTGTTTCACAGAAGAGGCCGCTTTTCCAGGGTGGTCTGCTATATGCATACAAACCATTTTCCCCACTCATAATTGCTTAGAGATGTAAACTTGTATAGGGAATCATAAACCAGGTCGAATATGAAATTTGTCCTCAATATTGCACTTGTCAAAAAAGGAAGACCTAAAGGATATATTCTAACAGCCTGGGCCTTTTTTCCAAGTCACAACATCCTATTAGTTATGTAGCTTTTAATGACATTCTAGTAACTTGTACAAAATTTATGCCTGTTCAGAGTCACTTAAAAAAAACTGGACTTCAGTCCACTTAATGACAAGCCTGATAAATGAACACTTAGACATTCAAAAAAAGACAGCAGCAAAATCAATCTTTATGTTAGTAGAAAAATTAATATTAGTTAAAACCATGCACAAAAAAAGCAACAGAGCCACAATAAGAGGGTTTTTTAAAAGCAGACTCGCGGGACTTATTTTATGAACACCTGCAAAAATGAAAAGGGTAAAAGTACTTCATTTTTGTCATTATCTTCAAAACAAAGTTAAGTCTATCTCAAGGGGAAAGAATGTAATCCAACTGCACAATGCATTCTGATTAAAGAACATGGGCACGGTGAGACAAAATAACTTTAATATGCACATTACCATCTTTTCGTTGGTCAGAACGGAAGACTTGCCAGGCTGATATTCGTAAATGCTCTTGGGCTCTGCACGATATTTTCTTGTGTCTACTTTCTTATCTGGGGGTTCCCAGTCATTTCTGCAGAAAGAAAATTCTATTAGAGCTATTTTCATGACAACTGGCATTAGCTTCCGACACGGTCTGACTTTGGATGGCTGTAGTGTAATCAAAGAACTGTTATATCCAAAGCATAACATCGGAGTCAGGGTGAACAATTTAGTTGTGTTGGTTTGCTTCTCAAAACAACCAGTTAAAGTTTGGTGTTCGCTTCTCACAAGGCTTGAGATGTCCTGTGCTCAAAACCAGGCACCAGGAAGGGGAGTGGACAAAGCAACAGGAACAGAGGCGGCAGCAGCAAAGCTGGCTCTGGAAAAATCTTTCACCTTGCTTCGCTCTATGGGCTTTTCATTCCACAGACATGCCTGTACTTCCCATTCACACTAGAGCAGTGAGAGAGAACACAGGTCCTGGAGCCAGTTGACTGTGGTTCAAATCCTGCCACACCCCTTGCTAACTAGGTGATCTTAGACAAGTATTTCACCTCTTGGTATCTCAGTTTCCTCATCTGAAAAATGGGGTTGTTGTAAGGACTAAACAATTTACATGAGACAGCACATGTAATCACTGAGCAAAGTGCCAGGCCCATAGTAACCACACAATAAATGTCAGTTGCTACCATAATTGCATTCTTCCCTGTTCCACACTGGAATAGGGAAGAGGTAACTGTGGGTTGAGACCTTAGATTCAAGTCAGTAATTGATTTTGGTTTGATTTTTGTATATGGTGAGAGATGGGGGTCTAGCTTCACCCTTCTGCATAACCAGTTTTCCCAGCACCATTTATTGAAGGGTCTGTCTTTCTCCCAATGTATGTTCTTGGCACCTTTGTGGAAAATAAGTTCACAATAGGTGTGTGGATTTGTTTTTGGGTTCTCTATTCTGTTCCATTGGTCTATATGTCTGTTTTTATGCTAGTACCAAGCTGTTTTGTTTACTATAAGCTCTAGTTTGCAAATTTTTTATTTGTGCATTACCGTACTTTGCACTGTGATTAAGTTTTTCATGCAAGGCTGTAAACTTCTTGAAGGCAGAGACAATGATTTATATATACCTATATCCTTCCATGATATATGGTTAAATCTGCAGGGAATACACCCAGTGGGTTCTGGATGAAGGCAACTATAAAGGATTTGTGGGTATACCCAGGTTTCTTTTCAAATTAATTATCAAACTCCTCAGGTAGAGGCCACTTAAGTTCGTGTGGTGCTTTTAAAAACAGCCATTAATTTGTCTGTGAGGTTGGAAAAGGTAGAGGTGTGAAATTGGATGTGTATTTAAGGAAGAAGTAAATAATTTTGTTTGGCCAGAGCCTTTTGTGTGTTGAGAAGTGGTGTAAGTTGGGGCTAGAAGATGCATGGAACTCCTGTCCAAATAGCATGAGGAGATTGCTTCAGAGGGCATTTTTAGAGATAAGAACTCAAGTCAGGTGTTTGGGACCAGCCTAGCCAACACGGCGAAACCCTGTCTCTACTAAAAAAATACAAAAATTAACCGTGAGTGGTGTGTGCACCTGCAGTCCTAGCTACTCGGGAGCCTGAGGCATGAGAACTGCTTGAACCTGGGAGGCAGAGGGTGCAGTGAGCCGAGATCACACCACTGTACTCCAGCCTGGATGACAGAGCAAAACTCCGTCTCAAAAAAAAAAAAAAAAAACTCAAGAAAAAGAAAACTGTTTTGTTTGCTGCAGGCATTTTAAGAGATTTATTAATGCTGTCACTAGAACAAGTCCAAGGCTTATGTCTCAATAATACATGTTGCATGAGTAAATGGACATTAAAAAGTGTGGCTTCTTTTTAAGTTATAGTCATTGCTATGAATATGTGAACACAGTATGCAAAAAGAATATGACAACATGTGACAAATCTTGCAGTTAAGATTTCTCTTGTGAAAATGCAAAAAGTTATGATAATGATAGTCAATATTAATTAAGCCCATACTCTTAACTTGGCTCCCATACTAGGAGCTAAGTGCTACCAGGAATGTTTACAGGTATTATCTCATTTTAACCTTGCACTATCCTTACTAGGAATCATGCTATTTTTATCCCCATTTTACAGAGGAGGACATTGAGGCTAAGAAATAAGTCACTGCTAATAGGTGACAAGGGACAGACTCAAATTCCACATTCCTAAGAATGGAGGCTCCTAGGTCTCAATGAACAACAAGGCCCAGGCTGAATGAATGAGAGACAAGCGGGCACTTACCTTTCTGAGCTTGACTTCAGTGAGGAAGAGCGGGCTGGGAGGGGTAGTGTGGCCGACCTCTTGACTACCTTCTCACCATCAATGTAGCTCATCTCACTTTTTGAGCGAGGCACAGAAAGGGGAGATTTTGCTGGAGAAAGACAGTGCAGACAAAAGACTTAAAACTCATGAAAACTGAGAACAGGGCAATTATCTTCCCTCATCCACCACTTTCCCTTCCGCCCCCACAACCAGGTTATTTGAAGTCACTTACTGTCTTCAGAAAATGAGTATCTGGGAGAGTACAGATCTGAATCATCATCTATTGAACAAAACAAAATGTAGTCAGGAGAAGTCTGGCTAAGGTAAGAGAACCAAGTTGTATGTTCCCCATTTCCACAGTCTGGTACGAGCATCCAGCCCCCCTAGGGATCCCAGCGGACAGAAGAGTGAAGCGCCAGAAGCTACACCACGGCAGAGCACGTTTGAGAGGAGCAAGGTTTGTAGGGCACACCCAACCAAACCTGTAGTCCAGGCAGGACAGTCACAACTGGCAGATGCTGCTGCCTGACATCAAGAAATGCATGGGGACAAACAGCCAAGGGTCCTTCTCTAGAGAATCCACACAACCAAAGCTGGAATGCAGGGTCTGGGTCTGGCTGAGTGGGAAGCAGGGGCTGAGATGGATCCCCGGCTGCACCAGCTCAGTGTACGGTTAAGCTCACCGAGTTCAACAGTGTCTTGAAAGGCCTCTTACCGGGGCCTCGGGCTGCTATTGGGTGGGAAGGAGAGGCCCAGAGGGTGGGTTTTCTAGCTTCTTGCCTCAGCTTTGACCTGTTTTATATGGTAAGCTTTCATACACATCATTAACAAAGAAGTTCTGCAGCTAAGAGAAGAATTTGAGAAAACCCTCATCAAAATTTGTTTTGATTCCACCTCAATCTGGTTCCCTGAGTAGATTTGTTTCCTGGGAACACAACAGACCCATCGTCAAACGGCTTCCTCTGCAAAGGTACTACTCGGAGTGAGTATCTAAACTGCATCTCTGGAGCAAATCAAACTCACGCGTGTCTCTATGGTGGGAGGTGGCTCTCCAAAGGCATGACACACATTCCTACGTAGGCTAGACACTGGGTTCTAAAACTTGCAGAACCTATACAAGACCTGAAGCCCTTGTGGAAGTGGCTGTATCTTCTGAACTAAAAATCAGACCACAGGCACATTGATGGGAACAGGTTTTTAAAGTGGGACTGTCCTGAAAATGCACTTTATCTAGTCACTACATCCATGATGGTCCCTCCAAAGCACTACACCAAAAAGAGTTAGTCTGAAATAGTTAGCCTTTCCCATTTCTAACATCTTGCTAATCTGGATTCAAAATTCACATACATGGAATGAAGACCCAATTCCTTCCCTAAAGTTCATGACAACTTTAGGAAAGCACATGAACTAACCTGCAAAGACAAGTCAAAGAATCCACTGTATGGTGGTGACTTCGTGTTAATCAAGTCCTTGTTTCTATGCAAATCATTTTAAGTTTCAGAAGAGACAAGGCCAGAATATTTTATGAAATATAAATAAGCTAACATTGCTATTATTTTGATAAAGCATTATTCAGACAGCCTCTCTAACAATCACTCCTTCTTGTCCCCTCTTTTCCCCATTTTTATTTGTCTCAGGTCTCCCTTGGCCCACATAAGGGACAGGCATCGGGTACCAAGGTACCTTTTCCCCTACTTCCTTCCCTCACTTTCAAGAATTTATCAATATCAAGGTTGAACAGGGCTTAAGGTTTTTTTCTACCAACATAGCCAAGCCTTTCACTATTTTAAATTGAGTGTGTAAGCTTATTTATGTTATCTTCTGAAAATAGAACAGGGGAAAGAGATAAAGTGGGATCCAGAAAAAGATTTTTTGAAAGATTATTCTGAAAAATTGTGTGTTGACAGTTGTTTTTTTAAACAGAACGTCTGATTATACTGACAAAATGCCATGATGTCAAAGAAAACTAAAAATGAGCTTTGATTACAGGGACTTGATTAGAAAAAATGCTGCAATGAAAATGCCCAAATGAAAAGTTAGCTAGTTAGAAGCTGATGTATGCACTGCTTAAAACGTAGCCTAGCATTTTAGCTCAAAACCCTGTACATCTCTGAATCATGGAGAAATTATAGCTTATCAGTAGATGATAAGATGAAGGTTAATTTATAACTATTACCTGGTTCATGAAGTAAGAAGCAAAGTTTTCACTGGGTGGAGAGGAGTGGCATTTAAATATTCAGGTTTTTTTGTTTTTTTTTTTTAAGCCTGAGCTCTTTAAAAAATGTTTCTATCTAGAGCTTTCTAATGTGGAACTCTAGAAGGTTTATTAGAAGAAAATGAGAAATACTGGTTGAGCGTGGTGGCACATGCCTGTAACCCCAGCACTTTGGGAGGCTGAGGTGGGTGTATCGCTTGAGGTCAGGAGTTTGAGACCAGCCTGACCAACATGGTGAAACCCCGTCTCTATTAAAAATACAAAAATTAGCCAGGCGTGGTGGCATGTACCTGTAGTCCCAGCTACTTGGGAGGCTAAGGCAGAAGAATTGCTTGAACCCCAGAGGCAGAGGTTGGGGTGAGCCAAGATTGTGCCCCTGTACTCCAGCCTGGCTGATGGAGTGAGACTCTGTCTTGAAAAGAAAAAAAAAAAGTAAGAAGAAGAAAATGAGAAATAGTTCTTATAAGATGCGGAAAAAAACAGCACTACTTGGGAAGTTTAACAATGTATGTACTTTGAAAAGGAGAGGGAGAAGCAGGAAAGTTGGAGTTGGGGGATGCAGGTAACAGAGGCGTCTGAAGAACTGAATGTGCTTAAAGCTCCTTTCTTGGACGGGCCTGGTGGCTCACATCTATAACCCCAGTGCTTTGGGAGGCTGGGGCGGGAAGATTGCTTGAGGCCAGAAACCCAAGACCAGCCTGGGCAACATAGCGAGATCCCATCTCTACAAAAAAATTTTTAAAAAATTAGCCATGCATGGCAGCACACACCTGCAGTCCCAGCTACTTGGGAGGCTGAGGTGGGAGGATTGCTTGAGTCTAGGAGTTTGAGGCTGCAGTGAGCTATGACTGTACCACTGCACTCCAGCCTGGGTGACATGACAGAGCAAGACTTTGTCTCTAAAGAAAAAAAAAACAAAAAACACTTGTTTCTTATTCAGTGTCAGTAGAGAAATCTCACCCACGCCAGGCTAACACAGGGCAGGAGAGTATCTGTGAACAAGTTTTCATTTCTCCCAAAGGGTCCACAGGTTCTGATATGTGGATTTCAGCTCATGAACTTTTAACAGGACAAACAAGTCATACAGATTCATCTGAACAACTATAACACAGGACAAGTTCTAGGGCTTGTAAAATCCATTATTTTAATTTTCGATGCTTGTCTTGTAAATCTAATGGAAGGATATTTTACCTCAGCTTATGAATAAAAATAATAATTGTAGCTCCCAGTATTAAGTGACTAACAATGGCTGGTAATTTACTAACGTCATCTCACTTCACCCTTGCAAAAAACTCCAAGAGGAACTAAATACCTCATTTTACAGACAAGGAAATGAAAGCCCAAGTAGGTTGAGAAGATTTGCCCTTAGCTGCAGAGTGAGACAGACAAAGCAGAAATGGATTTAAGGTCTTTCAGATTCCACTTCCCTATGTCATCTAGTAGCCCCGTGACAGAGATGCCTACTGTGTTCTTTCACCCCAGCTTCATCTGCCCAATCCTGGGAAAGCTGAAAGACTGGCTATTCTATTACCATGTTATTATGGAAGAGGCAGAGAAAGATGCTGTCTTGAAACTCAAGGCATGCACTGCACTGCTGGCCAGGCCAATTTCCAGCCCCTGAAGCCTTTGCCCGATTTTTGCATCCCCTCGCCCTCAGTGATGTTTAAGCAAGTTTTCTGAGTTGCCTCACATTTCTAGTTTTCCTCTTGCTGGTCTCCAGGGACAATGGATAACATTGAGTCACTCTTGCTACATCTTTTCTTTTTTTTTTTTTTTTGAGACAGAGTCTCACTCTGTTGCCCAGGCTGGAGTGCAGTGGTGCGATCTTGGCTCACTGCAACATTTGCCTCCCGGGTTCAAGCAGTTCTCCTGTCACAGCCTCCCGAGTAGCTGGGACTACAAGCTCCTGCCACCACGCCCAGCTTGTTTTTGTATTTTTAGTAGAGATGGGGTTTCACCATATTTGTCAAGCTGGTCTCGAACTCCTGACCGCAGGTGATCCACCCGCATCAGCCTCCCAAAGAGCTGAGATTACAGGCATGAGCCACTGCCCGGCCTCTACACCTTCTATTAATAGTTGCTGTTCCTTGCTGCCTTCTCCTGGGAGGCTAAGTCAACACTGGGGATGATGGGTATGCAGTTAGAAATACCAAGGAATGGGAAAACAGTGTAAGGAGCATGTCTGCATTTCTCCACACTAGAGCCAGCCAAATGGGACAAGTGTGCTCAATATAGTTAAGACACATTAAATGAAATGTTTCTCAAATTGTCTATTACCTAGCACCTGAAGCTCGGCCTTCAGTATTTCTCCAAAGGCCCTTTAAAACAATGCTAGAGTGGGCTCAGCTGTGCAGAAATCTTGTGGTTTCTGCTCATGGTGGAACCACATGCTAATTGTGCTCCTCAGAGCTCCAAGCAGCAGACATCAAACCTTGGCAGCAACACTCAGACCTTCCTATGCCAGTGATTTGCAGGAAGCTGTAACACTGCATGGGATTTACACAGGGTAAACAACTCACTTAGGCCTCTGAAGGTCCAGCTGAGCTCTAATGTTTACACAATGATTCTTCTTGGGCTTTGGCAATCTGTCCTTGGTAGCTCGATTTGGGGACAGCCACTCTCCTACAACTGCCAGGAGCCACATAATTGCCTTTTCAACCACAGTGACTTTAAATGAGCTTCCAAATCACTTTTTTTTCCTGTTTCTTTTTCTTTAATTTATAAAAATCTCAAAGACAACTGAAGAAAGTAGTTGTTGAAAGTTGTTCTAAAAAATTGCCTGACTAAAATGGGAGGATGGGCAAAAATCATTTGCATAACCACTTGCCTATATCAATTAAATTTCAATTTTATGCATTTCTCAGGCCTTTAAACTTAAAACAATTTTCCAAATATTAATGGCTCATTTTTGACACAATCTTTCTTCCACTGCTCAACCTAAATCCTCCTCTGGCTTTACCCCCCACACTTAGGAAGAGAAAGGATAAAAGGGTAAAGATAGTCATACATGACCCCCATGAACAAAAATAGTAGTCAGGGGAAAAGACACAGATGTAGAGTTGGGTACTGAGTCTGGGTGGGGTGGGAAAGGAAGAACAAACAAAAGGGCAAGGACGTCAGGAAGCCCAGAGAGCTTGGGGGAAAGCATTACAAAGCTGTCTATGTTTTAGTTAAAGGCCATCAAGTTCTTTTTTTTTTTAAGAGACAGGGTTTCACTTTGTTGCCCAGACTGGAGGGAGTACAGTGGTGTGATCGTAGCTCACTGCAGCCTCAAAATCCTGGGCTCAAGTGATCCCCCTGCCCTGACCTCCTGAGTAGCTGGGATTACAGATGTGGCAATCAAGTTCTAAAGAATGCAAAAAAAAAGACCAGGATAGGGTGTACAGTAGTTATAGAAGACACAGAGAAAAAAATAGAACTCTGAAGAAGAGAATGAGGTGGGGCAAAAAATAAGTTAAAGGAGAAAGTTTGGGAGAACCATAGGGTTAGAAGAAGACTCACCGTCTTCATCTGCTATCGAACTCCTGGGCCGTGAAGGTGGAAAGGGAGTAACTGCTACCGTTTCTTAACTGTCCCACAGGCCAGTCAATGCCTTTTGCACTTGCTAGGCGGAGATCTCCTGGGAAGCTCTCATTAGGAGAACGACTCAGACTCTCCCCTGGGCAGTACTGGCTGGAGTCTGGGGCAGGAGGCACAGATCCCGGCCAAGCATCTTCACAATAGAATTATTTGCTTGAACTCAAACAAAACAAAGCTATTCTTACAAATCCTGTAAGGCCAGTAGAGAATTATTTTAACTCAACTACAGCTGTGCCTGAGAAGATGCACCTCTTTAAATCCTTGCCTTAGTGCAATCTCTTCTAGGAATGAGGAAGAAGCACTGAGACAGACCATTTTGACACCACAACCTGGGGATGCCTAGAGGTGGTGTCTTGAGTGACATCACCGAGAGGTGGCAGTGGCCACCACCAGCCTGAAGTGGTAGAAGAGGCATCACAAAGCATGGGAAAAAAGCTGGTCTCTGGGGCTTCACCTGGACTCGCCTTCTCACTGACATGGTCCAGGAGGTCCTCACAGGTCACGGAAAGTCAGGAGAAGCCACGGACCATGAAGTAACATACCAGTTATCTGGTTTTGCTGCAAATTCTGAGCCATTATTTGAAAATATTTTCCCTCTTCTTGACATCAAATGTGCCAAGTGAGCCAACATCATTTGGGCGTGTTCAGAGTAGGGGGCGCTAATTCTATAAAATCTGCATTCTCCATTCTCATCCTATATCCATATTCCCAAAACTGCATCTGGCCAATTTTCTTCATCTCTTTTTGGGGGCTGGGAAGAGTGGTATTTCCCCATCCCAGTGGTTCTCAATCCTGTCTGTCAATCACTTGAGGAGTTTTCCTAACTATATATTCTTTTTTTTTTTTTTTTTTTTTTTGAGACAGAGACTCACTCTGTTGCCCATGGTGGAGTGCAGTGGTGCGATCTCGGCTCACTGCAACCTCTGCATCCCAGATTCAAGTGATTCTCTTGCCTCAGCCTCCCAAGTAGCTGGGATTACAGGCGCCTGCCATCACGCCCACTGGCTAATTTTTTTTTTGTATTTTTAGTAAAGACAGGGTTTCACTATGTTGGCCAGGCTGGTCTCGAACTCTTGACCTCAGGTGATCTGCCCACCTCGGCCTCCCAAAGTGCTGAAATTACAGGCATGAGCCACCGTGCTGGGTCCCTAACTATATATTTCCAGGCACCATCTGGGAGGTACTGGCTTAGCAGACTGAGGCAGGACTGACTCAGGGGAAGCTGAATGCCTGCAGTCAGATACCAGAGAGCCTCTGGACAAGAAGGGGACAAGCAAGAACACAGAGTCAGGAAGGGGAAAGGAATCTGCAGGGCAGTATAGCAGCGTTGAGTAAAAGCCTGTGTTAATGGAGCCCCAAACACCTAGGTTTGAATCCTGGTTCTGCTACTTACTGTGTAATCTTGCATATATTACTTAATCTCTCTGAACCTCATACTCCTCATTGATAAAATGAAGAGTTACTTCATGGGGCTGCTGGGAGAATGAAAATGAGATAACAATAGTGATATATTCAGCACAGAAACTTGTATGTGGCAAGGGCTCAATTAATGACAGCCACATAGTCACTGAGGTGGTGGTTATGTCATTATAAGACTATTATTATTAATAGGATTACCACTCTGGGCTGCTGAGATGTTGGCCACCACACTGCTGTTCCTTAAAGCAGCAGGGAAGAAAGTGGGGGACTGCATTTCTGAAGCTGTTTCTGCACAGTTTGCCCCCTCCCTTCTGCTAACATCTCTTCCATCCCGTAGACAGCAGTCTCCAAGATTACAAAATGATTAAAAGTGACTGCCCCTTCTTGGAATTTCCAAAGTTTTCTTTTTTTAAAAAGAACATTTTAACCCTCATTGACTGAGACATGATAACTCTATTTATAGTCTAAAAGTCTGGCCAAAAGTTTGCTTTTTCACTGTAGCTGGGGGAAAAAAGAAGGTTGCTAAGCCAGCATAAACAAACTTTCACACAGTCCCTTACTATTGAGGAGGATCAGCTTTGAGAGCTTTAGAAATGTCTTTTTTATACTGTATAAACAACTAGAATTTAGACAGAGATGGCAGCCCTTAGGCTAGGCTTTGATAGGTTTATTACAAATAATTCTAGTTCCAAATTCTGAATTAAAACCAAACAAAAAAACCCAGCAGTAAAAACAAACTTCTCCCCAGGAGAGAGACTCTGGAATGATGGCTCAGATTTCTCAGTAACGCTGTTTCTTAATGCACATTAACATCTGTGGGTAGAGCCTCCACTTGGTGCTGATCTGTCTTGAATGCCTTTCTTTGAAAGGCATACATCTTTCCTATGTTAAGAAGGATGTGCATAGAGCGCAGGGCCACCTATCGGGGAGCACAGAGCTGGAGCAGCACCACGGACAGGGCTGATGAGGCCCTGCTGGAGCTCACAGACAACATGAAAACCACAAATCAAGGATCAAGAAATCCAGAGACTCTCTTGAAATGGTTTAAAAAAAAAAAAAAAAAAACCTCAAAACCAAAAACCCTGTGATTATTTTAAATGATCTAGCTCAAATGTTTCCATCACTTGTAAGAAGCCTTGATCTAATTGAATACATCAGTGATCTATGCCCGGATATGTCATCTAGGCAGGAGTGGGGGCGTGAGATGGAATTTACCCTATTTTTAAAAGATCTCCAGGGAGGATGTCTTTTTAGAAACTTGTGTTAAAGTCTAATCATCTTTGCTATTAATTTTTTTATATCCAACCTAATTTTTTCCTTTTTATTCTTTAAGACTATTTCTTCCTTTCGGTCTCTGAAAATAAAAAAATAGTAAGGTTTGCTTCTAAATTATATGTGATAAGTTATCATGACATCCCTTACTGTTTATGCCTCTATGCAAAATAAATCCAGTTCCCCATATGCTGGACTTGATGCATGCCAAAAATCAGACGTGATCGTCAGCAGGGGTTGCTAGGTATGGTGGCTGATGACACAGGAGCTCTGGCTGTGCGGCCATGAAACCCTGTCTTTGGACCAACAGCCAAGCTGACTGTGGAAGCTGTGGGTGCTGCCTGTGGCAGGCCTAAGGCAGTCTTCCAGTCTGATGGGAGCCACTGTTCCTCTCCACAGGATTTCTTCAAGTGGGCCTTCCTTTGCCTGTGTCCGTGGGATACTGTGCCTTCTGCATGCTCTGTGCTTGTTGCCTTGAAGGAAACTCTTATCTTACGAGTTTGGCTGGGTTTGCAAGTCTAAATAAAGCACAAATCGAAAATTGCAACTAGTCAAAATTACTCTGAAAAAACTCCCTAACTCAACTCAGTCAGTTGTTTCTTCACCAATGCTTTTGTGTGGTAATCAGTATCATGAGACAGAAAGACTGCGCTCTCTACACCAAATAGACTCTTCTTGGCCTTGAGGAAGACACTGATCAGAATTAAATTATCAGCTTTTAGTTCTGTAAGTCTGGGTTTGTTTGGTAGACCTTTCTTTTCATTCAAAATAGGCCCCAGGTATGAAATGGTTGGAAACCAATTACTGGGGCATATGAGAGACCAAAAATGGCCTATGGTATTTTAACTGTATCCAACACATCCCAGTGTGTCATCTCATATATGACTGATCAGTAAGAGTTTGGTGAATGATTGAATGAACAACTTTACCAATGATGAGAAGGGCTGAGAGGGATGGTCTGCTGAGCAGATTAGAGTAGAGAAGCATCAAGATGGTGGCACTGGCATTCATCCCTAAGAAAGAACTCTGGCTCCACAGTCCAAAGCCTTCATCATCGCTGTTTTCCAGGTATTGCTGAGGGCCCACTGTGTGCCGGCAAGGTTTTCTGTGGCGTTCTGGACACACGCTCTCACAACTGCCCCCACACTGGACTCAGTCAGCTGAAGTGACCTTGCTGAACTCTCTGCCAGATGGGAACTTCTGAGGATGGGGTACATGTCCTATTCATGGCATTACTTCCAACGACAGTGCCTGGCACACAGCAAGTGTTCAATACTACTTGAATGAATGAAGTTCAGAGCACTCAACATCTCATCCTAGAACAGTATTTAACAAAACTTCCTCCTCCATACCGTATCTATTCACCCTCATCTGGATTACTCATCCAAAGATCAGATAATCCCTGCTATTAGGATAATTCTCAAGATGTTGCCCCTAACTCACATTTTAGAAACTTCCTTGACATTTAGACTTTTTCCCCAGAAATAATATTTCTTAGACACAAATGTGACTGTCTTCCCCAGCAGGTACAAATTCCTATCCAGCTCTTTCATTAAATGTTTTCCAGCTTAGCTAAAACCCTTATTTTCAAGAAATGTCATCTCCCACTATGACTGAATCTTATACCTGGATACCTCTTTAGGAATTCCCTACCAAAGAGAGATACCCTGAGGGCCCATGAAAAGAGTTAGTTGCAGGCATGAGAACTGGGTAATTTTCCTGTTGACGGTTACAGATCTACCTCCTGCCCACCCGCTATAATGACTCAGCTTCCCTGAGTCACTGCTCAACCACCAGCATCAGGTGACCACCTCAGGTACAAAGCCTTGGGTAGTTGGGTAAAGGCAGCTTTGACCAGAGCCCCACATGTTCAAAACATTGTAACTAAGCTAACACTGGCTACCCCGTTAATCATGTAAACCCTAGGGGAATAGGACTAAAATACCATCTGGATAGACTCCGGTGATACAGTCAGCAAGGAGTGAGACACCACCACAAAACACAAGGTTAGAGGGAAGCAAATGACTGGGAAACAGCCCTTAGCCACCAGGAAAAACCCCAAGGTAAAAAAGAAAGTAGCAGCACCAGTACGGAGAGGCACACAATTTTCCTTTAATTACCTTCAGATTTAGGACTAGGAGTAGATGCAGGAAACTGGTAGGTGGGAGTGTAAGGATTGTCCTCTGTAGCAGAGAAAAGCAGTGGATTTTGAAACTATCCACCAGGAAGTAGAGGAAGTGACAAATCCCAATTGACTCTTTCGAATGACTGATTACCTATTTTAGTGTTATTAAAGCACACAGGCATCACACTTAAAAATAGATTAATGAATTAGAAAGGATTTAGTTATTTTAACATAGCACATCATGCAAATGAGTGAAATAAAATTTTCACCAGCCAAAAATGACTATGAAAATAAAATCTAAAAGCCCAAATCTTATGCCTACAATGGAACTATAAGAATTAATTTAAAGCTCGGACAACAGATATGCTGTCTAAGTTTATGGTACCTTCGGAAGTTTGCTGGATTTCAGGAAGTTCAGGGAATTTGTACGTAGGGAAATAAGGGTTTTCTTCAGGAGTGTCTAGGCAGAGGAGCAGGTTTGGGAGAGAGAATAGAGGAAGATACAAATGGAGAGAATAAACGAGTAGGAATCCACATACAATTTAGGCTCCTTGAATTCTGGAACATACTAAGCTTCACTAGTGATATGAAAGAAATTCAAACTGCTTTTAAAAATCCAGTCCTTTTGCCTGAATTACCGAGACACATAGAAAGAGACAATACCATTACTCTTCTTGGACAAAGAATTGCCATGAACAGGCTCCAATGGGCAAGAAACATTTAACATAAAGCATCAGGTTTTTACTTTTGATAGGCAAGAAATATTAAGTATGATAATAAATAGTATGTAATAAACATGCTATCCTAACATGATTTTTTTAAATCAAAGCTTGTATTGTGGACATTCAGCAAACAAGTAGATCATTAATTTTTCAAATACCTCTGCCTACCATTAAGGCAGGTAGTTTTGTTTAGCACCTACAATTTAGATTAAGAACTATAACATGAGAACACCAAAGCTGCCTGTGGGGCAAAATTACATATTTTGCACATTTACATGCATTAATGTCTCTGCAGTTAGGCTTCCAAAGCTGGGTCTAAAGGTGAGAGTCACAGATTGCAAGACGAAATGGGCAGTGACTTCAGGAAGTGATGAGTGGAGATGACCCCATCTGATCACAGAAATCCAAGCATTTAGTTTCACCACTGTGACCACGCTCATCCACCCAACCACAGCGGATTTACTCTTCATTGGAAATGCTAAACGCCTCAATATTTAGAGCACTTCGATATTTAGAAACAGTTTGAACAGGGGCACACCCAGGTTCACTTTGAACCCAGCAGGAGTTAATTAACAGTGATGTTAGCTGGCATCCGCAGCTCATCAGAGAGATTGCACTTAGGTGGGAACACTGACCAGAACACTTTCTCTTTGCCTTCATGTGTCATCCATGACAGGCAGCCAGACTGGATGTGGGTAAGGGGAAGGGCAGGATGCTCTGCCTGTGGGAGAAGTGGTACCCTTCCCACAGTGCAGCTGCATCCCGCCTATCAGCTGACTGGCGGCACAGGCAGCGATGGGAGCCGGTGGGGTCATGTCCTGCCCAAGCACTGGCCTGCGGTTCTCCATGCTGGGTCACCTGCTGATAGCCCAGCCGGCATCTGATTTGGAAGTGCTGCTCTTTCAGCTTGAGCGGGCTTTGGTGTGTCAGCTCCTGACTGACTCTCAGGGCTACCTGCCAAGGGCTGGCTCTCAGCTGGGGCAGATTATTGTTCGTATTAACACAGCCTGAGAGGCGTACTATGCATTCTACTTCACAAGGCCAAATGTGTTCTCCTTTAGACCTGTGACATTCTCCGGAGGAAAGGAAGCAGAACAAACACAGAAAGGTACATGATTGGTCCAAGGTTACCCGAGTGCTTGGGGGACTCAATCCAGGTGAGAACATTTTTTTTTTTTTTTGAGACAGAGTTTCACTCTTGTTGCCCAAGCTGGAGTGCAATGGCGCAATCTTGGCTCACCGCAACCTCCGCCTCCCGGGTTCAAGTGATTCTCCTGCCTCAGCCTCCAAGTAGCTGGGATTACAGGCATGTGGCACCACGCCCAGCTAATTTTGTATTTTTAGTAGAGATGGGGTTTCTCCACATTGGTCAGGCTGGTCTCGAACTCCTAACTTCAGGTGATCCACCCGCCTCAGCCTCCCAAAGTCCTGGGATTACAGGCTTGAGCCACCGCGCCCGGCCAGAGAACAGTGTTCTTAATTCCCAGTTCAGTGCATTCTCAACTCACTCTGCCCACAAGGCAGTCATGGGCTGACACAGGGAGATGTACCTAAAGCTGGAAGCAGGTGGGTGATGGAGCTGCTCACATCCCAGGCAGACAGATGCTGGAGCACAGGCAGAGTGCTGGGCTCAGCCTGCTGCATTCCACATCTGGGAGGAAGGATTTGAGAGCAGATCTCAAATTCCACCTCTGAGGCAGGCACACAAGTGCTTCCTCCCTCCTGTGCTCTGAAGGTGCATGGCTGGGCTCAGGCAGACCAGTACCTAATGAGGTCCAACTGCAGGACCCAGTCTTCTGGCATCCTAGCAAAGTGAGTTCAGGCCCACAAAACGTGTATTGGCACATAGCACAGCACAGCTTCTACAAATGAAAATCAGTACCTCTGTTCAGTTTGTGGATCTGTTTAAACATAGTCTTGTACCAGTCTTTTGATCTCTCAGTGTTCTGTAGAAAAACAAAGGCAAAGAGCAAAATTAAATGACTATCTTGACACATTTCAGACCTCCTATGATTTCAAAATCAAAATGGAAAGTAACAATATCTGAATTCAAAACTCAGCCACATTTATCTTTTTTAAAAAGGCAAAACTTTTTAGAAAGAGAAAAACCAAGAGTCCCAAACCTCAATCTACAGGGTAATATTTGGCTGAAAGGATACAGATTTTGAAAACAGTGGATGAGGATACACTTGAAAGGTATCCATTTTTAAATTTTTAAAATTTCACTTTTAGATAGAATCTCTCCATATATAGACTGTGCCAAACTGAAGGAAAGTCTCCTAGAAATATAAGAGACAAAGGATATTTGCTTATCATGCTGTGCCCCCAACCATTCTAGATTATTCAACAGCAATGTATCCGAGTCACCTTGCATAGGGCCAGATTTAGAATGCATACATTAAAACATAACTCGTTATAGCATCCACTGCCAGAGTTTTCACCCTAACCACAAAGTTGGAATGGTTGGGCTTTTTTTTTAAGATAAAAATAAAACAAGGAAGGTGACAGATAGGTGGCTAGATATTTTCACTCCCACTTTACAGAAGAGGAAATGAGATACAGAATGACAAAGCAAACTGCCCAAAGTCACAGAGCTGATGAGAAGGTGAGTGGAAGGGCCATCCAACGTGACGGTTAGGGGTAAGGGTTTGGGAGTCAGACAGACCATTCTGTCACCCACAAGCTGTGCAATCTTGGATGAGTAACAAATCCCTGAGTCCCCATTTCCTCATCTATAAGATGGAAATGATATTAGTATCCATTACTCACTTGGATGAGTGATGCTTAAATGAGATAATGTACTCAGCAAATGGTAGCTGTGATTTCTCTTAGGAATAACTCTCCTTCTATATTACTACTTAGAACCAGAGAAGAGTTATTTTGAGGCTTAGTCCACTGTGGTTTCTATTGGCCTCTTCCAAAGGGACATATTTGTTAAATGGAAATCACAGTGGAACATATTGCAGGCAATGGTCTAGTAGACACATGGAAAAGAATGGAATTCACCCAAATCCAGTTCCAAAAGTTGCCTAGCTTTATGTTAAATGTTTCTTGCCCATTGGAGCCTGTTCCCTGGAATTCCTTAGGGCCTGCAGGACTGGCAGGCCTGTGCTGCCGGGGAGAGCTGGGTCAGGGATGCCATGAGACCTGCTCTGTCCTGGAGGCTTGGCTGGCGGAATCCATTCTGAGGTTCCCTTAGTGTTCCCTACTCACTTTGGATGACATGTGATCTCCCATCCAGGGAGATCTTCCTGAACCTGTCAAAAGGGACCTTGGGCCTCACACTCTCCCCAGGATTCTCTTACCCTGGACCAGGAATTTCTCAACATGCTCCACACAGAACAATAATGAAGACTGCCCATAACATTGTCCCTAGAACACTCACATACTCAAAGCCTCTGAAAAGTTCTACAGCAGAGAAATCTCTCTGACTTGGTCCACCCAGCTTTTCCTCACATTTACTTGACCACGAAACCCTTTATTCATAGGACTTATAACATCCAACACCCACTTTGGGAAAAGCTGTTGTACACCAAGTCTGGAGCATAGCTTCTGGGGGATCTGGCACTCATGGGGCTTACAGAGACGATGGTGTGATGGGGTTCACATGTACTCAGAGTGTACACTTGTCACAGCTTAAGATGAAGCCTAAGAAGGACCTCTAAGTCAATATACATACCCGGAGTGGGATGCCCACTTCATCCATGGAAACATCGCTTAAGTCCTGAGTGCTCTTCACCACCCGCCTACTGTCATCCTTTGCTCTTTTTTCAATAGCCTTGCCAGGTGAGGTGGGTTTTTCCTGGGTTGGTGCTGAGTCCTGCTCTCCCACTCTTCTTTCTGAGACAGGATCTGGAAATGAAAAGCAATTGTTAGCTGAAGCTCTTTTGGTAGCTGCAAAACAAAACGCTCCTGAACAGGCTAGCTGGGGGGAAGCGTGTCTGCTAATTCTCAACTGGAATTAGTTCTGTTTAGAGCAGGGGTCAGCAAACTTTGGCCCATGGGCTGATTTTACTGGAACACAACCATGCCAATTCCTTTACATATTATTTATGGGTGCTTTTGCACTACGATGGCCGAGTTGAGTAGCTGTGACAGAAACCATATGGCCTGCAAAGTCTAAAATATTTATCATCTGGTCCTTAAAAAAAAAAAAAAGCCTTGCCAACAGTGTGATCAGAGCTTTGCAGAGGTATGCACATCGTGCTCTGGTCAACTGAGTAGTTCTGACTGTTCTAGAAATTAAGGAACAGGTAGAACCACAGGATGGGGCTAACATTACTTGAAAGTTTTCGATTCCTCTTGAGGAAGTCACTTAACTTTTCCATGCCTCAGTTTTCCTATCCAAAAACAGGGATAACACTTCTATTGGCAAGCTCACAGCAATGTGGTGAGAGGACTTATCAGGATAACTTATGCCAAAGTGTTCAGGAAGCTGTACATTGCTAAGTATACATTATAGATTATTTTTGTTCAAGACTGGAAGATATAGAGCACTAACAAAGATACCACATATGACCTAAGATTATAAAATTACTTAATAGAATCTGGCTTCCAAGCTATGACATTTATTTATTGGGCAGACATTGTGCTCTGCCTTGTGGACATGAAGGTGAGCATTCCAGAATCTTAGCCTTCAGGGAGCTTACAGTCTAGTGGGCAGAAAAACCAAGTGAGCCAGCAATGAGAATGCAGGGTGACAAAGGCCGATTCTCAGAAGAGAAGCCAATCAGACTCACAGGAAGCGAAGGGTGCTCCAGAGGAACAGCTTAAATAAATGCTTGGGGGCCTCTGGACTACTGAGCTAATTATGTGCCAAGCAATGCAATAAACTCTTCATTTACGTTCTCTCATTTTATCCTCCCAAAGATCTATGAGGAAGAAACTATTATCACCTTTTTTTTTTAATAGTTAAAGGATCAATACACAGAGAAGTTAAAGTACCCTGCCTGCGGCCACACAACCAGCTCATAGCCAAGCTGTGATGTGGCCTAATGTCCACCTGACTCTAGCAGTCCTCTCTGAACCACATCCTGTCTTGCCTCTTTCAAAGATGGTACCAAGGTTTCAAGTCTGGAAGCCTGGCCTAAGCCAAATGGAGAAGTTAGAATTGGGTTAGGAATGGGAGGGAGAAATGGCTGCTTCCATATGGACTATGGTAACTTTGAGAAGACAGCAAGATACTCAAGTAGGAATGCCCTAGAGATCCCTAGAGGAACTATGAAGGGGCCCAGGTGAGACACCCTAACAGGAGTGCAACTTTGGAGGCATCAGCCCAAAAGTGATGGCTGACGCCAGGGAGATGGCAGAGCTCAGTGGTGGACAGAAGCAAGGCCAGAGTAAAGCGCTAAAGTCATGCATGGAAGGGCACCACAGTTATAGCTGCAAGGCAAAAGAATCCCCAAAGTGATGCAAAGTAATCCGAGGGACAGGAGATGAACCAGAAAAGTACACAAGGTGCCACTGAACCAGGGAAGACAGAACTCCAAGAAGTGGGTGGTTAAATGTCTCAAAAGAAAAAAAAAAAAAAACCCCAGAAATTGAAGCAGAGGAGGAGGCGGCATTAGATTAGGCAAGAGAGAAGTCACAGGAACACTCTGAGGGAGCAACTTCAGGAGGGCAGTGGGGGTGGGTGCCAGATTGCACAGAGGGTTGAAGGTGTAAGCAGGAAGTTGGGGGAGTGAGTGGGGAGTTCAGCACAGAGGAAGGAATGTACTAGATGGTAATTCAAGAGGTCAAAGGATTAGGGACAAAAAGGTTTAAGCTGGCTGGGTGCCGTGGCTCATGCCTCTCAACATATCAGGAGGCTGAGGCAGGAGGATTGCTTGAACCTAGGAGTTCAAGACCAGCCTGGGCAACATAGCGAGACCCCATCGCTACAAAAAATTAAAAAATTAGCCAGGCACATGCCTGTTGCTTCAGCTCTTGGGAGGCTAAGTTGGGAGGATCTCCTGAGCCTGGGAGTTCGAAGCTACAGTAAGCCATGATCATGCCACTACACTCCAGCCTCAGCAATAAAGCAAGACTCTGTCTCAAAAAAAAAAAAAAAAAAAAAGTTTAGGCCAAGGGAGCCTAAAATCCTGTCAGTGAGAATGAGGCCCATGAGGTAAGGATGAAGGGCATCAAGATGTGCTGTGGCAATTAGTAATTGCTCAGTTAAAACCTGCTTATTGATTGACTATGGACAGGTTCTCGTCTTTAAGAAAGGAACAGGTGCAGACTGCTGGCTGGGGGACTACACTCGGGTGAAAAGGAAGAATGTGAGGACACATGCAAAGTTGTGACAAAGTCAGAGATGTCTGTAAGTGGAGGAGACGCTGTAGAAGTGGGGGAAACAATGACTCCAGCATGCTCAGGTTTTACAACTTTCATTCTCCTCCATGGGGTCGTGACTGCCCACATCCAAATGATTTCAAGGCTTGGTAAGTGCTTCAGAAAGCCTGATCCCTGGCATCATCACCATCAATGTCAAAGGATGTTAAGAACAGATTGGCTTTATGGAATGAGTTCTCATGCTCCCAGAAAATTGCAATGCAAGGCCAAGGATTTGGCAGGAAGCCTGGAAGTGTAGAGGGATTTTGAGTTACCCAAGTCTACCCTTAATGTGGCTCTGCTGAACATTCTCCTCCCACCTGGAAAGGCCTTCTGTTGAATGTGAGCAGAAAGGAGCAGATGAGGCTGAGTTCAAGCTCAGTCTTACATGGTGCTTTAAGATCATGGTGAGGATCACAGACATGCCATACTCAGGGTCAAGGCAGGTGACTCTAACAACAATCACACTTGACTGAAAAAATCAGGCTGATAGTCCATGGATTTCTCCTAAAGCTGCCAGTGTCCTTTTGATCTACAAAATTTAGCCCTGAATTGTTTTACTTGAAAGCTTGTGGTCATGTGACTCATCACTGAGTGGATTTCAATATACAGAGAGCCCCTGAAGAAAAAGTGTCACTTTACATAATGAAAACCCAAAGTGACACTTAACTGTACCATGCAGGTGACAGGGCCAGGTATTGACATCCATATTACAATGAGGGCTTGCTATTTTCTCAGTAGGAAAATGCTGATCCTTCACATGACATCCTGGGGGCATTTCCTCTTAGTCTTTTTTTTTTTTTTTTCTAATTACACAGGGTCTTATTCTCTTACCCAGGCTGAAGTGCAGTGGCATGATCATGGCTCACTGCAGCCTTGACCTCCCTGAGCTCAGGTGATCCTCCCACCTTTGCCTCCCAAGTAGCTGGGACTACAGGTGTGCGCCACCACATCTGGCTAGTTTTTTTGTATTTCTGTGGAAATGGGATTTTGCCATATTGCCCAAGCTGGTCTCAAACTCCTGGGCTCAAGGAATCTGCCCACCTCTGCCTCCCAACTGCCTGCCTCTGCCTCCCAAAGTGTTGGGATTACAGGTGTGAGTCACTGCGCCTGGCCCCAGCTAATTTTTTGTATTTTTTTTTTATAGAGACGGGGTTTCACCATGTTGCCCAGGCTGGTCTCAAAGTCCTGAGCTCAAGCAATCTGCCCATCTTGGCCTTCCAAAATGTTGGGATTACAAGTGTGAGCCACTGCAAATCTAGCCTCCTTCTAGTTTTATACTGTGCTTTAAAATGGAAGGTTCTGGGCCACTAAATAAATGACAATATTGATAACCTCAGATGGGGCCTCTGTTTGAAGGAGGTGGGATAGCTTCCCTTTTCTTCACACTGAGAGCTGGTGACTGAGGATTACAGCAATGCTCACACTTCTCTGCAGAAGAACGATGGCCTCTCTACACCCTATGCCAGCCTCTCTCTCCCAGCCCTTATCTTATTATCCCATCCATCTCCCCAAGGGGACTGAGAGGTACCTGAGAACACCATGTAGGCTTCATTCCCAGATGACTCTCCCTGAACATCAAGCCTCATGGAGACTCAACAAAAATCTGCTACAGAGAGGGAGGCTGGCAGCCCTGGAGTCCCGTCCCCACAGGTGATGGCTAAGCCTTACTTGCTCTAAGAGACTAGAGAGTGCCAACCCAGCCAGCCCTCTCTCTTTCAGGAGCTCCTGAACAAAGCTGTACTACTTCTTTTAAAGCATAAACTAATATTTAGTGAGCACCTACTTTAGGCCCCACTCTATCAAACATCATCAGCAGATCTGTCCCAAAACTCAGAGAAAGCGATAGCATCAGTCTTATTTTAGAGCCAAGGAATAAGCCTGAGCTGCCAGCACGGTGGAGCCACCCTCATTTGTTTTTTTTTTTTTTTGAGACAGAGTCTTACTCTGTCACCAGGCTGGAGTGCAGTGGCACGATCTCAGCTCACTGCAACCTTCGCCTCCCTGTTTCAAGCGATTCTCCTGCCTCAGCCTCCCAAGTAGCTGGGACTACAGGCACGTGCCACCATGTCCAGCTAATTTTTGTATTTTTAGTAGAGACGGGTTTTCACCATGTTGGCCAGGATGGTCTCCATCTCTTGACGTTGTGATCCACCTGCCTCAGCCTCCCTAAGTGCTGGGATTACAGGCATGAACCACTGCGTCCGGCCCACCCTCAAATTTTTACATGTCTTTTCTCAATGCACAAAACATCCTCCCCATTCCTGTCACAATAACACCTCCTCCAGGCTGGGGCAAGGATTACCACCCTTGTTTCCCATATGAGGAAACTGGCTTAGAGGGATGAAGTCACTCACACAGAAACACACAGCTCCAAGAAGAAGGAGCTAGGACCAAACTCTGCATCTCCTAACGTATGGCTGGAGGCCTTTTTTATCTATTCTACCCTTCTTTCAAATTCCCACCAACAGGAAGGAGCCCACAGGAGCCACCTTTTTTTTTCAGAGCCACCACTCTTAGCAACCTCGGCTGGGGCCAGAGAATGAGGTGGGCTGGAGAGTGGCAGCTGGAGGAGGGACAGCCAAGGACACCTTGAGGTCAACCACAGCCTGTCTTGGTCTCAGAGCCAAGTCCTGATAAGGCTGAGAGGGTGTGAGAACCCCATGTCCTCCCCACCCAGGCTCGCCACCAATCACAGAACAGCAGTGGCATGAAGTTGCACAGAAATCATGTAGCAGCTGTTCAGAAAACAGTGGCTTTTGTTATCCACCAATCAGTGATTCTGAACCCTGAAATTCATGAGTGTGTGCAAATCCACAGAAATCATGTGCACATGTTTACACGTGTGGCTTTTTTTTTTTTTTTTTTAGAATCAATCTATTGCCTTCAATAGCTTCTCTCAAGGAGTCCATTAACAAAGAAAAGTTACACACTCTTGCGCCACACTATTAGCAGCTCAAGGGCAGCACAGTTCCCTGATGTAGCCTCAGAGCCCCGTGCAGTGCAGGGTACAAAGGAAGCCCTGAATACAATGGTAAGTGAACCCACAGAGCGCCGCCTGGTAACAGGAATGCACATCTATTAAGTCATGCATCTATTAAGCAGCAGCTCAGTGCTGAGCTGTTAATGAGCGGAATCTCATCTGATCGTCATACAACCTGGGAGGCACTACAGCTTTCCTCACTTGATAGTAAGAAAACTGAAGCCCAGAGACTTAGATAACCTGCCTGAGGCAGCACCAGACCCAGGATTCAAAGCAGAATGGCTACAGGAAGCCACAAGGAAATAGCTACACATTCCCCTTCCTGGGTTCCCTCCCTACTCTGACATGGTCCCAATCCTACACACTTTATCAAAGGGTGAGCTAATTATATTTGTATATGTCTGATTATATTTGCAGTCACTCCCCACCATTGTCAACTCTTGCCACCTGCCACACTCAAGTGCGGTCAGCACAGAGGGCAGCATTGGCATCACCAGGGAGCTGGGCAGAAATGCACATTCTCTTGGCCAGGCACAGTAGCTGGTGCCTATAATCCCAGAACTTTAGGAGGCTGAGGGAGGAGGATTGCTTGAGGTCAGGATTTGACACCAGCCTTGGCAACATAGTGAGACTCCAGCTCTACAAAAAAACTTTAAAAAAAAAACTAGCTGGGCATGGTGGTGCACACCTGTAGTCCCAGCTACTCAGGAGGCTGAGGTAGGAGGATCACATGAGCCCAGCAGTTCAAGGCTGCAGTAAGCTATGATTGTGCCACTGCACTCCAGTCTGGGTGACAGAGCAAGATGCTGTATCAAAAAAAAAAAGAAAAGAAAAGAAAAGGGAAGAAAAAGAAATGCAAATTCTTACTCATACCCACCATTAAATCCAAATCTCTAGGGGGATGGCCTAGGAATCTGAGTTTCGACAAGCTCTCCAGGAATTTCTGATGCCTGCTCAAATTCAAGAAGCAGTTTTCTCACACTGTCTTCTGGGCACTGCTGGTCGGAAGGTTCTCACCTGGACCCACCACCCCAGGGGCATCTACTGGCATTTGGGCTTGCCACCCAAAAAGGAGAGAACTTGCCCATATCTCCCAACCCCTGACTCCTCACATCCAGAAGGGAGACAGAAGCAGCAGAAAGATGACCTCTTCAGAGAGGCCTGCCATGAACACTGCATCTAAAGCTGGACTCCTGGTTCTTTTTAACCCAGAACATCCTGTTCTTATCCATCAAGGCCCTTATCACAGTTCCATGGGACATGTTTACTAGTGTGGCTCACTGGTCTGGTCTGTCCACCACCCTGCAAGCTCCAGGGAGGCAGGAACTATGCCTATTTTCATCATCTTGGTAGTCCAGCAACAAAGAGTCTCCCCAAGACATCAGAGGATCTTGGAAGATATTGCTGATTGAATATCGGGCGGTGACCGGAAGACGGTTTCAACAGGAACAGGGATTAACACATAAATAAATATTTCTCACCTACCTGAAAGGCTACTGAGTCGTTTTTGCTGTTCTGTGATAAAAGAACACACAGTGTAAGTAAGATTTATACAGCACATAGTAAGACCAAGAAGCCCTGGCATAACTCGTTAGGATCTCAACCCTGAGTCCTCACTGTCCTCTGGACTTAGATGGTACAATGTGCATGCAGCCAGCTGACTGCAGGGGTATTAGCGTGGCTCCCATTATGCCAGTGTGGTGTCTCCCAGCCTGCCCCGCTTCCAGATCTACACCAGGATTCAGGGGACTGCCACAATTTTCTAGCTGTTTACATCTTATCTCAAGATGATTCCATCATAGAAGGGAATCCATCCAACCCTCCAGCTTCAAGTGAGCAAGGCCTTATATGACCCCAGTCTTGGTACCTTTTGAGGGAAATGTAATTATAATCACAACCATGACAGTGACCGTCTCCTGAGAGCTTGCTAAATGCCAGGCGCTGTTTTAGCGCTTTTGCAAATAACACTTGTAAACTTTGCAACAACTCTAGTAGTTGGGTACGATTATTCTTTCCCATTGTACAGAGGAGGAAACGAAAGCCTGGCCTTAGTCACTATAGTAATCTGGCTTGTCCGGAGTACAAGAAAAATCCTTAAAAAATCAGCAATGGCCGAGAAACTTCAGATAAGGGGCACAAATCGCCCAAGATAACACTGAAAATCAGCTGGATCTAGAACCTGGATCCCTGACTCCTAGTCCAGAGTTCATTCCAATTCTAGTCATCAAGACCTTGCTGGTCCTTGGCATTGAAGGGTTATTGGTTTCTCACCATCCTGGGCACTCATGTGGAAGGGAAGCCACATCTCCTTTGTGGAGTCCTAATGTGTACGTGCTATGAGATGAGAGTACAAAAATGACCTTTACCTTCCACAGCCGCTAAATATAAAGCAGCCACATAGATAAAAATAGAACATTTGCCAACCCGTGGGTACTGTCATCATTCCCCTTGGCTGCGTTCCCACCCTCCTGCTACAATCAGTGTGAACCAGAAGTAAACAGCGAGCAGCTCAGGAGCTCACAGCCTGGGAAGCGGTGCCTGGCCACCTCTGCCACATGGATGAGGTTCGTACTGGCTGAACATGCAGAAGCCCAGTGCAGCTCTGGCCTCAGCTCTGCCAGCAACTTTCAGATGACAATGGCCAATTCACTAAACCTCTCGGCCTCAGTTTCCTTGTCTGTTATGTCAAAGGGCCCTATTGGTACTAAGGGGACCTACGGTTCCCACACACTACACTGAAGGCTGCTGAGCTCCAGCTGGCAGAAGTGAATGTATTCCACTTAAAAGATCATGTTGCCAACATGGCGAAACCCCATTTCTACTAAAAAATACAAAAATTAGCCAGGCGTGGTGGCACACGCCTATAATCCCAGCTACTCCAGAGGCTGAGGCATGAGAATTACTTGAACCTGGGAGGCAGAGGTTGCAGTGAGCCAAGATCGTGCCACTGAACTCCAGCCTGGGTGACATAGAAAGACCCTGCCTCAAAAAATAAATAAATAAATAAATGAAAAAGACCACGTTGGCCAGGCACGGTGGCTCATGCCTATAATCCCAGCACTTTGGGAGGCCGAGGCAGGCAGATCCCTTGAGCCCAGGGGATCAGGACTAGCCTAGGCAACATGGTAAAACCCCGTCTCTACAAAAAATATTTTAAAATTATCCAGGTGTGGTGGCACACGCCTGTGGTCCCAACTACTGGCATCGAGAGGCTGAGGTGGGAGAATCACCTGAGCCTGGGAGGTTGAGGATGAAGTGAGCCATGACTGCACCACTGCACTCTAGCCTCAACAACAGAGTGAGACCTTGTCTCAAAAAAAAAAAAAAAAAAAAAAAAAAAGACTATGTTGTCTCCAGTTTTGAGGTGTGAAATAGCCTTTCTTTCATAGGATGACATGCAACACAGGTAACAGTGGCCACTTTCTAGTGGTGTTATTTTAAAGCATTAGAATGAAAAACCCTAGGGTGATCCCTAGACTGCTTCATGTGTCCGTAAGTCTGGGAACCTCTGAGCTCTAGTTCTCAATGTGGTCGGTGGGCCAGTGGCACTGGTATGCCTAGCAAGCTTGCTGAAAATGTAGAATCTCGTCTCCTCCACCCCAAACCTCTTGAGGCTGAACCTGCAAGTTAACAAGACTCTCAGGATCCGACGCACATAGACTGAGAAGCCCTAAGCAAGGGGACCCACGCACCTCTTTTCATCCTGAGAGTTTTCTGATTCAAAGCCTCCCTCCCAGACAGATGGTAAGCGATTTGTCTTCATACCCATGTGGTGTGAAAACTCAGGAAAGAAGGGGAAAGGGCTGTGTTGTTCACAACCATCAGTACCAGGCCAGAGGCTCAGTGCCCCTCTGTTTCTAGTAGGGGTAAGCTGGCTTGGAGAGACAGGATTATTGCCACACTATGCCCTGGGACAGTCTAGGCAAAAAAAAAAAAAAAAAAAAAAGGGGGGGGGGGGCAGGGAGGGAGGCATTTTTTAGGATGACAAAACTAGAATTCCAGAAGTGGAGTAAAGTTATTCCCTCAGGAGACTTTGCAATAATTAAGAAATTATTTTTATGGGTACTGTTTATGAAGCAAAGCAGAGCTGCCAGGTTAGGCAAATTCCAAAGCAATGCCAAAAACACTTGACCTAAACCCCATTTATGATTAGTAATACGGGGCTGGGCCAGTGAGGCTCTTCTCTTCTTCCTGATGCTTCCTGCCCCACCTGCTTAGTGAACATATGGTTTTGCTCTTTATGGAAATCTATCATTTAATTCCAAAAAATGAATGTCATTACTTGTATCCTTTTCTGAAGGATGTGTGTCTCAGGCTGCACAATTCTGATTTTTAAACCCAAGGGCAGGACTTGGACAACAGAGAAAGGCAAGAACCAAAGGCATTTGGGTAAATAAAAGGAATCCATCTATTCAAGGAAGAAACAAAAAGGAACTACAGGCATTTCTGTGCCCAAAGATGTCTCACTAGGTGTCATCAGAGGGACTTGGCAGAAGCAGCTGACATTACACTTGGCATTTCCCAAAAACCAAGTTGCCTTGGGAATAAATCCCATTTTTAAAGAAACTGCCTGTCCTTCTGGGAACTAACTTAATTCTGTTTGACTGAATTTTTTTTTTTTTAAATATGAGTCACAAGGAAGTTCAGAGAAACAAAATTTCACTTTGTCCCACATTACAGACACTTTCTGGGCAAGGAGAGCCACTGCCAGTAAGGGGCATGGCACCGCTGAAGGAGAATGGGCTCCTGCATGGTTCCGTGTGGGAGCTGGGGCCCTTTTTATTAAGAACCCAGATTCATGGGTGAAAATTAATACAGGAGCCACACATAGTGAAAAAAATACAAAACTACTAAAACAACCTTAAGATTTTAGTGGAAAGATCTGAAGTGAAAGAAAATGTTTTATTCATCTGCTTTTCAAGTTAGAAGCAGGAAACAGAAAAACTCTATTTAGTAAGGAAAACAATTAAAAATAGACTCCAGTCCCATTCTCATTCAAATTAATGCAGAGAGGAAGGGGGAGGGGGAGGAGTGGAGGAAAACTGTGAAGTCAGAGAGCACAGAGTCAAAAGGAAGACGTGAGCTCTGAACAAAATAATTAAACCTCCACTGTTATCAGAAATTCAGACTAACAAGCCCTTTCTACATGAGGAAACAGCTTGAAAACTTTACATTTCATGCTGCAAAGGACTTTTGTAAAGACAAAGTTTATTCCTGTATGGAATTCCAAAAAGGAAAACTTGGGATTTAGAATCATCGTCTGGAATTTTAAAGCAGAAGGGTCAACATATACCCAAAGAACTTCCGCTTCACCCCAACTCAAAGCTTCTCTGCTTTTCAGAGAAGCAGAAAAACCAACCAGAAGCAGTCAGAGACACTACAGAAAACAAACATGAAAACTCTAAGCAGAGCTGCCTAGAGCCACATAGTACAGAGACAAACAGCTGGCAAGAATGAAGGCCAGTGAGTCTTCAAGAAAAATTCAATAGTCTCTGTTTTCAAGGTACAAAAACGTGTTTTACATTCCAGAAAATTGTCTACACAATATGTTTTCTTTTTTAAATTTGATACTCAAAATTCTGCTCTCTCTAAATTTCATTATGTCAAAAAAATAAATCATTTAAGATACTACTTAAAAGAGGTATTATTGTACCTAGATTTTCGAAGTTAAATCTCTATTACCATCAAGAGACACAAACTTTTTCCTTTCTCCTTTTTTTTGGTGTTACGATTTGAAGAAGACAATCATGAACACCCAAGAAGTGGAACGAACCCAGCTTACTTATTCAGACACCTGATATCACCTCAGATCAGGGGCCTCTGTCTGTCTGCTGGGATTTATTTTATGGGCCATGAGAGTGAGTAAACTGGGGCAAATGGCCTTGGGAAACAATGGGATTTGTGAAAATTTCTGTGAAATAACAGAATTTCTGACCCAAGTATCATGGAATAGCTATGTTGATTCCAGTGGGCTGGGAGTGGGGCACAAGCCTCTCTTACCTCGATTGTGTTGCAAGAGCACAATAGTAGGATTGACAATCGTTGTGGAGGGATAGGCGGATGAAGGCTTGCTAACTGATGGAAAGGCTTGGGAATCAGTTCCAATAAGGGAAGAAGAAACTTCATTTAGTAGAGGACTGGAATCCTGAAACGAACAAACAAACAATGTAACTAACTGTAAATATAAAAAGCTAGTGTTAATGTTTTTTAAAAAGAAGAAATTTAAAGCTTTACAATGATCTTAATTATAAAAAGAAATGCAATCAATGAGATACATCGTATCATTAATTCCAGTTAGAAGTTTAAGCCGGAATGCTTATCCTCTTTGTTGGTATTAGTATGGGGCGGAGGAGAGAGAGAAGGTGAATGTTACTGCAAGTCTCAGCAACATCATTCATTAGGTCCACCTGTTAACAGTTGTGGGTCAATCTGGTTACTGAAAAACCAAATTCAAATCCAAGTAGAATAACATGCAAAACCCATGCAATTCCAAATGCGATCCAAGAACAAGAGCTGGTTTAATTGGGAAAAATCAGGGAAGTTTAGTACACTGTACAGAGAAATGTAAGACAATGTGAGGACAAGAAGACATCAATGTAAGAACAGGGAGGAGTTGAGCAACAGTTTTTTCAGAAAGCTACTCTTAGCATCAGCATCACCGAGCAATTTTACTGATGCTTGCTTCTGAGATTTGGAGATTATCCTATCCTACTGTGACATTTTTTTCACTCTAATATTAAAGTGACAAAGATCCCTAAGACTTGTGAGAATCCTGACTTTAAAAACCTGAGGTCTCTGCCAGAAATACCAATAAAATTATTAATACTAACATTATAATCTGCATATTGGGGATAATGCCAGTCTTTTAAAACAAAATAAGACCCCAAAAGGTACTAAGAATATTTAGACAGTTTCCTTCATGATATCTATACATTTCTATTTTTGAGTTTATAAACCATAAATTGAGGATGCTCTTCTTAAAAGGCTTTAAGAACAAGATTTTAAATAGTTACTTTTGAGGCAATAATTATCTTGAAGCAATAATCAAAGATCAACTCCTGTGAACGTACCCACAAGATGAGGGCCACCCCCTCACTCACACCTAGCCCAATGCCCTGCAGATAGCAGGTGCTAGTAAATGTCACGTGACTGACAGGTGGGATCTTTCAGCAATGTTGTGTCTGAGCAAATGTTTGTAGCAAGAAAACAAATGCTTATCAAAAGAGGATATGGGCATCAGCACCCAGGACAGCTCCCAACACACAGTAGGAACTTCACAACACTGCCTAGGTCAGTCTATCTCTTCTGAAAGTCCACTAAATAGCCGCCGCTATTTAGTTATGAGGGGCAGCTCAATGTCATGAATAAAACCTTTTCTCAAGACTTGAGAAGCACAGTATGATTTTATACAAAAGTGCCTCACCTTGATTCCTCCATTTAGAAAGTGAAAAATAACTACACTTTTCCTAATTTATCTCCAAAGTGATATAATTATGATAAATGACATATCATTAAAAACTGCCTGAATGCATCCAAGAAACACAAAATATCAGGCATACAGCTCTTTAAAGTATAAATGCCTAATGTGATGTTTGGGTGGATCATATGAGCATTAAGCACTTTACAGATTTTATTTTGTGTCTTATTTCTGGAACATCACAAAAACAGCTATTGATTAAAATAACTCAAATCAATTAACATGACTTTTATTCTTCCTTCTTTCTCTCAACTAGCTACAGATGGAGCAGGCATCAGCTCACAGCTCAGACACCATCCACAGAGGCTCCTCCTCTTGACAGAGGAGGAAGAGGAATCCAAGTAGTTTCCTTTTTCACCTCTGTTACCCAGGGCCAAACCCGAAGCTATCAGGCCAAACTGAGGTCCTTCTGGGAGGTCTACACCAGGCTGATTAGTCAGGTTTGAGAAACTGAGGACCCTGTCCCAACGAATCTGTCCTGGTACACCTAAAACCAACTCGATATGAAAACCTAGGTCTACACAAATAAATTATAGAATACACAATCAAACTACTCACAATGGTCTATGAGGACACTAAACATAAGACACCTTACCTGCTACTCCAGGCAAACATAATCTGTGTCAAAGGGAAGATGCTTGAACTCCCCAAAACAAGAGTGGCTTCTAAATTCTAAGTTCAGCTGAAGGTAGACGGGAATAGACCAGGGAAACATCTAGCATTTTTCTTCAATGGGACTGAGCTGCGAAATTCAAAGCTAGAAGGATATCCAAGGCCGTGGGTCACATTGGGCCTGGTGCTGACCTAACTACACTGCACAGCACTAGAGATTTCAGAACAGGCCCCAGCTCAGGATGTAACGGTTCCCAGCTTTGATGTGTTTGATGCCTCATTATAATTTATCTAATAAGCCAAATGAAAAGTTTCCTTCCTGATTTCTGCATGACTGGCTTCAGCTTAACAAGCCATTTGGAACAGTTTTGCAGGCATACATCTTTACACAAAGGGATGTCAGTAAACGCTTAGTTCCATCAGCCAATTGCATGACCCACTACATGACTGTATCTCAAAATGTAGGGTGTGGACCCCAGCATCTGAAACCCCTGAGCACTTGCTACCAAGTGAGATTCCTAGGCTCTTCTCCAGACCCACTCAGTCAGAAATTCTAGGAGTATAACCTGAGGGTGACGATTTAAACAAGCCTCCCTGACCCTCAGATGATCCCATGTACACAAAGCTTGAGAAGTGACCTCCTACTCCAAAAATCCCTTTGAGAACAAGACCCTGACTCATGGTTGTACCCAGGGTACTTAGCAGAATGCCTAGACCACGGCAGAAACTCAATGATGAATTGTTAACTAACCAGTTACTTGCTTTTGAGTGACCCTGGCCCTCATTTGCCAGGGTAAGTCCTCAGCAACATAGCTAACATTCACTAGGCACCTTCTCTATGTCAAGCTCCATAACAGGAACTTTTACACTCGATCCTACTGAACCCGAAGCCCTGTGAGTAGATTCACGTATTCCCATATTACAACTCGCAATGAAGTTATCAGATTCTCTCAATTCCCAGGGCTCCTAAGGAAAAAGGAGACCCAAGCACTTTGACTCAGCTTTTTCTCTAAGCAGTTGGGCTTTCCCGGCTGTGATGGGAACTCATTCCCCCACCCACAGGATGGGACCTGAGGCAGCAGGGCCCTTTGACTTCCTGTGACCACTGGGGCACTGTTTTGTCACAGAGGCTCCTGGGACCTTCTCCTCAGGGGCCCTAGCAATTGCCTGCCTTTTGAGGTAAAAGTCCTAACATTTGTACAGGGCTTTCAGACCCACTTGCTCACTTAAACCCAACTCTCTCACAAAAAAAAAAAAAAAAAAAAAAAAAAAAAAAAAATCCTAGTCTCTGTCATTTCTGTATACTACAGAGAGTTTATTTACTCACTAGGTCAACAAGAGAATCAGAGAATCGCTTCCTCCCCGAGATCTCCCCGCTCCCTGGTAAGTAGCACCCACCACGCCTGCCGTTGCTTTCCCCCATAATTCTTAGCTTTCCTCAGCTCACCACACGACCCCCGACCTGGCCTGTGAAAAGCATGGCCAGTCAACATAAAGGCCACAGATGTTGTCTTCTGAGGGAGAAAGATGTGCATTCCCAACAGGACAGAGCAGATGAGGCACTGCAGAGATGGGGAACAGCCCCGAGAGACCCAGGGAAGACACACGGGAAGCATGCACGCTAGTGACAGGGGACACGGCTCCAGTCATCACACAGGCACAGCGGCAGCCAGTGCTGTCCTCAGAGCTCAGTGCTTCAGTGAGAAAGGGAATGTGACTGCTGGGAGGAGACATTCAGAAAAGCCGTGAGGAGGGGAGTCCAGCAAGCTTACGGTACTCGAAACAGCTCCCGTGAGGTCAGGCTCCGAGACTCTGCGGAGGTCCTCCGGGGCAGGAGGGACCAGCGGAGGTGGTGGTGAGAAGGATGGTGGCGTCTGGCTAATGGGGGCAAAGGAGCCAGAGGCGCGGGCTGGCTGGCTGTGGTGGGGCCACCTCTGCAGATGAGGGGGAATGAAATCATCTAGAGTCGGGAAGGTCAGAGGTGAGGCGGCAGAGGCAGTCGCTGGGATTGTGGGGACGCAGCCAAGAGGCCCCAGAGGTGTTGGAGGTCTGGCAGTGCCTTCTTGCCCTCTGTCAGTATTAACCAGGTAGAGAGGGACAACTATTACCTCCGGCTGGGCTGCACTGGAGGAAGTGGCATCCTGTGGAAATAAGGGGGTCGTTATGGAAAGGGGTATGATACGAGGAAAGAATTCCATATTTAAACGGTTGAGAGTGGGCATGCAGTGAGGTACTCTGAGAAATATTTAATCAGTGCCCTTTCCTCAGAGTACATGAGACAGTCGGAGCTGGCCAGCTGGCCTTCTGACACTCCATGACACAGAGGGAACCCCATCCAACTCCGCTTTTCATCCATCTATTTTTGAATCCTTTTAACACTTTATGAGAGAGAAAGAACAGAACAGGCAGGCAGGCTGTGTTTAACCCCACAACACCACCATAGAGCCTAAAAGCTTGGGAGTAAATACAATTTCTTTGGCACCTTGTAATAAAACATGAACAATGAGTTTCTCACCATGTTATTAGTCTCTGGATTCCACGCTCCGGCATACTTACACATTTACAGAAAAGAGAGACAGACAAAGAGAGTACTGTGCTGAAAGGTTCAGACAGAAGAATTCGGGACTCAAGCCACAACAACATTAATGAGGAAAGGGAGGGTAGGGCAGCCCAGTGAACAATGAGCTGCTCGCATCAGTTTTGAAAGAGACAGTAGAGAAGACACACAAACATTCCTAATTTCTTGCCTTGGCTGGATAACTCGGCTGCAAAAGGTAAGATTCTTTGCTCTTCCGGTTTTCGGGATCAGAGGTAACCCGGGGGCCTAGCACAGGTGGTCTCACATCTGGGAACGAAGCCTGAGTCCCCAGGGAAGGACTCTCGCCACGGTTAACGGCATCTTTACGGATGTCAAAGAATAGCTTGGGAGGGTCAGGAGGAGGAGCAGGGGGTGGTTTTCCTGTGCCGGCTGTGCGGGAGACAAGGCCGGGAGCCGGTGCTCGGGTGCCCGCAGCCTCCAAGGGAGTGCCTTCGGCAGGGTCACGTGCAACACGAGAGGAGTTTTCTGACGCCGCCAGGCAAATGTTATTGGATAAACAAGGTACATATAAGCTGCTGACCTTTTTAATCCCAACTGCCTCATGACATGGGTTAGAGCTCACATTCTTATGATAAACTGTCCTGGTGGCTGCATAGCGCTGCTGGGGTTGGGATGAAGCACTGGGGAACGTGGAGTCCGGAAGCAAGGAACCAGGGCACACCACACCTTTGGGAGCCGATCCAGCTGCCAGGAGGACAGAGATAGGCTGGGGTTGTGAGGGGTTCTGCTGTCTGGGGGTGCCGAGTGGGACATAAGGCTTTGGTGAGCTCAGGTAGAGGGAATCCTTATAGGTATTGTGGATGGTGGGGGACTGCCATGCAAAGCGGTCCTTTTGAGGGAGAGGAGGGCGTGGGGGAGAGAGAACCTTTAGCAATATTTTCAAGATATGTTATCAAACAGGGAAAAAAGAAAGAGGAGGGGAAATGGAAAGAAGGACGATCATTAGAAACGACAGCATAACATGATTCAAGCAAAAACAATTCTTAACACGTTTTTCAGCACATCCTCAGGTTAGACTCCTCCTAGTATCCACAATTCTAAGTGAAGCCAAAGACTGAATCCCACTCACCTGGAGAGGTAGGCCTGACTCTCCTTTGTATCCAGAGAGGCTGAGCCCAGCCCGTAGCAGGCCACATGCTACATCAATTGTGACACCAATCCTTGGCTGACTGCATCTTTATTAGACATCCTGACTCAAGAAGGGAGCCAAGTGAACTAAACACCAGTGGGAGAAGCACCAAAGCCCCCAACTCCCTCTCAAACCTCCTTCCCTCAAGATTTATCTTCGAGCCTTTGGCCTTAGAAGTTTATGTTCACTGGAACTCTTTTGAGTGCCTTTCATTCTTTTCCTTTAGGAAAAGGAGAACTGGAAGAACCGTCCTTATTTGTGTTCACAGGAGACAGATGTCTTAATTGAGTCACTGAGATTTAGCACTCAATTCCATAAGCATAACAAATTAACGTGCCCTAAGAAGAGAATGCTAAGGATTTTTGAATACACATGTGCTCTTTTCTCAGAGGAAAGAATTTGATGAAGCTAATTATTAGAAGGAAGACAAGCATGAGATTAAAAGCACACAGTCTCCCATTTTTGATGTACACAAAAAAGGGGACCAGGCAATGAAGGACTGAATTGGCCTCTACCGGATTGGACTGTGCCTAGTTTCTCAAAATCTAGCCCCATGCCCATCTCACCCAGCCCACCACCACACAAAGGGAATCAGCCCCAGAGGTAAATGATCAGCCTCAGATTCACAGCTTAAGCCCAAAGCTCTGGTTGCAGGTCCAGAGGCTCACACAGCATCCCTCTCTTCTCAACACTGCTCCTCTTTGGGTCTCAGTGGAGAAGAGGGTCAGGAAATGGGATGACCCTCCAGTCTGATCCTCATGTCAACAAGAGTCATCTGGCAATCTGCGGCTCAACTGGGAATTAGACTATGAGATGAGGAAACTGCATTTTGCTAGATTTTCTTTTCTTTTGTTTTGTTTTATTTTGTTTCGAGATGGAATCTCGCTCTGTCACCCAGGCGGGACTGCAGTGGCGCGATCTCGGCTCATTGCAACCTCCGCCTCCTGGGTTCAAGTGATTCTCCTGCCTCAGCCTCCCAAGTAGCTGAGACTATAGGCACATGCCACCATGCCTGGCTAATTTTTTGTATTTTTAGTACAGACGGGGTTTCACCGTGTTAGCCAGGATGGTCTCAATCTCCTGACCTCATAATCTGCCCACCTCAGCCTCCCAAAGTGCTGGGATTACAGGAGTGAGCCACTGCACCCAGCCTAGGTTTTCTTTAATGGCTCCTTTTTTTTTTTTTTTTTGAGACATAGTCCCACTCTGTCACCCAGGCTGGAGTGCAGTGGCACAATCTAGGCTCACTACAACCTCCGCCTCCCAGGTTCAAGCAATTCTCCTGCCTCAGCCTCCTGAGTAGCTGGGACAAGCCCATGTCACCACACCCAGCTAATTTTTTGTATTTTTAGTAGAGACGGGGTTTCACCATGCTGGCCAGGATGGTCTTGAGCTCCTGACCTTGTGATCCACCTGCCTCGGCCTCTCAAAGTGCTGGGATTACAGGCGTGAATGGCTCCTATTTTTAAAGATATCCCAGTTCTAGAAGAAAACCAGAACTTTCCTCCAAATTACGCAAGTGAAGTATATTAGAGTCTGATCAATATCGGTAAGTGAATTTTGACCAAAAATGGGGAGGGTGCAAGATCTGGGTCTATTTTGAATTTATTTTTAATTTTATTTCATTCTTTTTTTTTTTTTTTCCCGAGATGCAGTCTCACCCTGTTGCGCAGGCTAGAGTGCAGTGGTGTGACCTTGGCTCACTGCAACCTCCGTCTCCCAGGTTCAAGCAATTCTCCTGCCTCAGCCTCCTGAGTAGCCGAGACTATAGGCCTGTGCCACCACACCCGGCTAATTTTTGTATTTTTAGTAGAGACGAGTTTTCACCATGTTGGCCAGGCTGGTCTTGAACTCCTGACCTCAAGTGATCTGCCCGCCTTGGCCTCCCAAAGTGCTGGGATTACAGGCGTCAGCCACAGCGCCCGGCCAATTTTATTTCATTCTTTTTTTTTTGAGACTAAGTCTCGCTCTTGTCACCCCAGCTGGAGTGCAATGGCACAATCTTGGCTCACTGCAACCTCCGCCTCCCAGGTTCAAGCTATTCTCCTGCCTCAGCCTACTGAGTAGCTAGGATTATACATAGGTGCCTGCCATCACACCTGGCTAATTTTTGTATTTTTTTTAAGTAAAGACAGGGTTTCACCATGTTGGCCAGACTGGTCTCGAACTCCTGACCTCAGGCGATCCACCCACCTCAGCCTCCCAAAGTGCTGGGATTACAGGCATGAGCCACTGCACCTGGCCTATTTCATTCTTATATTTGTGGCATACAGGTGGCAAGAAGAAAGAATGTTAGAAAGGGTGAATAGGTGAAAAATATTTAAAAGTTTTATAGGTTGGGCACTGTGGTTTAAGCCTGTAATCCCAGCACTTTGGAAGACCAAGGCAGAAGGACCACTTGAGTCTGAGACCAGCCTGGGCAATACAGCGAGACTCTGTCTCTACAAAAAATTTAAAAAAGAAATAGCCAGGTGTGGTGGCACACACCTGTAGCCCCAGCTACTAAGGAGGCTGAGAAGGGAAGATTGCTTGAGCCCAGGAGGTCAAGGCTGCAGTAAGCTGTGATGGCACCTCTGCACTCCAGCCTAGGTGACAGAGCAAGACTGTCAAAAAAAAAAAAAAAGTTTTTTGAGTCCAGATTAGAACATCAACCCAGAAATAGTAAATAACCTATTCCTTAAACTCAGTTTTCAAGGCACACATATAAGCTCATTGGACAAGCAGCTCATTTGGATATCCTTGACTAATTCAATGCCTATCCTTTCCACAGGGCACCCATGGCAGTGCCAGTGAATATGCACCAGCCAAAAAAAAAACAAAATGAATAGCCCCTCTCTAGTATTCAGCAACAGCAAAAGCTTTCAGGTGAACTCACTTGGTTTCAGTGAACATGTTTACAGACTAAACGATTCTAGAAACAAAACACGTGGGCTAGCACGCACCAAAGGGACTGGCGGGTATGCTGATAATGGCAGTAGGGAGGTAAGCAAAAGATCATTTTGATTTGAGCTCAGATTTACTTTTACTTTCAGCTCAAATGTCCCATATGTGATTTCTTCTTGTCCAAAGATAGAAATCAGCTTCAGTGAGTTTCTAACTTATTTTGGCTCTCGCCATATATGGTGCATTACATCAGGCATGAGCCTTCCCAGGGCTTTGACCCTGTAGAGAGGACGCTTCCCCAGAGCATCAACAGTGCACTCAGATCCAAAGGTCTCCTGCCCTGGGGCTTCTTTTAGTCCTGAAGAAGAAAGGGGATAGGCACAGTGACTTTACATGCAGGGAACTACTTTTTGTTGTAAACATTGTAGGAACCACACAGGCAGTCTGCATTCTGCCCAGTTGGCTATAAATGAAATTCTATTTATCTTTTCAGAAGGTGGGTCAGTGAAAATATGAGGCTTCTGGAAAATCCTGGTATGTTTATAGTTTATACAGTTCTATAAACTACCAATTCCCTCCTCTAAGCCAGTGCATACTTACAGCTCTGGCAATCACTATATAGACAAGAAGTCATGTTTCCATTCAGAAAACACACCTAAGAGGTAATGCATGACCTAAAGGTTCCTGAAATTTGAATGGCTGATTTTACATTGAATATAAAGGATAAAACCTCTTTATGAGCAATTTACCAAGTTCCCTTAAAAGGGAACCCCAGTAGAAAGAAAATTCTTGGATAGTGACAGATAAGAAAACATACTTTGTAAAAGATATTATAGGGTGTTCACCCTTATAAACCTCTTGAGGGCAATGTTTCACACAGTGATCTGAACACCACGGAGATGCTCAATAAAGCTGTGTTAAATAAATTTTAAAAGAATTTTTATTTACTTCACATGCTTTTAAAATTGTCTTTTCAAAAGAGCTGCTTAAGAAGCCAAAAAGAATTACTGAGTTACCCTTTGAACTAAGTCACTGATAGTGGAAGAGGACATGCTTCTACATTTGCTTTGAATTAATCAGCACTGTTTCTTGATCTGCATAGAGCTGATGGCATCCATTCTTGAGATGGTTGAAAAGAAGTATGTCTGCCACAGGCAGCACATTTATACACTGTGAAAGGGTTTAGGGACGGGAAAACCATGGCAAGTCATTTACCGGACAAGTGACCTCCCCAGTCCCTCTGTCTAATGAAGACTTCAAAAAGCCAGGCTCATTCGCAGCTCCTGGTTCTAACCAGTGACCCAGGATGCATACGGCTGTACCTAGGGAGGCAAGTCATAGCAGGTGGCAGAAAGGCTAAATGTGTTTGTTGCTCAGCATACAAGGCAGACAATTAAGCAACCAATTCCACGCTGAGGAGGATAAGCATCTGTAGAGAGGGAGAAAAACATCATCTCTGATTCAGCTTCATTTCAGCAGCAAGTGCATTTTTACATCCTCACAACAGGAACCAGAGGATCATTGGAGAAGTGGGGTGGGAACTAGGAAGGACCTGCAGAATTTGCGGACTCCTTGTGAGTTCGGGGAACACCTTCACAGAAGGAAGGCACAGGGAAGCGGACCACACAAGGAACACATTTCTGCTATAGTTTTTGAGCAGCACAGCTTCCTTTAAGAGAAAGGACTAGGCTAGGTGTGGTGTCTCACACCTATAATCCCAACACTTTGGGAAGCCAAGGTGGGAGAATGGCTTGAGGCCAGCCGTTGGAGGCTTCAGTGGGCTACGATGACACCATTGCACTCTGGCCTGGGCAACAGATAGAGACCCTGTCTTAAAAAAAGAGAGAGGAAGAGAGAAAGAGAGAGAGGGGAGAGAGAGGGGGAGAGAGAGAGAGAAGTAGTAGTCGACTCCACAGATGTGGCTCCTGTATGCAAAAATGTTCATCACAGATCACCTAAATTAAAACATGGTCTATTCCCATCATCAAAATGACAAAGTAACAACAGGAGAGGGAAGAAAGAAAAGATCAGGAAAGCCACCTAGGGGGAAAGACTTAAGCAAAAGTATCCTTACTCCAATTTGTACAGCTTTGGGGGATTTCTTTTGTAGGATACAGCTGGGCTGTACTGCCATTTTGCCTGTTCCTGGGCTGCTGGACTTAGGGTCTGGCCACAGCTACCTGATCTTAATCTGTAAGGATACTGTTGCTGGAGTTCTTACAGCCCCATCTCCAGAAAACAACTGGAATAAACACAAGATGCATTCTTCTCTTGAATATTACACTCTAAAGAATTTTTTTTAAAAACGTCTCAGACCTTTTTCCTACATATCCAAGGCTAAATGAATTCCCTCTTTCAGAACACTTCTACATACAGAACAAACCTAAATAGGCATCAAGGCCTATTTCCAACACCCTGGTACAGACCAACCTCATTCCATGCCTCTGCTCCCCTTGACCCCAACTTTCCCTTAGCTAGGTCCTTGCAGAGCTTATCCAGAGTTGTCCAAAAGCTTGAAACCTATTCCGTTATCCAACTGGGGAAGCAGGAAGTCACCAGTCTAAGTTAAGAGACTCAAGAACAGGTACCACTCACCAGTCCCCACCCTGCCCTTGGGCACATGCCTACCTGGGACTTGTCAGAAGGAAGGTTGGGATGCACACTTCTGTAGCCCTTGGCAGCGAGTGAAGAGGGCTGGGCATTTCCATTGGCATCAGCACTGGAAGAAAGCCTCCACTCATCTGAGAAATAGAGAGGAAAAAATCTCTCACTCACAGGGAATAACTCCCTGGTTCCCCTGTAACTCCGGGGTCCTTGGTAGAAGGCCAGAAAGGTGAGAATGCAAGAGAAGCCATACCTGCTGAAGAAGGCTCTGGCTCCAGACCTACACGTGGTGCAGAAAGGATGAAAACAAGAAAAGGGGAAAAACAGAAATGGTTACATTTGCAGGAAACAAGCATGAAACTGCATAGAAGGTTGAAAATCCAGCACCCCGTTGTTTGACACAAAATGCCCTCAGTCACGATGGCCTGATTACCATAGGAACCCACTCGAAACCATGATGTGCTCACAGGCACTGACCTTTGAAAACACAAGGCTCACATTCACAGGGATGAAGAAACAATTGTTACTTGACATTCTTATTTTACAGACAAAAAGGCAACAGAATTCTCTACTGTCCAGTCCCTACTCACTGACTCTCATTCCCCTTCCTTGAGCCTGCTGTGGGCTCAGAATGACCACTCCCAACCAACTAACAGGCCCAGGAGAGAGAGAAGTGGATAAACACTTTTTCCAGGGGTGCTGGTGCTGGGCTAAGGGGCAGCACATGACTTAAGCTGGGAGGTATCTGCTGCGATAAAGACTTTTTTTTCCTCCCTGCCTGCTTTTCTTCTTTCCATTAAATGAGGCACATAAACATTTCAAAATCTAATCACCCTTCCTGAGTGTTCATCACATCACAAAGCACCCCTGTCTCCCTTCAGCCTTCCCAGCCACTGCCTGATGCATTTCAGAGACCCTAAACCTCTAGTCTGATCCACATAGCACATAGCACCATGAGGCAGCAGAGTGCAGTGGTTACAAGCCCGACTGGAAAGGCAGCTGGGCCTCAATTCATATCCTGGGTCTACCACCTAAGGGTTCTATGACCCTGGGCAAGTTATAAGCCTCAGTTTGCCCATCTGAAAAATGGAGATAATGATATGCCTGTTTTATAAGTGTTGTTAATAAGAACATTTATGCATGCAAAATGCCTACCACAGTGCCTGGCAAAGCTCAGAAAATGTTTGCTATTTATCATCTTCTGTATCATCTCTTGTCTCTACTCTCTGTCCTTGATCTAACCCAGGGGTCCACAGACTTTTTTCTATAGAGGGCCAGATAGTAAATATTTTAGGTTTTATGGGCCATATGGTCTCAGATGCAACTACTTGGCTCTGCTATTGTAGGACAAAGGCAGCCACAGATGATATGTAAATGAATGAGCATGGCTGTGTTCCAATAAACCTTTATTTATGGACACTAAAATCTGAATTTCATAAAATTTTCATGTGGCATACAATACCATTCTTCTTTTGATTTTTCTTTCAACCATTAAAAAATGTAAAAGCCCTTCTTAGCTCGAGGGCTGTACAAAAAAAG
Organism: Homo sapiens; assembly: GCF_000001405.40. Lineage (NCBI taxonomy): Eukaryota > Metazoa > Chordata > Mammalia > Primates > Hominidae > Homo > Homo sapiens. The sequence continues at coordinate 95,423,476 of NC_000010.11, forward strand.
GCACAGGCCAGATTCCGCTCACAGCCACAGTTTGCCAATCCCTAATCTAGCCAAGCCTTAACCCCTTCTTTTCCCAGGCTGCCTCCTCTTGCCTCACCATGTAGAGAAAGAGGGACTAACACTGCAGTCTCACTGCCCAATCCTCCGTTTCAATGTGGGTCCCTCAGGTGCTAGACATGGGCTTTCCAGATGCCAAGTTGAGATTTACAGACATTTACTGAACACCTCTCTAAGTGCCACTGTGAGTCACTGTTACGCCCATTTAGTTTTAGTTCAGTGTACACAACAACTCTGTGAAGTAGGTAATCACTCTCCTTCATGGATGAGGAAACAGAGAGGCCAAATGACTTGCCCAAAGTCGCACAGCCAGGAAGTGACAAAGCAGTCAGCCCAAGTCTCCAGAATCCAAACCTAGCACTCTGCCTACCACCCCCACAGCCACCAGCCTCCCCATCGGCCATGAAGTGGATGCTATGCTTCAGAGAGGTGGTGGGAGCCAAAAAGAGCTGGAGCAGAAGGCAAGGTAGGGTAAAGGTTCCAAGTGATTGGCATTCACGTATAGCAGTGGTGTAGCTGCATCAGGGCTTGCTGAAACACAGGTGGCTGGGCCTGGATCCTGGCACTTCTGATGCAGTAAGTATGAGGTGAGGCCCAAGAATCTGCATTTCTAACAAGTTTGCAGGTGATGCTGAGACTGCCAGTCCGTAACCGACACCTGGAGAACCACTGATGAGAGGTACACTCAAAAACGTCCTTATTCTGGAAAACTAGCTGTATCCATTTTATTTTTTCCCCTTTAAAACAGTTTTAAAATTTAGCTACATATTCTTTTAGCAGGTTGCCTGTTACATTTCTGCCACTTCCTTACAGACAATTCACTGCCATTTGTCTTCTCCAACCCGCAAAAACTGCGTGCGGTCAGCCCTCCATATCCACGGATTCCGCATCTGTTAATTCAACCAACCGTGGATCAAATATTGGGGGAAAAAACACAAAATAAGAAAACAATAATAATACAACATTTAAAAAATACAGAGTAACAACTATTTACATAGCACTTATATTAGGTATTACAAGTAATCTAGAGATTATTTAAAATATACAGGAGATCTGCATAGGTTATGTACAAATACAATGCCATTTTATATAAGGGACTTGAGCATCCTCAGATTTTGGTATCCGTGAAGGTCCTGGAACCAATCACTGGCAGATACTGAGGGACAACTGTAGTTGGGAAAGGTACATACAGGACATGTGTTTTGCTCACATTACTGCAATGTACCGGCTTGTATGACCAGGAGCAAGTTCACTAGCCATGCTAAATTTTACTTTTCTCACCTATAAAATATAAGCCTTACCCCATACTCCTCACAGGGAGTATGATTCTTTGATTCTCTCCAATTGAAGAATTGGAGAATCTTTGAGAATCAAAGATCAGGTACATGAAAATACCTCTGAGTGCACCACACTCCCTGTCGCATCCAGACGGCTCCCTGGCTCAGAGCTCCCCTCACACCTGGCAGGCCCTTAAACACCTGGTGACATGCCATGACAATGGTCCACTTCTTCCCTCACAGCTATCACTTTTACCGTTCCATCTTCTTTACTAAGTTGCTATTTCTAGTCCACCTTTGTCAAATAAGTCTATCAAATTTATTAGATTTATGCATATACTAACGTCAACAGGTTCTGAGTGAAGGGCTATCTAGTGAAGGATGTAAACTTCGTACATGCAATTGGGGACACATTATTTTGCCCACTTTCTGGTTCTCAGTTGGGTTGGTTCTATTCAAGTGACACTAGCAAACAGCTATGTCACGGAAAGCTGAAATGTGAACTGTTCTTCTAAATCTCCAGGTATCATGAAGGGACCATCACTGTGACATCAGATTGCCTAGTTTCAGCCCTGAGTCTCTATCTTGCTAACTGCATATCCTGTGGCAAATGACCTGGCCACGTCTGTGAAATGGAGATAATATCTACCTCTTTTGAATCAAGAGGACTAAATGAAAGTATTTGGCATAAAGCATGTGCTTTGCAAAATCAGAATTCAAAGCATAAGGGGGAAAAAACCATGGAAAAAAATGAGCATTGTTGATCTCTGCCATGTGATAAATAGCTTTAAGAACGTAAGATCCTTAGGGATAGATCCACTTTTTCTTCTCATTCCAAGTCTTTAAAACTGTTCCCCTTCCCCTATCCCAAAAAGGCAGTTCTCAGGACCTCTTAAATGTTCCTCTCTTCCTTGTTAAAGGAGAGCTATATTTCTGACATCTTATCATCCTTCATCTATTACCTCATCTTCTGAACTTGGAAGGTTGGTAGCAGCCCAGGGCCATTTGTGCCTATGTGCAGAAGTATGAAATTTTGCACACATGATCATCCATTATTAACTCCTGATTGAAGAGACTGTCAAAATGCTTCTTTCAATAAATGTTACCTTAGAGCTCCCAAGCTGGGGGGAGTGCCTCGGAAAGTTGGATCCTAGAGAGCTTTTGCAGTCCTGAGAGACCTACCCTTTCTGCAAGCAGCATAATTTACTTTGCCTTATCTTTTCCTCCAGCTGTTCTTTATTTGCAATCTTTTCTGGCCTGTGGCTGTAGCCTCCTGATATTTTATTTTATCTCATCTCATTCTATGCTAATTTCATTTTGACCTGTTTTAAAGCCTTTTGCTGATCAGTCAATTCTTCTTGGCATCTTAGGATAATTTTCACTGAGTGAGTCTTGATGTGTTCTGGTAAGAGTATTTAAGAGGTAGATGACAGGTGTTAATAGTAAGTCTAAGGGTGTTCCAAATCTTATTTGTGTTTATTTTGTATTCACACTGTACAGTAGAGAATTTAACTTTATCCAAAAAGAGGTCTGGCCTTGGCCCTCAGCTTCTGGGATGTAATCTCTGAGCTCTTGGAAAGTCATGCCTGATAGGAGTGACTTTGTTTATCTGGGGCTTTGAGTCACACCAATTATGTGACTTGGGGTGGGGGCTTTGAGCCACCAGGAGCTCAATCGATTACAAAGTTGGACTGGAGATTGAGAACTGCCCTGTGGGCAGTGGATCATGCCTATGTAATGGAGACATGGCAAAAAGGCTGAACACAAAGGCTCAGGTACATTTCCTGGTTGAAAATGCTCTGAGAACACTGTCACACATCACTGCTGGGAAATAATATGTCCTGACTCTCCACGCAGAGTAGGCAACAGAAGCTCCGCATTTGGTACCTTTTCCAGACTCCAGCCTACGTGCATCTTCTCTTGCCTTTTTTAATCTGTATCCTTTCCCTACAATAAACCATAACCCGGAGTGTAGCAGCTTTCAGTAAGTTGTGTGAGTCCCTCCAGCATTGTACCAAACCTGAGAGTGGTTTTGTGAATCCCCTGAACTTGCAGCTGGTGTCAGAAGGGAGGGTGCACTCTTGTGAGGACTTTTCCCTCCAACTTCTCAGTTGGCCCTAATTCTCACACATGTACTCATCAAAAAGACTCTAATTTAATGGAGGTACGGGGTACCTTCAACTGCTTCAATGTTAACCTTCTTATGGTACCTTTTTGCTACTGCCATTCCTGGAGAGCAAATGTGAGAGTCAAAACCAGAGGAAATAATTGGACTGCAGGTCCAAGAATCTTTATGTCCAAAGCTAACTTTGCATTCAAGAATCAGGCAGTAAGGACTGGAGCCAACTGGTACAGAATTAACAAAATATAAGGGCTGAACTGGACCCTGGCATCTAAGTCAGAACACAGGAATTGATATATCAAGCCACAAGATCTTTAGACTATACCAGACAGAAAGCTTTGTATCACACTCACCACCAACTCAGGCTCCCTGTCTGGAGTGAAAACACCCTGACCTGGGACATGATCAAGTCACTCTGAACCAACATGGCCAACGCTCAGACCTGGTGTGGCAATGAGGTCAGGAGGCAGGGATAAGGTGATGAGGTTTCTCCTGGGGGCAGGGAGTCGGTACTAAGATTACTGCCATTCCTTTCAGATGGTTCTGATCCAAAAACCAAGGTCCACATTCAGAGATGAGGAGGCTGATCGGGAAGCTGTGGTCAGGGATCTTGAGTTAAGCCACCACTTGAATGGAGGAGTCTGGAGAATGAGTGTTAACTGGGCAATTTCAAGGGCTCTCTCTGTCACTCCACCGAGAATGTCTCCATTCTCTCAAAGTTCATGTGGATGCAGATGGCTTCCAAATCCACACATTGGACTCCAAATTTCCAAATTCCCATTAGAAACATTCTCCTGGAAGTCCTTCCCTTGCCAAGAAACTTGACATGTCAAAAGATGGAATTCAACATTCTTTCCAGCACTCTTCACAAATCCCCCCAACTCCATGAGTGCCACAATTACTCTCCTAGCCAACCAGGGAAGGCATCTCCTGGGCCACATGGAGTCTTACCTCTCTGTGGTCCTTAAATACACCACAAGGAGCCCTGGTCATTTCATTCTCCAAAAGACACTTTGACCTCAGCCTCTGCTCTTCACTCCCATTGCCACCATGCTAGGGGTGAGGCCCTCATGGCTTCAAACTGAAATTCTTTCAAATCTTTAACAAGCCTCTTGACCTGCAGGAACTAGAATGGTTACTCTTAAAAAGCACTTGCTTTGGGCCTGTGCCAAATGCTTGACATGAAAGAGCTCATTTAGCTGGGTGTGGTGGCTCATGCCTGTAATCCCAGCACTTTGGGAGGCCAAGGCGGGTGGATCATGAGGTCAGGAGTTCAAGACCAGCCTGGCCAACACAGTGAAACCTGGTCTCTACTAAAAATACAAAAAAAATTAGCCGAATGTGGTGGCAGACACCTATAGTCCCAGCTACTTGGGAGGCTGAGGCAAGAGAATTGCTTGAACTCAGGAGGCAGAGGTTGCAGCGAGCCGAGATCATACCACTGTACTCCAGCCTGGGTGACAGAGTGAGACTCCATCTCAAAAAAAAAAAAAAAAAAAAAGAAGAAGAAGAAAGAGCTCATTTAATCTCAACAACTCTGTTATGGTCATCTCCAATTTACAAATAAGGCAACTGAAGCCCTGTAAGGTGGAGTAATTTGTCCATACCGCAAAGACAGTAAGTGGCAGTGCTCAGCCTCAGTAGAGAACTGTGTGAAACCAGAACTATATCATCTCTCCCAGGTGAGGGGGTTGGGACAAGGACTAGAAATAGGGGGCACTGCTGAAATGTGGGTATCAGGGGACCAGGTAGGGACTGGACCTTCCAGTCCAGGCAAATAATCAACAACCTGGACACCTATAGGCATTGAAGAAGGTGGCAAACAGGGAGCAAGTCAGAGAGGAAGCAGGCAGAGCAGCTGGGGGACAAATGCTGTCCCTGGTGAGAAGGGAGGGAGCCAGACGCCATCTGACATTAGCTATCTGCAAAGGCATTGGGAGTAGGAAGCAATCCTTGGCAAGAGCCATCCACTACCTCACACTTGGGCTCCCAGTCCAGACTGGGCTTGGCTGTCTGCAAATACTGCTGAAAACTGTTTTTATGAAGCCAGGGAAGGCCCAGGGGCTCCTAGGCCCCAGGATAGGACAATAGACTGGTATGGGCCAGCAAGTTGTCAGTCCGGAGGGTGACATGGACACTGTCAGAGTCAAGAGCCAGCAGGATGTTAGCCAATAGGTAGCATGGTAAGGGGACAAGATTACCATTTCTGAATTACCTATACTCACATCCTCATTTTTTTTTTCTTTTTGAGATGGAATCTTGCTCTGTCTTCCATGCTGGAATGCAGTGGCATGATCTCACTCACTGCAACTTTCACCTCCCGGGTTCAAGCAATTCTCCTGCCTCAGCCTCCCGAGTAGCTGGGATTACAGGCGTGCAACACCATGCTTGGCTGATTTTTGTATTTTTAGTAGAGACGGGGTTTCACCATGTTGGCCAGGCTGGTCTCGAACTTCTGGCCCCAACTGATCTGCCCACCTCGGCCTCCCAAAGCGCTGGGATTACAGGTGTGAGCCACTGCGCCCGGCTTACTGACATCCTCTTTTAAGCCCACTCCCCAGTGTTAACTTATTCTAGTCTGCGTTGTATACTTAATGAGCACGTGGATTTTTTCTTTGTTTCCTCTACTCAAACCCAGCTTGTTCCTTTTCATCCAAACTGCCCTCCTGTACCATCTTAAATTTATCACCAATCAAAGGGATTCCATTTGTTAGGCTAATTTCCAAACTTCCTAAGGTCGCAGAGCATTCTGGAGCTAGAAAGGCTTGGAAAGCATCTGGCCCAAGTTCCTCATACTTGATATGGGCTCAAAGTCACTAGGACTTACCCACAGCCCGAAAGGAAGATGGCTGACTACAAGTCCACACCTGACTCCTGTTGCAACATACTGCCTTTTGCCCTCACCTAATGCACCTAGAATTGCTCTCTTTTCCTCCTTTCTCATCACAATTCCAAGTGACTCATGCAGCACCTGGCACATAGATAATGCTGAATGAATGTATGCTTATTTGGATTCGATGATCTCAATTTACAAAGATGAACTTACTGTAAGGTGTGAATGACTGATAACTATCCCTTAATTCTTCCGAGTACAGTATTTGCATTTTAAAACAATCTGCTGATGGTTTGGTGAAAAAGATGTGGTGAAATTTCTTTTCACCAAATTAGCTGGTAGAAATTTGTAAGACACAAAAGTATTCTGGGACAAGAGAGTGTTTCCAAAAGTGCCTCAAATCCACACACGGGGCCGGGCATGGTGGCTTACACCTGTAATCCCAGCACTTTGCCAGGCCGAGGCAGGTGGATCACTTGAGCCTACAAGTTCAACATCAACCTGGGCAACATGGAGAAACTTTGTCTCTACAAAAAATACAAAAATTAGCCAAGTGTGGTGACGTGCACCTCAGCTACTTGGGAGGCTGAGGTGGGAGGACAGATTGAGCCCGGGAGGCCGAGGCTGCAGCAAACCATGATTACATCACTGTACTCCAAGCTGGGCAACAGAGTAAACCCTGTCTCAAAAAAAGAAAACGAAACAGAAAAAAAAACAAATCCACACACGGTACTGGTAGCACAGGCGTACACCTGGTGGGCATTGTGTTCTACGTCAATGCCACACTGTAACCACTAGAGGGAGCTCCAAGCTCCCTCTCCACCACCTCCATTTGCTGCCAGAGGACGGGACAGTTGGTTTGTAAGGTTATTTGACTGGGCCAGGGGACTGCACATTAAAGCCTTTCTCTTTGCATCATCCCTTAGGATTCTCTCTTCTCCAAATGCTCTCTAGCTTGGAAGTGGGTCGTCCCAGTTAGGCTTGGAGAGGCTGGATGAGGTTAGCCTTAGAATAAAATAACTTTGCCTTCTCTCCTCACCCCCACCTTTCCAGCGGGTCAGGAGTCAGGGCTGGGCTCAGGGATGCAGGACCAAGAAGCTACTCTGTTGACTTTTAGGGCTGTGGGCTGCTCGGGCCTGCCCTCAGCCTAAGGACAAAGAAGCCCTCACGGGGACCAACATCACCAGAAAGGGGTTTGTGCTCAAACCCTAGCCTGGCCTCATCCACCAGCATGTGCCCTGGCACCTGTTATGGGTAGCTGGGAAGGAAGAAAATCAGTTTCCAGGATGCTAGGTCTGGCCATTTCCATCCTACATATCATATCTGTCTTATCACAACACACCACTCCCGCTGCACCAGAGGGGTCTGCATACCCTACTGCCTAGCCTCTCTGGTCCCAAGGGAATGGTCCTCCCCTCCATTCCATTTCTCCCTCCCTTTCCTTCAAGAAAGCAAGCTCCCATCCCCTACAGCAGCAGCTCTCAGATGCAGTCCTTGCACTAGCAGCATCAGCATGAACCTGTCAGAAATGTGAACCTTCAGACCCTACCTCAGACCTGCAAGTGGGAACCCTACATTCTAAAACTCCAGGCTGGGGCCCAGCAACCTACCTTTTTACTCCAAGTGATTCTGATGCAGCTAAAGTGTGAAAGTCACTGCCCTACAGAGTGGAGAGGTGCTGTCTCACCCTAAACTAACTGTGCCTGATCTCAAAGTCAGCATTTGCCAACTACCAGAATACTTGGGCTGTGCAAAGTCGTCCCTGGAGAGGCCAAAATAATCTAATCATAATCAAATAGCAGCTAACATCTAACAGTCTATTCCATGCCACCAGGCATGATACACAGCACTTCATACACTTCTTCCTCACAATAATCCTGAGGCAGATGCAATTATCAACCCCATTCTACAGTTCATCAGGGTTGAGAGACAGTGAATAACTCGACCAAAGTTGCACAGCTGACAGGTGGTGGGGACAGGGTGTGCACAGAGATCTACCCGGTTCTGAAGTCCCAGTTCTAAACCTCAATACCTCAGGTTTCCCAAGTGATGGGTTAAGGTGGGGAGATGGGCTTCATGTGGCTTCTTTGATCTCCCTTTGCTCCTAGTTTACACTGGGCCTTTGAGCTACTTTCCTGATCCTGCTCCCGCAGCTGGCTAGTGGCCAATCCCAGGCCTGAGCCCTCCCCACCTCTGCTTTTCCAGGAGCAAGATCATTGAGTCATCCACACTTCTCAGTCTCCCCTGGCTGCACCTCCAGCCCAGCCTGGACAGGTCACAGTGAACCTCTAGGAAGCAGGGATGAGCTCTGAGAAGCCCAACCTCTAGCCCATCGCACCGCTTACTTACCCCCCATGCCCTAAGCTATTTCAGTCTGCATGAGAGCAGTCTGCAGAGCACTGGCTGTGGTCACAGGATGACCTGCTCAGTCAAAGCTAACATAAAGTGTGGTTATTGCTGTGCCTTCATCTGCAGCATGTGACTGTCAGTTTGAGGCTTTGACCACTACCCATCCAAATGATTTGACTGTCCCAGGGGACCGTAAGAGACACACACACACACACACACACCCCCCCCCCCCAAGAGGTATCTGATGAACTCACACCCTCCTGAGCAAAAACACCAGAGCCTCCTCCCGCCCTTCCCACGTGGCTTTGAACAGCTTTCCCTAGCTTCCGCGCACCTGGTTTGCTTTCGTGTTGCCGGGTTTCCTGAGGGCTCGCAGGGCTACTGCTTGGGGTTTCCCTGTAGGAAGACGAGGCCCGGAGAGTCACCGCTCCCTTCCCAGTGCAGATTTTTGTAAGATCCATGTCTGAAAAGAAAAGGTCCAAAATTGAAGACTGAATCCAAGACTCCTGAAGGATTAAAGGACAGTTGGTTAGCAAATTGTTACAGCCGGGGAATGAGATGAACCTGGTTACAGCCATGCGAAGTCTTTGAACACCTGTGGTCAATGAAATTAATCTGTGGGTGGTGGAGAGGGGCAAGTTTTCAGAGGTTTACTGTGCATCATGAAGTTAGGGGAACATGGCGGCAATGGTGAGTTCTGAGTAAATGGATGAGTTATACTATCAGCTGAAAACATTTCAAAATGAAAGCAGGTTTATTCCTTTTATTAAATGAAGTTTAGGTTGATGAGCAGACTTCTGACCAGTTAGTAAGGCACAGTTCAAGAAAGAGTTTATGAAAGATGTTTCAAGCTTCCAGACCATACTTCTCATTGAAGACCAGGCTGGCAACTACGGAAGTGGGGGCGGTGGGGGGGGTGGGGGCGGGTGGTCCCATGGAGAACAACTACCCCTTTGCAGTTTTCCAGTGGGAAAAGGAAAAGCAAATCTCCTTGGATCAGCAAGTCAAGACTCCCAAAATGCTGAGACAGAAGGATATGCTGCCTGGCGAGAAAGCTCACGAGTGACAGTCTCACTTTCCAAACATAACAAAGAAAACTCACAGCAACAAAAACGACTCAGAAGGCTAAATCCTTCAATGAGCAGTGTCCACCGAGCCTCAGCTGTCTTCACAGGGTCCTGGCGTCTCCTACAGTTTCACTAGGGCCTAATAACAGACCCAGGTCAACTTTTAGAGTTTCCTTGAGAAAGATTTCAAAATACGCTTCAAAAGATCTGAATGCCATCCTGCAGGAAATCAGTCACGGAGGCAGGGAACCAGGGCAGACCACACAGTTCTGGGAGGCACACGCAGAGTGTTTCTTTATGTGCAGCTGAGCTATGCAGAACGCCACAGTTTTGTTTTGTTTTCAAATTGCTCACAGCCTAGATCCCTGACCTAAAATTGTCACAGTTAGGATTACAGGTTGACATTCAGGGTGTGTGTCTGGGCAGGATGTGAGTTCAAACATCCAGCTCATCCCCATTCCCCTCCGAGGGCAGAGAGAAGCAAAGCCTCTTCTTTCCTTTCCTTCCACGCCAGCAGCCCCCTGCCAACAACTCAGGGAGAATGATCATTAGCGTTAGACAAGAGAATGGACCTGCCTCGTCAGCACCTCTTGTATTGAACGCAATGCACGAAACGCACAATGTGTCAGGGCAAGCATCAGCCTTGGAGAGCATCTGACTTATCCAACTCTATCAAGAGGCTAAGCGACTGATGTCACCAAACTATTGGGAAAACTGGTTCATAGTCACTTCAAAAGGATGAGAGGCACACTGATGGATGCAGCCCATCCATAGGTTCCTGGACACACAGCCCAGTTACTTCTGAAAGCGCCATTGGATAAAGTACTGTGTAGGCCTCATGTGTCCCCACTTTGTACAGAAGGAAGCGATGAGCCAGAGCTGACATCTGAACTGTACTCCCCCACCCTCTGGAGGGGAGAGGCAGGAAGTGGCTGCAGGTAAAACTGGGGAAGGCAAAGGGGATGCTCTGGGATGGCCCGGTGAGCATCAGAGGCGAATCTAGGTTGGGCACCTAAGGGCAGCTGCTTCAAATTCAGCTAAGTTCAGAGGTTCTCTGTGAGACCAGGTTAATTCTCAGGGAGACTGCAGTTTTTGCTAAAGTACTGGGGGCTGGAAACCTCTAGGGAGAGCCTAGGATGTCCATGCACCGCAGACCCATCCCAAAGGGAAAGCTGAGCCTCTGGACTGACCCTTCTCCTAAAGAAAAGAGGGGCAAGGCCTCTGTCCTCAGTTCCTCCCCACATTCGCTGGCTCTCAGGAAAACGCACACAGACATTCACATACACAGAGGAAGTAAGGAAGCAAGCTGAGGAAGTGAGACGGAATGCCTCCTAAACATGCAACGATTCAGCTCAAAGTGCGTGTTAGAAGAAAAGAAGAAAGGAAAACCATGCCATGATCCGCTCACAGTTAGAGAAAATCGACCGACCCAAGGAGATACCTGTAGGGAGAACTAGGCCTGAGGCGTTTTTCACTGTCTTCACAGGAATGATTTTAACAGCAGAAATAGAGCGTGCGCGTAAAGGGTCGGCAGTTGCTGAAAACACAAAAGGGTAAATGGTGCATCCAGAAAGAACATTTGGGAAACACTCAGGCAGTTGAGGAACTGGGCAGGGACAATAGGAGGAAGTCGCCCACACAACAAGAACAATACAAAGGGCAGTAGATGCAGTAATTAAAAATAACCTGCTTTCTCTCTTTAGAGTTCTAGGCCAAGACAACAGACCCCTCCCCTCTAACTATCACCCAAATACAGCTGGTCAGTGTTGACCGGTGCCTCCTACCACACCAGGAGCTTGCCAAAGCTCTGGACAAAGATTTACAGAGGCACACAGATGGCCTGGCAAACAGAAGAAGGGGAGAGCACTCAGGGTCCACAGGGCCTCTTGGGAGAAGGCTGGGGAGTGGGTTCCGAGGAGGAGGGCTGTGGCCCATGGGCTCCAGATGAGTGGAAGAACGAAGGAACAAGATCGTGAGTTGTCTGGTCCCTTCAGCCATCAGAGCTACTTCCCCCATAGCATAACTTCCGGGGTCTTGTGCCTGCTCCGATAATTGTAGCCCTCTGGCCCCAAGCAAATCAAAGCCCCCATCTGTTAAACGGCAGATGGCCTTGCTCAAACCCACCCTTTCCTGGTCAGGAGGTGCCAAGTGTCCAAGTGCATATGTAGTCTCTGGGCAGCACCCAAGTGCACAGCCCAGGACCCCAATGCCCAGCTGAGCTAAGGCAGAGCAGGAATGCCTGCCTGGGACGTGGTGAAGGCTACCGCTCGAACATCCTGGGTGCTCAAACTTATCTATCTGCAGGGTCTCTGGGCTCCCTGCCTGCCCAGATTCTGTAATCTCATGGTAGGCACGTTCCCTAACTCTCCTCACACCGAGCCTGTTGTGAGGCCTCCCCTCGTCCTCTCTTTCAAGGGCAGCACATAAAGAGGGATGGGAGCTCTGTGTGAAGGTGCCAGAGTCGACTGTGGCCACAGATCTACAGAAACACAGCGGGTAGGGCTGTCTGGGAACAAGACCGCCACTGCAAAGTCAGCATCGTGCTGGTGAGCCTGTCAAGGCAACAGAAGGGAGGCATGTCGGCCAGAGACAGTGCACCTTCCAGTCCATCCCGCTGTCAGCTCACCTCATAAGGCATGGGGCAGTCACACGGCGCCTGGCCATCAATGACTAGGTTGCCAATGACGCTGCTGCATGGATTAAGACACAAATGTGCTCTCACAGCATCCTCCTGTCTGCTCCACCTGGGAGATGGGCTTGGGGGAGACTTTTGTAACCATTTTCAGAGGAAGAAGCAAGAGGCTCAGTGAACTGCTCAGGCTCATTCAGTTCTCAAGCGGAGAGGCTGAGACTGGAGCTCAGCTATCCCAGCTCTGGTTCAGTGACCTCAGGCCACCCTGATGCCCTTCAGTCACTCCTGCCTGCTTGTTTGCAGACAAAGGTGAGTCTCACCAAGGAGAGAGTGGGACTCACTCCACCTGCCACCCTCCCCCACACGCCTTAAGTCTCTTGTATAAATGAGTTCACATGGATGGGGTCCATGACCCCACAGGCTTTAAACTAATAGGGCCCCCACCCCTCCCCATGCTCCTCACTGGATGCTAAACACATGCCTACAGCCACTCCACAGGCACTGCCCCTCAGAGTTCCCTAAGTGCAACTTGGTCGAGACTGTCCAGGGCCCCACACCGTGGGTGCAGAGGGGCGACCAGGCAGGGAGGCAAGAACAGGAGCATGGCAGGTCCCCTCTGGCCACCAAGGAACCCACCCCCACACCACCTGGGCCCTGTACCCCAGCCCCTCCTAGTCTCTGGACATACCCTCTACGGCTGGTTCCTTTCACACTTTGCCTTGTCTTAAAAGGAACACTTTGTTGACCCAGATGGAAATTACAAAGATCAAAATGCCAAATTGTTTGGAATTATTCTTTGAGATGCATCTTGACTTAAATGCCCAATGCAAGGATTCTGGCCCTTCCTCTTGGTTACCAGAAAATTTACTGGGATGAGCGTTCATTCCAATTCTGAATTTGAAGCAGAAATAAATACGGCAGATCATAAATTCCCTCATCTTATAGATAAGGGAACCCACACCCACAAAGATAAAGGGCCTCTCAAGATGTCCTGTTCATGAGTGGCAGAGCTGGGACTTGAACCCATGCCTTGTCACTCCAGCTTCAGCATCCATCACACAACACAATAAAAGTGGCACCGCGAGCCCCGTAGCCAGGCTATCTGTGCAGCCACACTGAGGTCAGGATGAAAGTCTCCAGGCTAAGCAGGACCTCAAAGGTCATCGCATCCATCATTCATTTCACATTTAAATCTTTTATCCTAAAAATTTTAAAAACTGAAACTATGAGAGGATGTGCATTAAATTAATGCCACTGAAATAATTTATTTTAATGATTTAGGCTCTTGCCTTAGGGACAGGACTGTGAACACATCACTGTTTATTACAGGTGAAGGTAAAAGGCTGAGCAAGGGATATTTCAGGCTGATAAATGCCATCTGTACCAGGCATGAAATACGCCTTGGTCCTCGTATCTGATCTGTCATTCACAGCATCCTTGTGAGCTAGGGAAAGTTTTTAATACCTCACAGTGGGAAAATGGCAGCCTCAGACTCCCGAAATGCAACAACAGGCTCCAGGTCTCAGAAAATCAGTGTAGGGAACAGGTCACCAGTTTATGGCTTGGTTAGGCCAATGATGTTTGCACCAGGCAGATGGGATGGCCCCGGCCTGACATACTCCGCACCTTTAGAAATGCCTTCCAGTACCAATCCAGATTTCTCTCCAAGAACCTTACCTTTGTCTTGCCCATTGCTGCCAGGTGCCAAGCCATTCATCACAGCTTTGGAACCACCATCACATTCTGCAAGAAAGAAAGAGAGCATGAGGTTTGTGAGTAAGCTGCCCCAGCACTTACTGAGTCCTGTGTGGCAGGAGGTGCTGGGGTCACAATCAGGAGGAAGCAGAGGGGTCCTGCCCAGATACTTTCAGACCTCTAGGCCTTGGTTCCTATGAGGCCCTCTGCCGAGAATGCCTCCTCCTCCCTTCTCACCTGATGGAAATTCCACGCATCCCTGGAGCTCCCCTCGGATGTCATGTCCTCTGTGTTGGCTGAGACTTTCCTGAGTTCTGCTCAGTTACAGAAGCTAAGATCCTCCCTGCTCCCCTGTAGCCTAAGCCCCGCCCAGGTCCCCATCCCAAAATAGATAAAGGCACGCCAAGGAAGGAAGGCCGGCAGGCCCTGTCGCCCTGGGACATGTGTGCTTGGAGGAACCCCTCCAAGCCCAGAGTTAACCAAGCTACAAACATAATCATGACTAGCTATGGGTTTTTAAACACTGACTTGCCTGGTGTGAGGATCCATGCTTAGCATTCCATAATTAGCACCTCATTTTATCCTGAAGACCCAGACCTCCAGAACTAGGAGTTAGGAATGCCTATTTTATAGATAAGAAAACTGAGGCAGAGAGGATTCCAGGCCTGCCCAAGATCACTAGGCTGAAATTTGAACTCTGGTCTGCCCATCTCACAGCTCATCTTCTTCCTCCCCAAATGGGATAAACATTTGGGTTTCCTGATACATATATATATTCTATTTCTCCAAATGCTGGGACTGAAGCTTAGTCCCACACCCCTGTAATTCATTAGGCTGAGACTAAGTCACCTTACCTAGGCCCTTAACAATCAGCCTTCCAAAAGGGGGGTCGCCTGCTATAAACCACACTGACAGGCCAGTCTGGATGCTGCCTGTGGGCCACACATGAGCAGGGCCACTGCCCCACCTGGTGCCTGGGCTTCCGCATGCTGGCCCCACAGGCTGTGACCTGTTAATTGCCCACACCCACCTATAGGTGAAGGCTAATTCTCCTAGATGTCTGAGTCTCCCTTGAGCTCTGATTTCTGAGATGGGTGGAAGAAGGGTGCTGGTGAGAAGGCCAGAAATCCAAGTACCTGCTCTAGTTCCTTCTGTGACTGTAGGCCTTGCTCCAGGCCTCCCCAGGCTAGTGTGGGGCAGCCTCTGAGCTACCAGCAGGCCCAGCCCCATGTTCTTCCTTTCTTTTAATTAAATGTAACAACCAAACTTGAAGAAATTTTGGAAAGGTATTTAAAAATTAGTAACTCCATCTCCTGAAACTCAAACCTCTGCAGCACAATGTTGCTGTCCAGCTTCCTGAGTTTGATTCAGCAACAGTACACACTAGCTGAGTGATCCCAGCCATATTATTAACCCCTCAGGGCCTCAGTTTTTCCATCTGTGTAATGAGGGTGGCAAACCACGCCCCACCTGTGAGGGTTTTCCAGGAGAATGTAACAATATCACACAGGTAAAGCACTTCCCCCAGTGACTGGTAGCCCAGCCCAAACTTGGAATTAAAAGAATCCACCATTTTTACACTGCTCTTTCCACCAGTGATTAAAACAAATATTTCCCATGTAGCTGCTTTTCTCCTAATGACCATTTTAACAGCGGCATAATATTCCATCAAGTAAATACACATAACGTACTTACTCATACCCCCCCTTCATGTAGGTGATATTTTTGTTTCCTTGGAATTAAGATAGAAATTCCCAAGAGTGGGATCATCAGGTCAAAGGCTCCAGAATTTCTGAACTCTTCCTAGGCAACGCCTCCTTCCAACCCCCCACCTGAGAGAGAGATTCTGGGGAGCAGTCTCCTGGGCTTTTCCACACCCATACCCTTCTTCCAGGCCCCTCCCTTCCTCCTTCTCTGGCCCTTGATGCCAAGAGTAGTAAAGCAAAGTGAGGCCAGTTCTGCCACTGGACGAGAAAGTAGCTTTAGGCTACAGAGAAAAAGTTAAAAACAAAATAAAGCAAAACATCATGGCCTATTTTAAATGACAACAAAAGCAAAAAGCCAAGGAGACAACAAAAAATGAGTTACGAAGCAGGAGCTACTGGCAGTACCCGAGCCTGCTTAGAGGGGAAAAGGTGCACGGCCTCTTCGCACACAGCAAAAGCACTCAAGGAATTGCTGAGAAGCCAAGTCCCTGGCTTTGCAGGGAGGAACTCAGCTCATAACAGTAAGAGCCCAAAGATGAAGCACTTGCTATGCCTTGGACACAGAGCTCAGCACTTTAAAAGCACTGCCTTAGGCTAGCTAGGCACGGTGGCGGAGAGGGGCGGATCACCTGAGGTCAGGAGTTCGAGACCTGGTCAACATGGTCAACATGGTGAAACCCCGTCTCTATTAAAAATACAAAAATATTAGCCAGGCGTGGTGATGGGCACCTGTAATCTCAGCTACTCGGGAGGCTGAGGCAGGAGAATCACTTGAACTCAGGAGGCAGAGATTGGAGTGAGCCAAGATCACGCCACTGCACTCTAGCTTGGGTGACAGATCGAGACTCTGTCTCAAAAATAAATAAATAAAAGCATTGCCTCACTTAATCCTCACTAAATCCCAATGAACTGGTGTTTTTATTATGTCCATTTTGCAGAGGAGAAGGGTCCACCACAGGCCCAAGGCTATGCAGCCAGTAAACACTGAGGTCAGGGTGTGGGCCTCAGCTATTCCAGCCCAGAGCCTTCCTAGGTCTGAACTACATACTGTCCTACTCAGAACTTGCCTAAAACGGCATTGTATGCAAATAAATGGAAAAGGGTGATTTTTAATCCACAGAGGTCACTGACAACACTCACGAAATACGGCAGGATTGGGAGACTCCGGAATGAGATATCCACATGATCATCTTCCCACCCCACAGCCTGCCCCACCTGCAGGTCTCAGGAGGGTCCAGGGCATGCTCAGTAGCCTAGGTGGGGCTGAATCTCCAGATGGAAACTTCTCTGCTCCAATTCTGGGTTGGAAAGCTGACAGCTCTTAGCTGCATGATGAGCAGGGATCTGTTCCCATCTCTGTCTTCCCTAACCCACGTTTTCTACCTCAGCTCAAAACTAAAAATACTCAAAACTGATTATTTCTTTAGGTCTTGACTTTTACTACCAAAGGCAAAGCAAAAGAGGGAGCAAACTACTCTACTAGCCTAGATGAAGGAAGCATTAGATTAGTTCACATCCTTGGGCAATTATGGCCAATCAGTTTACTTTTGCTGCAGTCACCCAGATTAAGAAATGCCATGAAGGTGTAACACATATGTCAAATTTTATCAAATTGTATACTAAAAATATCTGTGGTTTATAGTATGCCAGTTACATCTCAATAAAGAGAGGGCTAATGTGCATGTAAAGTGTATAGCACAGTTCTTTGGCAATAGTAGTAGGCACTCAAAAAATCATTAACCATGAAGGTGATGAGAGTGATGATGACAACTTATGACAAAGCTTTGGCATTCACCCAGGTGGCAAAAAATAAAAAATAAAATGCCAGAGTGGGGCCTTCAGGGTGCGTGGGAAATCTGGGTAAACTGCCCAGTTTGGTAGATAAGAGAAAGATGAGTTTAAAATGACTTACCAGAACTCATGGTGGTGGCAGGACAAGTCGTCTGCAACTGGGGCTCTGAACTGCTCTGTAGAAAAACAAACACCACACAATGCAATTGATGAATGGCAGGTTCGCGATAAATCCCAATGGTTAGTATTAAAAATGCAAACACTGTAACCCTTGATAAAACAGAGCTGAACCAGGAGTCACCTGGCCAGGCTTCTGGTTTGTGGTCACCCACATATTATTGTGACCTTGGGCACATCACTCAACCTCACTGGTTTCAGTTTTGTTGCCCATATTTGGTGCTGATGTTATCCGACATCCCTTTCAAACATTCTATTAAAAACCTCAAGCTACACGAGTGCACGTGGTTTAAAGAGAGGGTAAAGGAAAGGGGAAAAAACACATTTTAGGAGAAAGAGGTAAAATCACAACACAAACTGATTTGAGAACTTACTGATCATACTGAATGCTTATATATAGCTTACTATGCACAAGGAAATGTTCTAAATGCTTTGAATATATTAACGCATTTGACCCTCACAACCCTAGGAGGTAACCACTAATGTCAGGTTAGTTACACAGATGAGGAAACCGAGACACAGACAGGTGAAGCTGTGTGCTTGCTGCAGTGGAGGAGCTGATACTGGAACCCAGACAGCCTGACTTTCTGGCCCAAGTTCCTATGCACTGTGCTCTACCACCTGGAGGTGGGAACCAATCCCTGATGTTCAAATGGATAACCCCTTAATTTAGTAGGGTCTCAAAGAAAGCTGAAATTATACTGACAATGCCCTAATATATATCCAGATCTTTTATTGAGTTATAGTTTGCATATAACCAAAAATATCCATTTTAATTGTACAATTCGATGAGTTTTGACAAATATATACATCCTATAACCACCACCGCAATCACAATATACAGCCTTTCCATCACCCCAAAAAGTTCCCATGTGTATCTCTACAGCCAAGTACCATCTCAGGTCCCTGTTAACGACTGATCTGCTTTCTGTTACTATTGTTTTACCTTTTCCAGGATTTTATATAAATGGTATCATAGTACAGGTAATCCTTTGTGTCTGGCTTCTCTCGTTTAGCATAACACTTCTGAAAAGCAACTGGTTAGATATGGCTGGGTCAATTTCTGGACTCTTTTCTGTTTCAGTGAGCTGTCTTTATCTGATAACTCACTGTCTTGATTACTGTAGTTTTACATAGCCTTGAAATCAGGTAATATGAGTGATAGAGTTTAGATATTTGTCCCTGCCCAAATCTCACATTAAAATGCAATCCCCGATGTTGGAGGTGGGCGTGGTGGGAGGTGTTTGGATCATGGGGGTGGATATCTCATGGCCTGGTGCTATCTCTGCAATAGCGAGTTCTCACAAGACCTGGTCATTTAAAAGTATGTGGCACCCCCCCCCCGCACCCTTACTTATGCTCTTGTCGTGTGACACGCCTGCTCCCCCTTCGCCTTCCACCATGATGGGAAGCTTCCTGAGGCTCCCCAGAAGCCAAGCAGATGCTTCCTGTACAGTTAGCTTACAGAACTGTGAGCCAATTAAACCCCTTTTCTTTATAAATGACCCAGTCTCTGGTATTTCTTTATAGCTGTGCAAGAATGGCCTAATACAGTGAGTCTTCCAACTTGAGTTTTTTTCCAAAATCATTTTGGCTATTTTAGATCCTTTGCATTTTCATATAAAGTTTAAAACCACCTTAACAATTTCTACCTAAAAAAGTCTGTTGAGATTTTGACTGGAATCATGTTGAATCTATAGATCAATCTGTGGAAAACTAACATTTTTAACAATATTGAGTCTTCCAGTTCATGAGTATGACCTATCTCTCCCTTTTTCCAGGACTTCTTTAATTTCTCTTGGTAATGTTTTATAGTTTTTTCAAAGTACAAGTCTTGTACATACCTCGACTAATAAGGTCTTACTGAACACATCTGAAGGTCACACAATCTGAAAAACAAGTCCTCGGGATATGTAGAACCTTGATATTTCAAGTGTGGTCCACAGGCCAGCAGCATTCACATTAGCTGGGAGCTTACTGAAAACGTAGAAGCGGCCGGGTGTGGTGAGTCACACCTGTAATTCCAGCACTTTGGAAGGCCAAGATGGGCGGATCACCTGAGGTCAGGAGTTTGAGACCACCCTGGCCAACATGGTGAAACCCTGTCTCTACTAAAATACAAAAAGCAGCCGGGTGTGGTGGTGGGTGCCTGTAATCCTAGCTACTCGGGAGGCTGAGGCAGGAGAATTGCTTGAACCTGGGAGGCAGAAGTTGCAGTGAGCCAAGTTCGTGTGTGCCACTGCACTCCAGCCTGGGTGACAGAGCGAGACTCCAACTCCAAAAAATAAAAGGAAAGAAAATGCAGAAGCTCAGACTCCTGTACCTACTGAATCAGAATGGGCATTTTAACAAAATCCCAGGTGCTCCCTTTGCATTTTAAGGTGTGAGAAGCAATGATACAGAGAAAAACCCCGGTTCACGAATTCTGTAATAGGGATATGAAGATATGGTATGAAGGTCTGCAAAAGGAGACATGCTTTAGCTTTTTCTTTTAAAAAAGCTGAAGTTGGACACTGGTTTCCTTTCTGGATGGTTGCTTTGCCTTACTGTCCTTGTAATTAAGAGAGTAGAATGCTAGGGATGAAGAGGAAATCATTCAAAGTCCATCTCTGCAGCCCAAATCAGCAGGAACTTTGCCTCTGTCACTGTCAAATACATCTGAGACTATCTATGACCTTCAATAGCTGTCCCCACAGATGGTTCTCTAAGCTGTGGAAACATTTGTTCTTTCAATCGAGAAACACACAACCTGCTGTTATCTGTATGTCCTCATGTTTTCCAGTCCTAAGTTTTTGATACCTTAGTTTGCCTCCCAGGATCAAAAGTGTTGTTGTGATAGCATCCAAATGCTTTTATTTTATAAATAATTTTCATGAGCAATTGTATTAAGGTTTTTATTCCTTATTTTTATTTTTATTTTTGTTTTTGTTTTTGAGACAGGGTCTTGCACTATCACCCAGGCTTGAGTGCACTGGTGTGATCACGGCTCACTGCAGCCTCAACCTCCTGGGCTCAAGCGATCCTCCCACCTCAGCCTCCCAAGTAGCTGGGACCAGTCATGCACCACCACACCTGGCTAATTTTTAAAATTTTTATTTTGTGGAGATGGGGTCTCTCTATTGCCCAGGCTGGCCTCAACTCCTGGCCTCAAGCGATCCTCCTGCCTCAGTCTCTGAAAGTGCAGGGATTATAGGTGTGAGCTACTGCACCTGGCCTTTCCTCAATTTTTAAAGCATTATTGAAGAAATCTTTTTGTTTCCACTGTGAAGCTATCTTAACTGAAACTATTTTCATTCTTTTATAAGTTTTTTCTAGCCTTTAGATACATAAATAGCAAGTACATTATTGTAAACATAATATCTGGACAGCTTTGTGTTCTAATTTTTAAATCAAGTATTTCATGAACATTTTTCTGGGATTCTATATAGTCAGCATATCCATCATTTTAATGGCTGTATTTCATTGTAATAACACTCCATAATCCATTTACCAATTCCCTTTGTATAGTTTAATTCGTCTTAATTTAAAAAACAAGTACAAAGCACACAGCATTCTTAGGCTGGAGAAGAAATGAATGGAGATGTCTTGTGAACCAAACAAAAAGGATACCTCAACTCATACATGATAAGTAATCACCGTCATATGCGGGTAGCCCTTTGCACATTTCACATTTCTCAATATAGAAACTACTAACTTCTAAGTGTCAGCCCCCTTACTTACAAACTAACCTAAAATAGACACAGTCAGGGATAATCTTCAAAATATTTAACCATCATTTTGCCACAAATGTCTACCAACTGGAGCAGACACCAGTTGTAGCACTCTCTGGGAGGCCCCTCCCTGTGCCTGCTATTAACCATTTAATGGCTGGATGCTGAGAGGGTAGAAGGAGAATGGACCCTGGGTGTTAAGAGACTACTTTGATATTTTAAGAGCTAGTATGACGATAGTACGTGACAATGACAATGCACAGGTGAGTACCAGCTCTTGCACACGAGGACTTTTTGAGTAGCAGGTTCTGTTGTGTGTTCTCACTCTGGTGATTAAATCTGCAGCAGGTGATACTAACAAACAAGGGATAGTTTAAAATAAAATTAAAAGTGCTGAGGATGAATGGGCTGACTGAAGAAAAGGAACTGCAGCAACGGCAGCAGTGCCAAGGACAGTGCCCTGCATCCAGTCCTCCCCTGTTGTGGCAACAGCAGCAACGTCCTATCCAGACTATTCCAGGGCCTGATTCTGGCTCTGATCCCAGCCAGCTCAGCCTCCTGGAATTCCTGCCCCAGTTCTGAGTGCAGTTCTCCAACCTTCCATAAACTCCGTGAACTACCCAAGATCTTGCCAATAAATCCCTCTTCAGTTTGAGTTCACCAGAGGTGGTTTCTGGTTATCTGCCACCCAAGAACCTTGACCAGCAGAAGATGGGAGGGAGAAGTCCCCAAGGTTTCATCTGAAGAGGAGAATCTTCATTCCTCTCTCCTGACATGAGGCTGACCAGATCTGAATCCCAAGTGGCTCGGCAGTGGTTGTGTCTCTACAACCTTAAGTGCTCAGAGCCTGGGCAGTGAGGACGCATCCATGAAACTACACAAATTGAGCTTGACCGGAACACTGAAAGCTTTGAAAATCATAGTCTAGTCCCTGCTGTTTATTTAGAGATAATATGGGCCATTACAATCAGATGAGAACTTGAGAGTTTATTTTACATAAAAACCTCTAACACTTAATATTTATTTAAAAACTAAGCTGTAAAGAGCCTGATTTGGTTGAGTACATGATGGCACGTCTTTGGAATGCCTCTTACAAGTCCCCTCCAAATGAGCCAGGCACCTTTGGGTAAAAGCCAAAAGGACCAACAGTGTACCATCTAGTGGCAAAATGACACAACTGCAAGTGGGCAGTAAATTCCCCTAGTGAGTTGCAGGAACCTATGCAGTGTCACAG